>NC_000014.9:99611713-99914713 GCF_000001405.40 Homo sapiens | reverse complement strand
TAATGTGCATGTTTACCTCTATTATTTTGTCCCAGACGGGACGGTGACCCACAGCGTCCCAGAGAGTGGCATGCTTGTCATGCCCACAGGTCAAGAACTGAGATTTTGAGGCATGGATGGCCAGTCCCCAGAGCTCATCAGTGTGACCCTACAAATAACCAAGACAAACAGAAGCGCTCTGAGATACTACAGTTCGCACTCAGGAGCCGTAAGGGATGACGAACCGAGGCTTCATGCTGACTTCATAACTGCTCTCAACAGTTTCTCTCCTCCCATCTTTCAGCAGCCACAGACACTCTGGGGTGGAGGAAGGTTATCGTAGTATAAAGCACCTGATTGTAATGCTTGATTAGGGTCTGATATAATGCAAAATGAGAGTGTTTGCCGGGCCTGCTGAGTGGGATCGTACCTGAGTAATGGGTGTGAAGTCCCCTGACAGAGTGCCCTGCAGGACAAAGTTTCGAGTTGTGCCAATCAAGATCACATCGCCTTTCCCCTCGGCCACTGTCCGTATTGGACCAAACTGTTCTGGAATCTGCATTGAAAAGTCATATGAAAAGAAAAGATGTACAATTTCATTCAGTTGTTAGCTCAGTCATTCAAAACACTTATCATAATGATAGTCCCTATAACAGTTTTATATACACATATGTATATAATGTACGTTCAAATATATATGTTGTATATACATATATATGGAGAGTTTCACATAGATACCACAGCTGGCCAGGCTTGGTGGCTCATGCCTGTAATCCCAGCACGTTGGGAGGCTGAAGCAGGTGGATCACCTGAGGTCAGGAGTTGGAGACCAGCCTGGGCAACATGATGAAACCCCGTCTCTACTAAAAATACAAAAATTAGCTGGGCATGGTGGTGGGTGGCTGTAATCCCAGCTACTTGGGAGGCTGAGGCAGGAGAATCACTTGAACCCAGGAGGTGGAGGCTGCAGTGAGCCGAGATCACGCCACTACACTCCAGCCTGGGTGACAAGAGTGAAACTCCATCTCAAAAAAACAGATACCACAGCCAACTGTTGAGTGAGTGATCAAAACCCTAAGCCTTATTTTTAAACTACAAACATTTTATATATCTTAGAAGCATCAGCAAGAATGAGGTTAAGAAAAAGCATTTTCCTCAACAAAATTTAAAAATAAGGAATGCTACTGGTTAGTTTTCTCTTTACTTTTTACAATTTCTGATAGCAACAGTAGATACAATTCAGAAAGTAAAGAATATAGGCCAGGTGTGGTAGCTCACATCTGTAATCCCAGCACTTTGGGGGGCCGAGGTAGGTGGATTGCTTGAGCCCAGGAGTTCTAGACCAGCCTGGGCAATATAGCAAGACTCCATTTCTACCAAAAATACAAAAAAAATTAGCTGGGTATGGTGGTGCGTGTAGTAGCTGGAAAGCTACTCAAGAGGCTGAGGTGGGAGAATTACTTGAGCCTGGGAGGCAGAGGCTGAAGATCACGCCACTGCACTCCAGCCTGGGTGACAGAGCCAGACCCTGTCTGAAAATAATAATAATTAATAATAATAATAATAATAACACTGCCATAATACAACTTAAAATGGTAAGTTCTTTGGCAATGTCATTCTGTTCAGTTTAAAAATCGACATAAACATATGGAATAATCTAAATGTTAAGAGAAAGAATTGCAAAATACACCCATTAAGAACAATTTGCTATGATGAAGAAACAAAGTTCTTGTACTATAAAAAGAACAAATGCTGCAGCTTGACCCTGGCGGTTGCTGTTAGGCTCTCCCGTTCCAGGAAAGAAGCAGCCTCCCCTCACACATTCTCCAGTGTGGCATGTTAGCACAGATTTGAGTCAAGTTGATGATGACCCATGCTAATGAGGAAGAATCAGATACTAACAAACAGTGAATAGCTTTTATGAAATTAGATGGGGCTTTGGAGCTTTCTTTACAGTTATAATATGACTTGGGCATGTCTATGACTCTAGCAATTCACAATATGTTCAACCAAATGCTGGTCAAATCTTATTATTAAAAATGTTCTCACAACAGAATCTCCAGGCAAGGGGAAGTGATTTCCAAAGCTCAGATGAAGATCTTCCTTTATTAAGGGAAATAATCAACAGAACCAAATTTTCACACTGCCAGAGGGTGGTGCCATGTTGCTCTCTGATGTAAAATATAAGTGTTTTGTGTGTATCTGGGTTCAAAGTCCTAAAGTCTGTCCATTCTAAGCTAGGGATGAAAAGCATCACCCTTCAGAATGAGGCCAATTTTGCAGTGTCTGCTCACGATTTCCTGGAACCTGGGGGAGAAAATTCACTGAGTGGGCAGAAGGAATATTAAATATCTTGCCTCTGGTGCCTACCGGAATGCAGGGCTGCCAAGTAGATAATGGGGAGGTACACCGGGTATCAAAAGGAGTCACAGCCCTAGGGAGCACATTGGCACTTAGCTGAGGGCCATGTACGAAGTAGATACTCAACAAATACTAGTTCACTCAATGCAATAATGTCTCCAAAATAACATGCTAGAAATTAAAAATTAAAAGAGGCTGGGCGTGGTGGCTCATGCTTGTAATCCAGCACTTTGGGAGGCTGAGGTGGGAGGATCGCTTGAGCTCAGGAGTTCCAAACCAGCCTGGGCAACATCTCTACAAAATTACAAAAATTAGCCAGGTGTGGTGGTGTGTGTCTAAAGTCGCAGCTACTTGGGAGGCTGAGGTGGGAGGATCACTTGAGCCCAGGAGGGGGAGGTTGCAGTAAACTGTGATCACACCACTGCACTCCAGCCTGGGTGAGAGCCAGACCCTGCTCTAAAAAAAAAAAGAAAGAAAGAAAAAAAGAAAAAGAAAAAGTTAAAAGAGAAGACAGATTTTTATAATAAATCAAAATGTGGGTAACAGTCCCTTGGAAAATTGAGAATAAAAATATTCTAAATATGAAGTGTGTTACAACCTCAAGTTTTATAAACCTAATTCTATTTTATTAGTTATATTTAACCTGCCTCAGGATTTTAATAAAATACATTGCTCCCATATAATGTGATTTCACCTAAACAATTTTCAAAACTGTAAGATACAGATTTCAAACTAATAAAAAAAGGATAACAGTTTAAGGTTAAAAACAAATTTTAGCAGTAGCCTTGATGACTTACCTCCGTTTTACGAAGTTTTTGATAGTTTCCGCTCCAAGAAATGAGCTTTCGGTCTTTCCCACCTCCCGACACCAGTGTGCCATCTCTTAACATACAAAGTGCAAAAATGCCACCCTCATGGGCCCCCTGAACTGCATAGCTTATTCGATTTGTACCTAAACACACCAAGAAAACCATCATTAGCACATTGTCAAAAGGTTGCCTCTGCCCATTTTCTAATCTCATCTGACTTAGGTTTTAAAACGCAATATTGTCCGTGAGCACATCATTGCAATATGAATCTATGAAGGATCCAATTTCTAGACGTTCGCAGAGCACCAGACAAGCATGAAATGGGTTACCTTAGAATGAAGGAAAATATGCATTGTTGAAGCCGCATGGTTGAAGCACCACGCGGCTGAGAACGTGGGCTCTGAGTTTAGATCCCAGCTCTCTAGTGAGCTGTTTCTCTGGACAAATTGCTTAGTTACTCTACCCTCAGTTCCCCCTTGGTGGAATGGGGCTGCTGCTTACCCTGCAGGATTGTTCTAAGGATTAAGTGAGCAGTGAATAAGACACCTAGAGCCAAGAGCAGCAGGGATACTGGAAATGTCACCAATGCTTCTGAAATTGCATTTACAAGTCCGTCTCCACCTTCAGCCCCAATTCAAACTCTAAGATCCTTGAGAAAAGGGATGGTGGATTTTCCCTTTTTTCTTGTCACGGGGTAAGTGCTCATAAATGCTCACTGGACTTAACTGGACGCATGCTTTCTGAGTGATGCATCATCTCCCTTAGCAAACTGTTTGCTCACAGACAGCAGGGGATTTGGGTCTGACTCAGTTGTATGTTCACAGTGTCTAGCACATAATTAGCTTTCAATAAATGTCTGCCACATGCTAGATAAATCAGGATAGTAACTTAAATATTTTACAGACCTATAAGTAGTCATTAATTTCATCATAATCTGTCAGGGGATTTCCTAATAAAGCTATTTAATTCCATCATAATAGCTTGGGCTTAAAGAGCCTTTCAGAATGCTGTAAGGTCAGTAACTCTTACTATTCTCCGCTTTTCCTCTGTTCTAGTTTTGTGGTTTCAAGTTACACATGCACACATGTATGTGTGTGTCTCTGTAACTTGAAATTTCATCCTACTCCTGTACGTTGTATTAATAGACAATTCTTAAAGCACTCATGTTTGATCTCTTACAACATTACCAAAAACCATTGGTTTTGGGAACAATCACTTATTACCTTTTCCCCATACTAAGATGTTGCCACTTGAATCTCCAGTAATGGTGTCACCGTTTTCAGAGAAAGTCACACAGAGGACAAACTTTGGCTTTTCTTGTTTCTGTAGAATGTAGTAAAAAAATTATATATATATTTAATCCATACAACATATATATATTCCAGACAACCTTTCATTTGTACTAATAACATCTAGATTCGCAGTGGTCCCAAGCTGGATAGTGTCAGCTTCTGTGACCACCCTGCACACCTTGCATTTCTGTCTACTATTACATAACTTCTGCTGTGAGATTAACTGCTCTAAGACAAAGCGATTTCTAGCAACCCCAAGTGGCTGGGGAATCATAAAGCTGCAGACAGCAAGCGGAGGAGGGTACTGACCGGGGAGAAGGGTGGGGCTATGCTGTCAGCCTAAAGGGCAGGGTCCGAGCACCAGAATAAAGGGGTCCTCGAAACAAGCCTCAGGGAGGTGGTGGCAGATGGACCCCCGGGAAAAGGTGCTGTCCCCTGGTGCTCTCGCAGCCCCACAACGTCCAGACAAAAGGCACAGGGAGTCTCTAATGTCTTTTGCAAAGGCAGGTTGCCTGCCTCCCGATGACTTCATCTTCTGATACTCTCTGCAGCCAGTGCCACTGTGGGAGGCTTGGTGCTCCCTGGGTCCAGGTCCTTTCCCTGCCCTCCACCCAGGCTTGCTCTGTCCTTTTCTTCACTTCATTACCAGCGTTATCTACCAGGTGTGACACGCTTCCCAACTATGTGAGGGATCCCAAGGGATTGTGTTGATCACCAGAGCCCCCAGAGAGATGCATCTAGCCAATCACATATACGAGAGAAAAATAAAGCAAAAATCATAATTTAACTTTACCTCGAATAATCCTTGCTTCTTATTAAGGGAGCTTCCTTCTAGTGTCCAAAAGTAGAGATGTGATTTTCCACAAGTAACTATGATGTTGGTGTCCGTGGGGTGGAAATCCGCAGCAAACACAGCTTCATTAGAGCACTATAGGAAAAACAGGGACTCGGATGCCTCACATCTCTTAAGACGCGTAAGAGACATGTAGGAAAACAAGTAAAATGTGAGCCACAAATAAATAAGAAATTCAAGGCAAGCACAATGCCTATTATTTCCCCCATTGAATCCATCTTGCTAAAAACATCAAGCATATGCTGGTGTGGGCCTTAATACCTCCTCCTTGTCTGTCTCCCCCACTGGACAATGAGCCCTTGAGGACAGGGAGCACCCAGGAGTCCTCTGTCTATGCCAGGGCCTCTCCCAGGGCCAGGCATGGGGTGGGCATGCAGCATGCTTTGCTGAGGAGGGAGTTGGGACCAGAGGGACTTCAGAACTGCAAGCATTTGCTCTCATCTGCTAGTCATGGGTTCCCAGTCTGGCCGAACAAATGGAATCACCAGAAATGGTAAAATGCAGATCTCTAGGCCTCACCCCCTATCTGGTAAATGTCATCTCCAGGGAGGGCCCTGGAATGGATTTTACAAAGGTCCATTGTTCGTGGCTGACTCTGGCTGCCCGTTTCCCCAGGGAGTTCCTCCTGCGATTGACTCCTGGGACTCTGCCTGTGGCTCAGTGAACCGGCCTGGGGTCCCATGGAGTAGATCTAGCACTTCAGGTGCCACCTCCGCCACCTTCAGCCCACACCCTAACCTCCAAGACCCGCACCCTGGCCTACTGGATTGGGCTCTGATCACTGCTTCTATTTAATAATGCAGTTACACATTCTTGAGCCTGGATAATAACCTGCCTCTGATGCCTTCTAACCTAGCAACGTAGCAAGAAGAACTTAAACACCTGCCCAGAATATCAGAAGGTGGGGCTAGGGAATGAACACAGGTGTCAGGGAACAGACCTGGTTAGAATACAAGGTCTGCCTCGCAGACATGCAGCAGAGAAAGTTAGGTGACTAAGGTTATCTAAGGTTAATAGATGCAAAGATGAGAAATCTGAATTCGAGTCTATAAAAATAGGCTTCCAATAGAAAATAGAAATAGAAAAAGGTCAGTCAAGGCAAGGGAATTTGACATATTGTGCAAAACGGATTAGAGGCGGTCAAAGAAGTCCCAAGGGGCCCCTCGCAGGAGGAATCCTGTTGGGAAGGATTTGGGGTTTAGCTCGGGGCTCCCGCTGGTCTTTCCTGAGTCTGTGCCACTTTGGAGGAGCCCCCGTGCTGGCGGCCCCTGCCCATACCTGCCCTTCCTGCGGCTGCAGGGGCTCAGGCAGCAAGCCCACCTCACGCCTGAGCACATTTCCGGGCCTCCACGTGCCGTGCGAGCACGTGGCAGGCACTCGGGGTGTGCCAAGCAAATGAAAGGAACAGCCAGCAAATACATGACTGGATGAATTAAAAGGGTAGTGGCTATGAAATGAGGAAGAAAACAATCTTACAGACATGGCGAAAAGAGAAAAAACCCTAACAGGACCTGGGGTCAAAGTCCCATGATGGGACAGGGATCGGGGCCAAACGATTCTAAGGTGAAGGCGTCATACACAAGGGCTGGGGTGGGAATGAGCCCGCTGAAAGGGGGCTACCACTATGCCAGGGCGGCTCTGAATGGGAAAATGTTAATGCAGCCCAAAAAAGGCTTGGAGCATGACCTTCACATCTGCTAGTTTTTCTTCTTTCTGCCAGTCCCATACAGAGAGCACATGGTCGTTGGAGTCATCCACAGCACAGAGATTGGTTCCTCCATTCTGAAAAGAAAGTTATTCACAGGAAGACTATATCTGAGAATAAAGTGGGTTGAACATGATTAAAAATAAACATCAAATTTCATTTTTAATAAAGAGTCTGCTACATTGTAGTTAAAGAATACTCATCCATTGCTTTTGAGACCTGCTTTCTTTCTTTCTTTCTTTTTCTGGAGACAGGGTTTTGCTCTGTCATCCAGGTCACAGTGCAGTGGTGCAATCATTGCTCTCTGCACCCTTGACCTCCCAGGCTCAAGCAATCCTCCTACCCCAGCCTCCCATGTAGCTGGGACCGCGGGTGTGTACCACCACTCCCAGCTACTCTTTATTATTATTATTTGTAGAGATGGGATCTCCCTATGTTGCCCAGGCTGGTCACAAACTCCTGGGCTCAAGCAATCCTCCTACTTCAGACTCCTAAAGTGCTGGTTAGAAGGTGTGAGCCACTGTGCCTGGCTGAGCCACTGGGCCTGGCTGAGACATGCTTTCTTGACCAGACAGAAAGAGCAGGTAAATGATGGGGAATGAAGAAACAGGAATTGGGGAAGAGAAGGGCCAGTGGGGTGTCTCTTCACCACTGGGTTCCATGAAAACAAGAGCCCCTCCTAGAGCAGACAGTGCCTGCAGCAGGCATGGCACAGGGGCTGTTAGCAGCTGTGAAGGTGGCTGCTGTGGGGCTGCACAATGCCTCGGCTCTGGGGGCCTGAGTGCAAGGGGGTCTTTTCATGTGAACACGTGCACATGTGTGTGAATATGGGTTTCTGAAGTGGTTGAAATGGTTTGAAAGAGTGTAGGGTGGGTCTGCTGAACCAGCACGTCCTGAGGAAGCCTGGAAGATGACAAGGCCCTGTCCGACCCCTGCTTGCAGCCAGGCTGCCCGCCAGCCACGTTGGGATTGTCAGAGGCATTTGAATCAGAGCAACTCCATCTTGAATGGGGGATGGGTAAAATAAGGCTGAGACCTACTGGGCTGCATTCCCAGATGGTTAGGCATTCTAGGTCACAGAATGAGATAGGAGGTTGGCACAAGACACAGGTTATAAAGATCTTGCTGATAAAACAGCTTGCAGTAAAGAAGCTGGCTAAATCCCACCAAAACCAAGATGGCAACAAGAGTGACCTCTGGTTGTCCTCACTGCTACACTCCCACCAGCACCATGACAGTTTATACATGTCATGGCAACGTCAGGAAGTTACCCTATATGCTCTAAAAAGGGGAGGCATCAATAATCCATCCCTCACTTAGTATATCATCAAGAAATAACCATGGAAATAGGCAACCAGCAGCCCTCGGGGCTGCTCTGTCTATGGAGTAGCCATTCTTCTATTCCTTTACTTTCCTAAAAAACTTGCTTTCACTTTATGGAATCGCCTAGAATTCTTTCTTGCGTGAGATCCAAGAACCCTCTTTTGGGGTCTGGATTGGGACCCCTTTATGATCACATCTTTCTGGTGACCATGAAGCGATGACACTGAGGAAACCCCCAACCCAAACGCTGACTTTGGGTAAGTGGTGGGGTCCAGTGACATCTTTCTGGAGACCACAGAAGGGACAATACTGAGGAAACCTCCAATCCAAAGGCTAACTTTAGTAAGTGGTGGGGTCTGGTAACATCTTTCTGGTGAACCCCAAAGGGATGATACTGGAGACCCCTGATGCAAAGAAAAATCATCTGTACACACCGAATGGCTGATTTTGGGTAAGGGGGGGGCACACACCTGGGCAAAGGATGGGATTGGGTTAGAGGCCTAACTTAGGAGTCTCTCCTAAGACAGAGTGGGTTAAAGGCCCCTCTTAATAAAAGGCAAGGACGCTAGACAGACCTTGGGTTCCAGGCCCAACTTAGGAAGGTTAGAGTCCTTCCTAAGATTTAGGGGGTTAGAGGTCCCTCTCAGTAAAGTCCTTTTCAGCTAAGAACAGGCTTGGCACTATGGGACGTTAACTGCTATTATCATCTTTGGGTTTATCTGCCTTGCACTCTTTGCTGATGGCTAAGGGTGACAGAATTAGGCATGTACAAGATCATGGGACATGGGGAACTTTTTCCTCCCCAAAAGGGGAAATTTAAGAGCTGACGGGACTGCTGGGAAAGATCCCTTCGTTATCAACAGGCAGCCACCTGAACTTTTCAGTGTCACTGCAGTGGGCAGGTCTTTCTCTGGCCTCCCTGAGCTCTTCACCTTCCCCGCCCTGCCACAGGGAATGCTTTTCTCTCTCTCCTTTTTCCCTTTCTTATGTTTTCTATTACTCAGGGCCACCATCTTGCCCAGAGACCGTAAGTTGAAGCTCCTGGTTGGAGGCTGGATTAACAACGATGGGGCCGACCAGGGGCATGTCTGAGCCCTGCCAGTTTGATTTTGGGTGCTGGGTGCTGAGCTGAATGGCTAATATCTATGTTTTGTCACACATATTTTGCTCTGGCCAGGACAGAAAAAGATAATTTTCCTTTATGATGTGGCTTGGCCCCTAGGGCTGTGGTGCAGCCAGCTGGATCACTAGGGCCGCCTCAGGGAAAGGGAACCCAGAAGCCTGGCATGCCAGCAAAATGGTAAGAATTTCTTACCAGTCAGACTTCTGGCCTTTCTCTCTCTCTCTCTCTGCAAACTGGCTGAATGAATGGTAAAAATCACTATTTATCTCCTGTAAAGTTTTGATTAATGGGAAAAAAGGATTTGTGAGGGTAATCTTAAGCTGTAGAAAATCTGTTGTGCTTTGTGTTATAAATTTGTCTTCTATATCATTCTGTCATAAAGAGGGGTACCATAGGATAGAATGTGGGCCTAGGACCCTATAAGCCCACTGTTCAAAGTAGCACAGCAAACTGGTCAGTTATAAATTTTGTGGCAGGTTCCTGAAAAAAAACTGGATAAAGTTTCTCTCTTATCTTGTTTCGTGTGCTTGGGAGCTTGACCTTGTAACACGTGGCAGTACTTTATCTTGGTCTCTGCCATCACAGTGGCAGCCTGGGATCAGGGTTCAATTCCTGGCTTAGGGAATGAGTCCTTTATTTTCTGTCTGTGTATTTACATGTATTATGTGTGTGATGTTTATATATGAAAGAGCTTTGATTAATTGGTGTAATAATAATAATAAGCTTAAATCAAATATTTTGTAAGAAAAGTAAAAAGTGTAATGCCTTTCAGTTCACATGAATTAAGTAATTTTTGGGAAATAAAAACTGTTTTATATGTAAGGTGTATAAAGAAAGTGAAATGTCTTTTGGTAATAGATTATAAGAAGGCATGGAAATGTGGATTTTTTTTTGCCTAGATTAAAAGGTTAAATTATTGTTTTAAATTAGATAGAATAAAGCTCAAAGTTTAAGCAAGTTGTCGAAAGTTTGAGAGAAATTAATCTTGTAAAGAAATTCTGTGTGAACATATTGGCTAAAGTTAAAGGGGTATTAATCAGTTTTTCTGTAAATTAAACATTGGAATAAAAGCACAACAGGTTTTTCTCTGAGCAATGATCTGCTTTTCAACACAAATTGTAAAGGATTAATAAAAGGTTTATAAAAATCTTACCTTATGGTCACAGTGATTAAAATTGAATACATTGGCCAGGCACGATGGCTCACACCTGTAACCCCAGCACTTTGGGAGGCCGAGGCGGGTGGATCACTTGAGGTCAGGAGTTCGAGATCAGCATGGCCAACACAGTGAAACCCGTCTCTACTAAAAATACAAAAAAATGGCTGGGCATGGTGGTGTGCACCTGTAATCCTAGCTTCTAGGGAGGTGAGGTGGGAGAATTGCTTGAACCCGGGAGGTGGAGGTTGCAGTGAGCTGAAATCATGCCACTGCCCTCTAGCCTGGGTGACAGAGTGAGACTCTGTCTCAAAAAAAAAAAAAAAATGAATAGATTTATCTATGAGATTTTGTTAAGAATATTTAACATCAATAGTACACTAATGTAAAGGTGAAATTTGGCTTATTTGGTATAAAAGTCATACAGGAAGCATTGTCAAATAGGAAATTGGCTTTCTTTGGGCTGTATTTGTATAAATATGTTACTGGCATGTGTTCCAAAATTAGGTGAAACTCCTATAATTCTGATATGACTTAGTGTATGTTATTAATAGTTGTACTTGTTATGTTAAATTATTGTATGCTCCAGGAGTAACCAAATTTCCTTGTCAATTGTGGCTTTAATTGTGGCTGTCCTAAGACTTTCTGTCATCCACAGACAATTCTTGTCTTGTTTTGGTCCTATTTAAAAGGTGGCTTATAATCAGATATAGGCCTTTAACAGGTGCTCTTGAATGCAAGTTTCTGATTACTTTCAAAGTTGTAACATGAGAATAGAGGAAAAAACTTTCAGGACTCTCATGGGGAGCTGAAATGTTCCTGAATATCAAGCAGAACAGGAGTTAACTGCATGAACCAAACTAATAGAAGATTGAAATCATCTTTTTTGACTTTGCTTAAAATGTTGCTGATCCTTTGCTTTTTTCAAAGACAAGAAAACTTTTCTTTTGAGCTATTTAGAGCTTTTAACAATTAAGTAAAGTATACTGCTATGAACAAAATTTGAAGCATATTTGTTTCTCTCAACCTGATCTCTCCAGAATTTAGAAACTATTTGTGAGTATTCTTAATTTATGGCAATATAGTTAATTGCATAATTGTAAAGAATTTGTTTTTGTTTGTAACAGGACACAACTGGAGAAACTGGTTATTTTTTTCACAGGAATGGCATGCTTTCCTTTAAGGAATCAAATTGAATTGTAGAGTCAATAGAAGCCCCTTGGGGGAAACTGGCCTTGTACCTTGTCTCCACAGTCCCTGTACAGGGTTCCTGATCTGTGGTAAGTAAAGAATGTCACTTTCTCACAGGCCCAGGAGCCCCAAGTTATCTTGGGACCCCCCAAGAGGAGAGGAATTTACCCAACCCATAGGTATTTGAGAATATAAACCTATGGCTGGGCTTGGCTTTAAAAAAGGTCTTATCTGAGATTCCTTATGGAACAGAGTTCCATCAAAGCCAATTTAAAAAGCCTATGTGAAAAATAATTATTCTTGCTGCACTTTATACAAATAATCAAGCCAAGTATACAAGACTAAGGCTTATTTTTCCAAACTAATCAGTCCTGTTATGGTTTGTCTTTAGTAAAAATGGGAGACTGGAGACAGAAATTATGTTTCAAGAACTATGGTACATTTGTCATTAGATTCTAGTTTCATCAGTCGTTTTTAAGTTTTTTCTGCTATTTAAACTAACCCTGCTTATTCCTGTGAACCAACCAGTGATCTCTGACTGCGGCTCAGAAGAAATAAAAGCAATGGGTAATGTAAATATCTGGATCAGTATTCCAATTCTGGACACACTGGAATCAGCTAGCGACCCCATATCAGCTTGGTTCCAATAGTTGCCCAGTTAATAAAAAGCCTTCTTACTTAGTTTACTTGGGATAATTTTGTTTATTTTGTTTTACTGTTGTGGAATATATTGCTGTTGCACTCTTTGTGTAGGAATGCAGGATAAGCTTACTCAATGTTTTCTTAAGTTGAACACTTAATAATCTTCCAGATATCACCTTGCCATACTGACGTCTTCTGACTGAGCTCTTCTCTACCCCAAATACAAGAGACCCTAATAGTTAGGCAGGAATATCATCATCCCTATTCAGCCCGAAGAAGTTACAGAAGATGGATCTTTGTCCCTTTACAACCCTTAGGATTAAGGATTCTCTTATAAAAGGGAGGGGAGAAATGTCAGAGGCATTTGAACCAGAGCAACTTGAATAGGGGCTGGGGAAAATGAGGCTGAGACCTACTGGGCTGCATTCCCAGGTGGTTAGGCATTCTAGGTCACAGAATGAGATGGAGGTTGGCACAAGGTACAGGTCATAAAAACCTTGCTGATATAACCGCTTGCAGTAAAGAAGCCGGCTAAATCCCGCCAAAACCAAGATGGCGACAAGAGTGACCTCTGGTTGTCCTCACTGCTACACTCCCACCAGCACCATGACAGTTTACAAATGCCATGGCAGCATCAGGAAGTTACCCTATATGGTCTAAAAAGGGGAGGCATGAATAATCCACCCCTTGTTTAGCATATCATCAAGAAATAGTCATAAAAATGGGCAACCAGCAGACCTCAGGGCTGCTCTATAGAGTAGACATTCTTTTAGTGTTTTACTTTCCTAATAAACTTGCTTTCACTTTACTCTATGGACTTGCCTTGAATTCTTACAAGAGATCCAAGAACTCTCCCTTGGGGTCTGGATCGGGACCCCTTTCCAGTAGCAGGATGGCAGAGACAGACACGCTGGAGCCACCCTTGAAAGAAGCAGGTGAAATTCAAGGCCAGAGCACATAAACTGCCTTAAGGAAAGTGAGGACGATATCTCTGGGGGCCTGTTTTCATCACCAAACCCATGTGGCTGGAGATGTCTGATTGGAAGGAAGTGTGTGTCCCTGATGAGACATGCATATGACCTCTGACTGAGGGGTTCTGGGAAGCAGGAATGTTTCAGAGTCCAAATCTGTACATACACCCAGGCAGGTATCGAGTGTGTCAACTCCCCCTCTTCAACCCTGAGTTGATTCTCTACTTCCTGTGGAAGAAGACAGCAATATCCACAGGGCACATACTTACAGATTTTGAGAATGCAATACAGGTGACTGCTCGGTCAAAAAAACCTATTCCAATGACGTGGAGAGTATTCAATGTCACAGAATCCCAGATGCGCACATGTGGGGGCAATTGCTGTTCAGAAAAGAAACACAGAGCCATCAATTGTGATGGTGATACACATGTGTCTTTACCTTGAAGCTACAAGATTACTTGGGCAGTAACTCGGACTTTGTCAAAACAAAAGATCTTTTTCTGCATTTCAGGAGTCTGCCTTTTTATGTAAATAAAACATTCCCGATGACTTCAGGAGGTGGAGGGCCTTGTTGATAATTTAACAGTAAGGAGAGGTCTACCAAGTTTTAGAATTTGAATGGCCAATTTTTGACAATAGTACCATGGGAACTGACACTTTAATTTGTGCATCTAAATGTGTCTGAATTTTAGAAATGAAAAATGACAAGTAAAATGGAATCTCACATATGGGTTATTCTTTTAAAGTCTGTTTTGTTGCTAAGGTGTCACCATGCCTAAATTCATAAGATGGTCACCACCAAATAATATTAAGAGCTTAACAGACCAGGTGTGGTGGCTCACGCCTGTAATCCCAGCACTTTGGGAGGCTGAGGCAGGTGGATCGCCTGAGGTCAGGAGTTCGAGACCAGCCTGACCAACATGGTGAAACCCTGTCTCTACAAAATACAAAAAATTAGCCGGGCGTGGTAGTGCATGCCTGTAATCCCAGCTACTTGGGAGGCTGAGGCAGGAAATCGCTTGAACCCGGGAGGTGGAGGTTGCAGTGAGCCAAGATTGCACTACTGCACTCCAGCCTGGGCAACAAGAGCAAAACTCTGTCTCAAAAAAAAAAAAAAAAAAAAAAAAGAGCTTAATATTCTTGGGCAAAACAGGCATCAATTATGTACAAATAAGATTTAGAATTGTTATAATTGGTTTAAAATCCTCTCAACTGTGTTCCTAGGTTATTTACGCTAATTTTTCTCTTCCTTAATAGAAGAAAACATCATAGAGCAATCAGTAGATTTATCAGTAAGAAAAGGTGCTGGCCTTGGACCTAGTAGAAACACTAGGCAGGCGTTAGGTGAACCAAGTTCTAGTTCAGTCTAATCTCTAAGCAGCTGGGTGTCCGCGGGCATTCACTAGGCCTCTCTGGATTTCTCTATGGGTAAACTGAAAGATAACTATAATATTTTTCTCTAGTTCTAAAGTACCGATTCAATTTCAATGCCAGAAACTGAAATATACTTTTAAGCCACTAGAGGGAGGAACAAATAGCTTACCACTAATTTCAAAGAATTTTTCAAAGCCATTTAACATTAAAAAAAAAAAAATTGAAAGACCCATTCAATTTAAGTAAATTTATTTACATAATAGTGGTCTGATTTCCATTATTTCTGTTAACTCTTTTCAAGTATAAAATATTAATGCAGGTCAGGCGCAGTGGTTCACGCCAGTAATCCCAGTACTTTGGGAGGCTGAGGTGGGCAGATCGCTTGAGCCCAGAAGTTTGAGACCAGCCTGGGCGATGTGGTGAAACGCTGTCTCTACCAAAAATACAAAAATTAACCGGGCGAGGTGGCGTGTGCCTGTACTCCCAGCTACTCAGGAGGCTGAGGTGGGAGGATCACTTGAGCCTGTGGGGGCAGAGGTGGCAATGACCCGTGATTGTGCCACTGCATTCCAGCCTGGGTGACAGAGTGAGACCCTGTCTCAAGAAAAAAAAAAAAATTAATGGAAAATAGCATAAGATTAATATTTAAAATCCAATGTTACTAAAATATTTTCTGAAATATGGTAGTATTCATTTTTTCTGGATGAAAACATGTTGATAAAATGTATGTACTTAAATTAGTTTCAGATAAAATATTATGCAATAACAAGCTATATAAAAGTAGATATCAAAAAAGCTACAAGCTCCCTCTCTAACGCCTTAAAATGCAAATTAAAGTCTTGCTGAAGTGCTTGCAAAATCTGTGCTAAAAACCTCCTAGTAGCTTTTGTGACTGCACACAGACACAAACTTCACGGGTTAAAGTCACGACTGTTAAACGACATTCACAGGACAGGGCAGAGGGTGGCTGAAATTTGGCAAAATGTTGTACATTCAAATTATTATTATAATTTTAACTTTATTAAATGTTTACCTTCATATTTTTAATACTTATCATATAAATAAACATTTTAAGAATTAGCGAATTCTTTGTTCAGAACAATGCTATTTAAAAATCTGATGAAATTAAGATGAGCTCCAGGGATTTTTAAGGTCACAGTCAGTATTTTTTTTTTTTTTTTTTGAGACTTAGTCTCTCTCTGTCACCCAGGATGGAGTGCAGTGGCATGATCTTGGCTCACTGCAACCTCCGCCTCCCGGGTTCAAGTGATTCTCCTGCTTCAGCCTCCAGAGTAGCTGGGACTACGGTCATGTGACACCACGCCTGGCTAATTTTTGTATTTTTGGTAGAGACGGGTTTCACTATGTTGGCTAGGCTGGTCTCAAACTTCTGACCTCAAGAGATCCAGCCTGCCTTGGCATCCCAAAGTGCTGGGATTACAGGCGTGAGCCACCGCACCCTGCCACACAATAAGTCTTCTAATTTACAATAAAAAATTCTAGTGAGGGGTTCAGAAGTTTTCAGATACCATAATTATATCTAAGCAGCCTTACTCAGCAGCACAATGTTTTCTAAAAATTACTTTGTGTTACCAGTTCATTATGAAACAATGAAAAGGTAACGTAACTCACTTTTCCATCCTTCGATGTGCCCGCAACTTGTCCTGTTGCTATCGTGATCCGATCAGGATGAACTGCTAGGCTAAGAAAAGGATATTTACAAAACATCTACATGTTGCAGGTAAGTTTTACTTTTCCCTTGCTCAAATATAATCTAGTCAAAAATTTAAATATAAGAAATATATAATGCCTAACTTCTTACAGACTCATGACAAATTCTCTGAGCACCACGACGTTAGACAACTAGTACCTAATTCATTTCATCTTAATTCCCTTATTTCTTCTTAAGAATTTTCAAACTGAAGGAAAAAGCATCCTCTGCTGGGAAAATACCATTTCAATCTCAGAACCACTACATTAGTCTACAATCTTTATTAAAAAGTCATGTTGAGTACATAAATAGGAAAGATACCATCTTTCGTGAACAGGATTTTTATCATTGACCAAGGAACCAGGACAAATACAAATATATAAATCCATCTCTTCACGCATCCATCCTTCCAAGATATGTAATATGCCTACCAAAAGCTATAAATGAATTATGGGAAGAGCCGACTCAGCCACAAACATGAGGCAACACATTTTTATGTTTATCAAAAAATAAAGACCCAAATTAGAAGCCTTTAATACATGATGTGTTAAGAAGGCCTCCAAAGAGGTGGCGCTGTTTGTTGAGACAATGTGGTCCGTGAAGCTCATGCGTTGGTGAGGCTGGAAAATTAAACATGAGAGGGGTCTCACGGAGCGCAGTAGTGAGCGGACCACAAGGAGACCACACAGAAGAGCTCTCCCAAAGACCTCATTTCCTCAGACCCTCTTCCTTCTCTTTAGTTATGTCCCAATACTGACCGTGTTCTGCTAATGCTATTTCCACCTGTGCAACAGGAATCACATTTATTTATTTATTTATTTTAGAGACAGGGTTTCACTGTTGCCCAGGATGGTCTGGAACTCCTGGCCTCAAGCGATCCTCCTACCTTCGCCTTCTGAGTCGCAGGAATGACCTGTTTCAGGACTTACCACTTCACGTCATCGTTGTGGCCAGCGTAATGCCTCTGCAGTTGCTCCTCCACGTTGTATAACACCACCACGGATGCGATGAAGTAGACGGTCTCTCCCGTCGGAAGCAAGTACAGGTTGTTACGGCAGTCTCGACCCCTGTACCCATAGCTTTGTGGATGTCAAGATAAAATTTTTTTTCCCTTTAAGAGCTGACAAAACATCAGCTTTATTCAACAGGCACAGGCAATAAAATACCATATAACTATTACCATCAGCATCACTAATTTAAACAACATTAAATTGCAAATATTCCATGACAAATACATGTGACCCCCAAAAGGCATGCAGTAAAGTTGAAACAGTCATTGATGTAATGTGAATACATATTTTCACAATGATTTGGTTTTATTTTTAGAAAGCTATTGAGTCAATTATTAATTTTTTTACTGTAATCTACGAGCTAAATTTTTACTAAAAAATTCCTTTTTTAAACATGGTAAAAGTACTTACAAAGGGTACAAATGACACACACACATGCACACAAACATACATAAAAGGTAAAAAAAAAAAAATCAGGCCCCTCAGATCCTTTGGGATAAGAATCCCTGTTAAAATTTTTGCATTATATTTCCAAACCTTGAAAATTATTTTATTTTGAGAACAAAATATCACTTCAACTTGGATGTAAAAAGTAACCCGGCAAGATGCCAAATAATGGCCAAAAAAATGCCATTTATTTAGAGCAAATTTCATTGCTTTACATCTTCTAAAATATGAACAGGAAGTAGGCTGAATAAATGTTTTGAATAATGTTTTCCAGATGTGATATAACCGTTTAATAAACCACTACTGACTTAAAGACGAGCTGAAGCACTTCAATTTCATGTATCAAGATAGATTCCAAAACAGGTGCAGGTAAATGCCTATGACATTTGAATCTGGAAAAAAAAAAAGTATTTTGGGGGAGAAATTTAGGTACAGGTGGTAATTTTAAAAAATTTCTAAGGAATATGATTCCATAATCTCAAATAGTAATTATTCTAAATGAAGTCACAATAGCTTAAATTTAAACCAACATCTTATAATTTGTGTTCCAGGCTTGGCATTAAACAGGTACTCAAATATTTGAAGGTGAAAAAAAATTTTTTTTTTCCCTTAAAATCTGCATAGACTGAAAGGTGGTCTCTGCAGGATTCCTCTAAAGTAATAAGAAAATGGAAAAATAATCAACAATTAATTCACCTTTTTCACAGTTTCTATTTTCTTATCTTTCAGTTGTTTTTTCCCCTGGAAGCTCACTTTTCCAAACCTCATGCCATGAAGCTACCAGCACCTCTGTTTCAAGAACGTTAGTTATATGGTTGATTCAGATTTTTGTGGCCTAGATTTTTGGGGAGCCTTTTTGATTGATATGAATATATGTATTTTTGAGACAGGGACTTGCCAAGTTACCCAGGCTGGACTTGAACTCCTGGATCCTTCCATCTAAGCCTCTTGAACAGCTGGGACTACAGGGATGCATCCCTGTAGCTAGTTTTTTTTTTTTTAAAGTAGGATGATATCTACGTGATATGTCAATTTCATTTACGTCATTCACTTGACTCCCTTCATTCAGTACTTTGGTATTCATATTTTTCTATCATCCCTTCAGTCAAGGTCACACTTGAAGTTTGGCTCCTAAGGCTGGCCAAGTCCATACTTGGTTTAAGGGGAGAATGCTAGTCCTCCTTTCAGAGTACCCCTCTTTCTTTGGGTTTAAAAACTTTTTTGCCAATGTGGTTTAGTTTCAATTTTGGATACTCCCATTTCCTCAATCATAAGGACAATATTTTCTTGCATTGTCACTGTTGTTTCCTTATAAATATAGAGAGTGCCTAGTTTTCCATCTGTCCCTGAAGAGTTGACTAAGTATATGATAGCTCCTGTTAAAAATAATTGGCTTTTGGCTGGGCATGGTGGCTCATGCCTATAATCCCAGCACTTTGGGAAGCTGAGACGAGCAGATTGCTTGAGTCCAGGAGCTCAAGAACAGCTGGGGCAACATAGGGAGAGACTATCTCTTAAAAAAAAATCAGTTCTCATTAGAATCTAAAATTCTACCCATTCTTGATTATTTTCACTGTTCACTTCTTTATATATTTCTAACTACTATTGTCATTCTTTTGGAAAGAATAAAATTCGGACCAGAAACTAGTGATTCATTTTCTCCTGACAAAGAAAAAAATCACTCATACAATCATATAACATCTTCATATTTTCTTTTCAGCAAAATAATGAACATGTATTTGAGCCAGAACCACAGCTATTTCGTTCAGGAATGATAAGTTGGTTCTCCTGATAATAAGCCGCTCTTATGAAGCTCCTACTTTGTTAGAACTCTGTAGGTCTCTAACATATAGTCAATTTTGTTACATTAAGTTTTCAAAAGTAACAGTAAAACATTTTGTTTTTTAAAAGCTTAAGAGGACTTAAGTTTTATGAATTTCTACAGTTAACATCAAGCATTGATTGACTGATAACTTCATGTGAGACCTAATCAATGAATAAAGGATACACCCATTCCAGCTTGAGTCTCTTGGTTGGAAGTTCTACTTTTGCTTCCAAGCTGTAAGAATCCACTTGATCTTTGGGCATGTACATGGTAACAGGGCGTCCACGAAGAAACATTTTTACATAGCCTTCTTCTACAAAAAGAACAAAGATTTCAGTAAGATACCTCAGTGCCCAGCGTACCTGAAAACAAATGCTTTATCCTCTCTAGCCTTTCAGTATAAAAGAGAAACTTTTACCCTTCTGTCATTCTAATTGATATCCTAGGGAAAAAAGTAACATAAAAATAAACAGTTTGAAACAAAAGTTTGCATCTTGTTTGCTTTTGATATTCTGTTTACTTAAGTACATGAGATACCTACGAAATTGTAAAAGGCAGGAAGGAACTTGATTCCAACAATGATTTTCCATGAGATTTTACTGTTTACTTTCTTTTATCATCAGGAGGGGAAAAAATACCACCCCCAAAATTCAACTAACACAAGAAATCCACTTAAAGTTTTTGAGTTCAATGTATACACAATCTCAATATCCAAATTCACAAATATTTTTCAATATTTAAATGGATTTGTTATATTGCAATGTAAAAATATATCTTTATGTATCTTTTAACTGAACAATTCTTTCAAGTGTAAAGAACACAAAATCAGCAGAAGTGCATGCTAGGATGCAATGCAGAAAGGAAAATGCTCAAAGAAAATCTAGAAATGGAAAACAAAAGAACAAAAGACCCATTAGAGAGAGAAATCAGGATGCAAAACTCTTCAGAACGAACATTTCTATAATAAAATAACTTTTAATATTTCAATAAATCATAGGGACAAAAGTAAATATCAACAACGTATCAACACGGGGTAACTCCTAGACCTCAAAAAGAACATCTTGGGGTGTTCTGACTGGAGTTCTCAGGATATGATAAGGGCAAAGAAAATGTCTTGTGAGCTCCGCTCCTGGTGAATTCTGTTCAGATTCAGAACTCGCTGAATTCTGAAATTTCACTGCAGATCAAAGGACCTGGTTTTAATGGTATTTAAACTGGGCAGTTGGAACCAGGGATACCTGTACACAACTCAACAGAAAAAGCATCCGCAGGGAGGAAATTGGCGAGGAACAGTTAGGAAATAATTATAGTACAAGTTAGTTTTATAAGTCTTATTCTTAAGGATTTTCAAACAATGCCACATGCAGTATTACTTAAAAATCAAGAGGGCACCCCAGTTTCATGTTATTGTGTGTATGCGCTTCAGGTCTTAAATGCATGCACGTGACACACTCTTCACACTGCGTATTAAGGCTGACGTTGAGTGAGAGTCATGAACGCGATCATCCCTGCCTATGTGTGCCAGCCACTGCGTCCCATGGATCCTCCCCTTACAATGTCTCCCACACTGGTGCCAACTTCCCCAGGTGCACTGGGGCCCCATCACCACAGGCTGTCTTATGGCTCTCCTGGGTCAGTTTACACACTGCTGCCAAACCCACCAAGGCCCAAACCAGGTTTACGGAGCCCTTCCTCCATGTAAACTTCTTCACCTGCTCTCTTCCTTGCTGGATCCAGCAGGTCTAAATGCCCTGCCAGGCTCTCACCGCACAGGACCTCATCTGCCACAGCCACCCACAGGGATTCTCCTCTGGGGCCAGGCGTGTCTCTTTGCCCCCCTCTACACCCTGTCCTGTCTGTGCCACCGCTCATGCTGTTCTCTTCTGAAGCTTCTTCCCTTCCTTAAACCTCACCCAAATATAAGCTCATCAGGGGCTGTGTGGCTACCACAACCAAAGAATCTAAAAGCACCCAAACGATTGACATTCTTGAAAAGAGGGGCAGGAGACTGGAGTTGACAGCTAAATGAAAAGGGATTCTAGCAACTCTCTTTGTAAGAGAATCAGTCCTGCCAGAAAGCTCGCAGAATGTAGGTTAGGAATAAAGACAATATAATGCTATTTCCACAACACATAAAAAATGCAGAGTGTGGATGTATATAACCAATGTCTATGAAATATCCACATGAGTCTATCACAGGTATGTGATGATTAAGAAACCTTAGGACTGAGCTTACTTACTGCAGAATTTTAACTTACTGAACTAGGCAAAAAAAGCACTGAAGTCAGCCTTGGCACTGTTTTGTACTGGTGATTCAGACAGGCTACATCTAAAATCAAAATGCAGCCAGGGAAAGCAGTGTTTGTTCCAGGCAGGTTAGGATAACAGCACACACGCCACCAAACCCAAAGGCGCTAGTGGGAAGAGGCCAGCAGCAGTGCATGATACCAAGTCAAACAGTGGGACATCCAGGGGTGGCCCTATAGCTCTCTTAAGGTTTACATAGATGAAAAAAAAATTCCTGCAGTCAGCCAATACCAATTGGGATCCAAATTACAGCCACTTATTAAAGCCCATCCGAGTAAATGCTCAGGGATGCGTTTAACTTAAAATGAATCGAAGTGGTTTGCAACACAAAAACATTTTCATACAAGGAGAGCATCTGTTTGCCTGTATGAAAAAGGTTTCTGTAGCCTGGGTAACAGCTTTGCTCAGAGAGCTATGAGGTTTCAGAAATGCTGCCTACCTTTGCAGTGTGTCACCCGGCGTTTCCCTTGTGATTTCGGAGACAGAGACAGAAGGGCTAGATAAAGAGACGGTGGAGTACTGCAAGTGTGGCTGGCCTGCCTGCCCCGGAGCCCGGAGCCCTCACTAGCCCGCAGGCCAACACCTGACCTGCCCCCCAGTCTTAAAATCTGGACACGGTTCAGGGATCCTGACAAGTGCGCTCACAATGTGGCCCTGCGAGCTTACAGCAAGTACATTTTCAGTGAGTAATTTCATGCTTCCTGAAAATGAAATGAACACTAAAGCACATGCTGATAAATACACAACTTTGACTTTTATGTTTTAATTCTGAACTTAAGAAAAAACTAGAACAATTAAAATTAAATGAATGTATTTCATCAATTACATACTTGTCCATTTTTTGCATTTTAAATGCATTTCTAAATAAGGTTAAGATGCTAGACAACAGCATCTACCTTATTACAAAAGGTGTTAAAAAAGATATATGGAAAGATATACATGAACTATTAGTTTGCAGTTTAGGAGATCATAGGCAGAAAAAGAAAAGCTACTTTTAGACAGTTATATAACTTGATGCATAAGAAACTTTCCCCTAAGAGAAATGCAAATGTTGATAACAGAATCCAGTTAGTAAGGAAGGAATAACCAAGGCAACAGACACCTTTTAATCTAGAAATTCCATCATGGCATAGGTGGTGGCATTCCACTCTCCTCCTTACTGGCATGTCTTACGTTGGTTTTGGAGAGGGTAGGTGAAGGGTTTGCTCTTTATGACTGTTTAAAGGCAGTCTCGCTGTCACTATCTGAGCCATTCAACCTCCAGGTACAAAGCTCCATCTGGGCCTGCACAAACCAAAGCTCCTGTGTGTCCAAGGCTGGCCCCTGAAGCTGGCTACTTCTTTTCTGTCCCTTGAGTTCTGAGAGAGTGAGTGAGGGGTTCCCATACATAAATTAAATCAGACTTACCTGCACTGAATACAGGCTCCTTGGGTTTGCTGTGAAAATAAACGAAAAACAGTTTTTAAAGGGTGCTGTGGGTGTTTCATCTCATTCACTTCAGACCCCAAAGCCACGGCTGCAGTAGTCTGCCACACAAATGCTGCATAAGTTATACACGTTAATAAGAAAAACACCACCAATTTCACTGCAAAAAGGAACACACATAAACAATCATAAACAATCTCATAGGTGCAAGAGATTGCAATCCTCACTTTATCACCAAAGTTGTGCTTTTTATGACTGCAAGTAAGTGTTTCGGGGAGGAAAAAATGTGATTAATCAAGAAGGGAATGACCCTGTCTAAATGTGTAAAAACGGTTGTTTTTATTCCCTACACTCTTCTGACAGATTATTTAAAGAACTTATTTAAAACTAGCAAATTCCTGACAAAAGATCTTTTGGTGAGGCCTTTTAGAGCTCACCTCCTAAGCAGATGGCTGTTCTCGGAAGACAAGTGGGTGAACATAAAATAGAAAGAGAAGCGGGGAACACCAGGGTGTGGTACCCTCCAGCTCAGCCATCTCTTGGGAGAGGTAGGGACACCCCTGCTGACTTCAGTCACCCTGGGCACCCACCATGAGCAGGTGAGACCACCCCATGACAGCACTTGGGAAACCAAACCCAGGAAGCATTTAAGGACAGACAGCCGCAGGCAGACTGGACATCCCTAGGAGCAAGCACCTCACAGGAGAAACTTCCACGAGGGGACCCTGGGGGCAGAAGGAGAGGCGGCCGCCACTGCAGACCCACTACTTTCTGCCAGGGGCACCCCTCCCATGACACCACCTTTGGGGAGATGGCACCGTCTCCATTCCAGACAGGGACAGGGAGACCAAGGGAGCTCAGGGAGGGGGGTGACCCCTTGACCTCAACTTTGACTCCAAAGTTCATGCTTTGCACTGCTTAGCTTCCCTGACTTCTGCCTGCTTTAAGATACAAAAGACGACACAGGAAATAAACGGGAGTCAAGGGGTGCACTGGGTTCACCATAGTGAACCCATAAGGCACCATAGTGCCTTAAATGCTGCTAGGATTACATATGCATTTTGTGTGTGTGTGTATTTAAAACAAAAACTTGAGCAGATATATTCCTAATATTATTCCTCAATTTTTGACTTGAAACACAATGAAAAACACCAGGAATAAAAACTATCCTTAATCCCAAGATGTAGTAAGTAATATTCTATATTAATATTCTTGATTTCCAGATAATTTCCTGCAGCACATGGGGTGGGGTGGTAGAGCCTACTACTTTCCTGATGCTTTAAAAGTGTTTTACTCTGTTCAAATGTGTTTTAAGTAGTTTTGTAAGCTATAGGCTTAGTTTCCTAAACTCTAAACTATGGTCATTGAAAATACTACTAAAAAGCCATGGCACAGCCTTTGAACCTGAAAGCCTGGGTCTTACATTGGCCTACAAGGCCCTATCCAATCTGCACCTGACCCCTGTATTCTTCAGAGCTCATCTCCCTTCACTATATTCCCTGCTGTTCTGGGAACCTGGCCCAGCAGGCTCCGTGTCAGGCGTTGGCTCATGGGCCCTCCTGGACCATCCTCCCCGAAGTCAGCCACTCTCAGGCCACTGCTGTAGCCGTGCGTACGGATTCATGTTCGCTGCTCCATACTGAAACCCTCCTCACGCCCTGCTCGCCACAGCCCCCGCCCCTCCTGCTTTATTTTTCTCTATAGCACTTATTTGCCCCCTGCCTTCATTTTGTTTCTCCCACCAGGAGGCAATTCCACAGGGGCAGGGATCTTTCTGTTCATGGCTATATTCCCAGGGCCTTGGACAATAGACAGCGGCTGCCCTGGTGTGAGGCCTGGAGCTCCTGTGGAATTCCTCTTGGTTCTCCGTCTTCAGCCTTCAGCAGGCCCCAAGGATCTGTGCCTGGTGGGTGGTGGTGGGGTCGGCTCTCAGCAATCCTGCCTCTCCCCGGGGCACACACAGCTGCTGCCAAGAACCTGGTGTGGGGCTTGGTGTGCAGATGGAGTTTCTCTCCATCCTCCAGGTCCCCAGACCTCACTACACACCCACCCCTCAAAGGGCTCTCTCTCAGCTTTCCTCATCCTTCCTTCGGGGGTGGCCAGCTGCTGCCTGGCACTTAGTTCCAGGCCCTGAGCGTGGAGAACGTCTCTCGGCTTTCCTCCTGGCATGCCTCTGCCTCCGTGGGTCTCTCTCAGCCGCCTGTCCGGCTCCCAATCCACCATGCACACTCACGGAAGTCTGGGGAAAAGCGGAGTGCGTCTGAGCGGGGGGAGGGTTCTCGTGTGCCCAGAGCCCCTGAGGACTCTGAACTCTCCTGCCAGTCCACACTCAGCCTTTCCCAATTCTACACCTCCAGGTGATTTCCTACTCCCATCTAAGAGGGCTCCCCTTTTCTCCCCGCCACTCTGCCAGAGACAAAAGCAGCCGTGGGGCCTGTCCCTCCTCAGATGGGCTTGCCACTTTTCAGTAACACTTCAGTTCATTATACTACTTTCTGTCCTCAGCTCCATGGTGGCCTTAAAATAGCTATGATACTGTAGATACCTGAATTGTTCTCATTTTTAGGGTGGAAGTGACATTCTTGTCATTTTCTGTGTGCTAAGCAGAAGCAGAAGAAATCTTAACTCCAAATTTCACATATATGATTAAATTTACAGGCAGAAGGAGGTGAGGACAGAAGGAAAGCTGACAAAAGACTACGAGGCAAATCTAATTACAGAAACATAATCAAAGGGAAGCCAGGTATGGAATCAAAAGATAAGAAAACTATTTTTTTATCATGACTTTGATCACAAAAGTAGAATGATGCAAAAGCTATGAACACAGAAATGAGAAATTCAGAACTTGCCCTAGAGACAGAAAAAAGCAATTATGAACTATGTTCTTCCTGCAAAGAGAAAATCCGCAAGGGAATCTGAACGCTTCATACAGGGAAGCTCGTGGACCTTCGACACTGAAGAACTGTAAGAGGAAGAATGAAAGATTTCTATTAACAGATTAGGTAGCAGGAATGTTAACAACTAAGGTCATTGAGAGAGGAGGTATCAGGTGGTACTAAAATGCTTACATTTCTTTAAATCATGCTCTAAACAATGTATCACTTTGTGGTATGCTGTATTTAGAAAATATACTACTGCTACATTTTATTATTTTAGAAAGTTGAGTTTTTATTGAAAAAAACCCAGCTTATTTGTTTAGAACCCATTACTCCTGCCAATGCACCACCACCTTTTCTAAAAGGCAAGCCTGGGAGGAGGTAATTTCACTCTTGCATGCAAATCTTGGCATATAAGCCCACAAAATGATGACAAATCTTCTGAACAACTGATAGAAAGGCAAACACACAGATGTGCAGTGATAACCAGAAGAGAACATTGAAGCCACCGTGGCCTCTCAACAAAGTCTGTTGACGGGAGCTGTATGCAGAAAGTGCATCTCTCCAGAACGCACAGCCACTCAAATTGAGAGTGGGTCCTTCAGACCCAGCACTATTTTGAAACATGCTTGGGCGGTGAATTCACTTGGAGTGGGAGATGATCGCTTCTCAAGGTGTTACGTAATTCATCTCTGATTCCCCATTTCTTGATGTGAGCTCGGTGGAAAAAATTAAGTGGGTGACTTAACATCCCCTCAGCAGCTGGGGTGTGGCTCCATGGCGGTGGCGGGGTGCGGGGGAGAATGCCCAGTCCTGTCCTAGGAAGGGTGAAGGAGCACCAGCTGCAGAATGAGGCTCCATTCATCCCTTGCCCAGTGTGGAGTCAATCAAGATGTCCTGCACCTGCCCCTGAAGCCCATGACAGAACTAAGCCTGGAGGAGAGAAAGGATTTGCCCCCCCGGTGAACAAACTCTCAGCGCTTGGCTATTCTGGTGTTAAGTTGTGGCCAATATCTCCAAGACGAACTCCAGCACAGTTCTTATTGCTTATAAGAAGGAGATTTGCTGAAAGAGCTCGGCTGTATGCTCCCTTGAGCTGAATGGTTCGAGAGCTGATATAAGATATAAGCAGTCGTGGAGACTCAACGGAGGATGAGGTACATTTGAATCTTCACCAGACCAGCAGCTGTATGGGGAGATGGCAGGAGAACACTAGACATCTGCCCCAAGGAAAAACTCACACCAACAGACAGCAGTGCAGTCAACCAACAGACAGCAGTGCAGTCTGAGCTGGGAGGCTCACACCAACAGACACCAGTGCGGTCAACACCGCAGAGGCAGCTGTGAACACGTATGTCTAAGTCCAAATCCCTGAATGTGTTCACTGTGGACTTTGGGCACAGGGATGGTCTAAGAGTGGTTGGTTTTTACTCATCTGATAAAGCTCCTATTTGCTGCACCATAGACTGGCATTTATAAGGAGGAGAGTCCAGTGGACGACGTGTCCAGGCTGCAACTCAACAGATATTCACTGTGCCTCAGAGCGGGGATCTGCTCTTATCTCTTTCATCTACATTAACTAACCTAACCCCATGTTCCTGAAAGGGGGCTCTGGGGCCAGATCTTGCAGGTCTTCGACACGTGGTGACATGTGTAAGAAGTCCTGGGCAACTAGGATCAGAGTGGAACTAATAGGAGCCACGTGCTGTTTGAGCAGAGATACTTGCTTTTGAAAGTGATTAATAAGGCTTGATAGAGGAGGAGTCCATTCCAAAGTTAAACATGTGATTTCCCTACAATTTATTAATCCAGAACAACTTTGGCTCTTGGAATAACATGACTTCTTTTTGTTTGAGACAGGGTCTGGCTCTGTCGCGCAGGCTGAAGTGCAGTGGTGTGATCTCGGCTCACGGCAACCTCCACCTCCTGGCTCAAGCCATCCTCTCACCTCAGCCTCCCAAGTATCTGGGACTACAGGCATATGCCACCAAACTCGGCTAATGTTTAGATTTTTTGTAGAGACAGGGTTCCGCCATGTTGTCCAGGCTGGTGTCAAACTCCTGGCCTCAAATGATCTGCCTGTCTTGGCCTCCCAAAGTGCTGGGATTCCAGGTGTGAGCCACTGGGCTCAGCCACATGACTGCTTTTAAAAATGACTTCACGTGATGAAATAAAGTTCCTGCTGGAAGTCAGAATACTCCACCATGGAAATAATGACTCTACAAAAATTGTCCTTAAGCAGCTTTTTATTAGAAATAGGGTCATTTAAGAACCATCTATTCAAAATGTTTAGAAGTTGCTGGAGACTTTATTTGGGACAAAAGCGACTGCTTCATAGACATTTCCAACCAATACTTCCCAGCTTAACATGGTGGAAGGAGCACAGATTTTGAGGCCAGCTGGATCCGTGTTCTAGGGCTTGGGTGAGGGGCTTCACCTCCACCAGCTTAACCTCCTTAATCTAAAAATGGGAATACAACCACTGTGAGGAACAGGTTATTGGCACGATTAAATAAGATATGTTACAATGCGTCCAACATGTTATTAATTAATATGGCTTCCCTCTTCCTCCTCCTTTCACTGCAAAAACCTTTGTATTTCCAGACTCCTCAGCTAACAGTCTCAAAACTAAAACAATATGAAGAATATTAGCACTTATCATTTTGAAATTTATTAAAACATAAATGACCCCATGGCTTGAAGAGTGAAACATTTTTTTCAGTAAAAAATGCGTAAGTCTCATCTTCCAGTGTAAAATGTGGTGTTAAAATTGTCTACCCATAGGTGGTGCTGTTTACATAGTTCTTGAATGGCTGTGGCTTTCAAATGAAATGCAGTCATGGGCTAGACACGGGTGTTTCTGTCAATGATGGACCACATAGATGTCTGTGGTCCCACAAAATTATAATACTGTATTTTTATGGTATCTTTTCTATGTTTAGATACACCAATATTTAACACTGTGTTACCACTGCCTGCAGTATTCCCTATAGTCATGTGCTGTACAGGTCTGTAGCCCAGGAGCAGCAGGCTAGACCATCAGGCTGGACCATGAAGGTTTCTGTAAACACACACTCCATGATGTTCACACAATGAGAAAACACCTAACAATGCATTTCTCAGAATGTGCCTGTCATTAAGTGATGCCTGATCGTATACAATATCCTTCCATCCATTCAACAAATAGTTATTGAGCACTCATGTTCACCAAGTGCTGTGTAAAGTACTAGAGATACAAAGAATAAGAATGGCACGGCCTGGGCCTCCAGAGCCTAAGGGAGGGCAAGCGGTGTGTGCAGCATGGTGAAGGGAGGAGAGCTACAGAGTCACAGATAAAGTTAACAGGCAGTTACGACACCATCTGAAAAGCACTGCTCTCAGACTAGAGAGCCAGGGGAGGCTCCCAGAAAAAGGGGATCCTGAGTTGGGTCTCGAAGGATGAGCTGGAGTTCATCAAAAACAGTCACCTTCCCTGCCCCCACCCCCAGTTCCAGATACATCCACCTGTCACTTGGGAGAGGGGAAAACCCCTCCTCCTCCTAGGTGCTAGAAGGTGTTTGCCTTAGAACAATTCATTAAGCTACGAATTTGCTTGTGTGGTTTTCTGCATCTGTGCTTTATTTTATAGTAAAGTAAAAAGAATTTTCTAAATATGTTATCTTCTTACTTAGATCGGCATGTCTTTAATTAGGTCTGGGCTTGATTGCCTATTCATGAGTTAAGGGCCACTGGTATTTCCTTCTCAGTGAGCGCCTGTGCAGACCCTTTACCATTTTTCTATTCCGTGGATTATCTTGTTCTCCCATTTGTGAGTCCTTTGGGAATTAAGCAAAGCAGCCCTGCAGGCATTGTGCCACTGACATTTGTTAGGAGAATGAGTCTTTCTGTGCTGCTCCTTCCCACTCCCTGCCATGCCTTGGACTACGTTCTGTACACAGCAGGTGCTCCATAAGTCCAGCACAGCAGTGAAACTGAAAGAGCAAGGTGAGAACAATTTTCAGAATTTCTGATTCCTCGCTTTTCAGGCTGGGATAAAGACAGAAACAGGCGCTGGGGAATTCCAAGACATCCCCAAGAAAAAAAGCCCTGCAAGCAGGGGAGTGGGAGGGACACAAGTGTGCAGGCCTCAACTCCAACAGTCTGGGATGCAGACATGACACTCACAGCTGCCACTGTGGCGAGCCGACCGCAGACCAGCTCTGCACTGAGGCTCCTATGCATGGGATCTTAGGCACCCTGTGAGGCAGGTACCACTTTTACTGCTACTGAGGAAAACCCCAAAGAGATTAAGTCACTTGTTCACAATGACAAAGCAAAGCAGCAGAGCTGGGATTAACACTTGGCTGTGGCAATAAAGGCCCATCATTTTAACCTTCTTTTGTTATAGTGATCAGGGCAAAAAGATTCATTCGACTAATGCTTGTTGAGCACCTACTGTGTGCTGGGCATTGTTCTAGATGGTGGCCTGGTCTGAGTGGATTAGTGAAACTTGTTTGGTACTTAAACGTCCAACTGAAGTACTTCGGGCTGGAAACATGATGAACCACATCTAAAATAACATTGCAAGAGTGCATTTATTCACACAAAGACATGCTCATTTAGCAAATGAAGAAGGGATCACAAAATATGCACAAGAATGGCATTTATGTCAAAATTATACACTACACTCATACAGCACCCTGCAAATAAAAGTCCACGTGGAAATGTAATGACTGTTGGCTGTGAGTTCGCTGAGTGGTGAGACTGCAGGTGATTGTTGTTTCTTCTTTTTAGTGCATCTAGATTTTTTTTTTTTTTTTTTTGAGGAAGGGTCTCATTCCCATTGCTCAGTCCGGAGTACAGTGGTATGATCGCAGCTCACTGTAGTCTCAGCCTCCCAGGCTCGAGCAATCCTCCCACATCAGCCTCTCAAGTAGGTGGGACTACAGGTATGTGCCAACACGCTCAGCTAATTTTTGTATTTTTTGTAGAGATGGGGTCTTGCCATGTTGTCCAGGCTGGTCTTGAATTCCTGGGCTCAAGTGATCCACCCGCTTCGGCCTGCTGAAGTGCTAGGATTACAGGAGTGGGCCACCACGCCCGGCCTAGATTTTCTAAAACAAGTTACTTGTATAATAAATAAATGGCCTCAAAAAAGGAAAAAAGTTGTGCTGGGGAAAAGTGCGCAATGTGTTGGAGAGGCATGCGTGTCAGGGCACAAAAGGGAATGAGGAGCTGGTGGATGAAGGGCCCAGAGCCCCAGCCAAGGAGTACTGTTGAGCCGACGGCAGCAGTGATGCTATCGTAAAGGAAAAACAACTTTGCGCCCTGAAGAGCCCTGAGATGAAATAGTCACCAAATGCTAGAGCTTTAGAAAGGACAGGCGCTCAAGGTGTCCAGCCCAGTGGTTCTCGACCTGACAGCTGTACTACGGGGCTGTCTGATCCCGGGGTTGAGGGGGCACAACACAAAAGGGCACCACACCTAACATGCCAACGTCTTCACTATTTTGAGGTGGGTTTTTTTTTTTTCATGTTTGTTGACTCCAAAGATGGGCAGTTTATATCAAACTTGTCCAACCCACAGCCCACAGGCCACATGCGGCCCAGGACGACTTTGAATGTGGCCCAACACAAATTTGTAAACTTTCTTAAACATGAGATTTTTTTGGCAATTTTCTTTTTTTTTTTTTTTTTTTTTTTTTTAGCTCATCAGCTATCATTATTGTTCGTGTATTTTGTGTGTGGCCCAAGACAATTCTTTTAATCTGGGGAAGCCAAAAGTCCAGGGAGGCCGAAGTCCAGGGACACCCCTGATTTATACATATGTGACAACAAAGTTTCTAGCACATGACTGAAACATCCTTATTCTAACAAAATCAACTCATTTCAACAACTTTCAGTAAAGCTGAAACAGTGTCTTGCTTATAGAGCTGACATAGCTCATTCCCTTAAGACTTACAAAAGGGGAACCAGTTTGATAATTGAAATGCTTTATCAATCTAGCAACATCTAACATGAACCGTGCTTCTAAATAAGCAGCCAATTTTCTATCAGGTATAAAATACTTTTTTAATTGAAAAATATCTCCATCAGATTAGTTCACTGGCTACATTTTACAAGCCTTCCATCACGATGTTATTGCCAATTCTCTATTTAAATGTAGTATTTCATGATGACATGAATCACTATGTAATTATTAACGTTCATTTATCATCAATAATACATAAAGTAAAATACTACCATATATTGCTTTTGTTTTTAATAGAGGTTTTGTTGGTGCAAAGATTAAATGCTGTTAAAATTTTGTGGCTTGTTACAAAGTATTTGAAAAAATTAAACATTCTAAGATAAAGGTCTTCCATATCACAAGAAAGACTCAAATCCAGTGACCATTTGTAAAGAAAATGAGACATGGGAGCAAGAAGACTGAAACTATCATAAAGAATACAGTTTTGGCCAGGTGCGGTGGCTCACGCCTGTAATCCCAGCACTTTGGGAGGCCGAGGTGGGCGGATCACAAGGTCAAGAGATCGAGACCATCCTGGCCAATGTGGTGAAACCCCGTCTCTACTAAAAATATAAAACTTAGCTGGGCATGGTGGCACGCACCTGTAGTCCCAGCTTCTCGGGAGGCTGAGGCAGGAGAATCTCTTGAACCCAAGAGGCAGAGGCTGCAGTGACCCGAGATTGTGCCACTGCACTCCAGCCTGGTGACAGAGCGAGACTCCATCTCAAAAAAAAAAAAGGAAAAAGAAAAAGAATATAGTTTTATGAAAGCAAAACATGTAATTACTTTAAAATAAAGTATCTCAGAAAAGGTTAATATTTAGGACTCCACAAACACTATTATTTTGTGTTCAATAGTAAGATTTGTATAATTTATACAGAATGGTTTTCTATCTGCTGTAAGTATTATTATTGAGAAATAGTGCTGAGATGGAACTGTTTTTCTGAAGTAAAGGGAGCCTTTTTCTAATTTGCGCCTAAGTGCCATATGTGCTAACGACAGCTTTGCACATGGCGTGTGAGAAGCTGTGAGCTTTATGGCTAATAATCTGTTGTGGCTGCAAGTTAAAGCACTGCCTGTGTGAATGATTTGCTTCTTCTACAAAGCAGCACAGGGTGGAAGCCATCCCTATGACGTCAGCACTCTCACTCACATGCACCCTAACTAGCCTTCCTGAGTGGAAGAGAATGGGGCTCTGGAACAGCGGGCAGGCTGGGATCGCAAGCAGCCCACAGACCAGCTCCCGCCCGATGCCTTATTTAAGAACTGTGAGCTTCACAAGGATTTATAATACTTTATTTCCCCCAACTACGTTAGACACAAGTGCAACGCGGATTGTGACAAAATCTAACACTTTCATCTTACAAATGAGGAAAATAAAAAGTGAGGAATTGTAGAAAATCTCACTGATTACTTTCCTCTGCTCCACACAAGCCTGTCTTTATAAGAACTATCACAGGGATGACGATCATTTACTGAGTGCCAAGCCCTACGCTGGATAATTTCCTACAAGTTAGCTCATTTATAAGATTCAAGGGCATTAGGTATAAAATCTCTAATTTGTAGAGGAAAAAACTGAGGCTTGGAGACATTAAGGCAGAACTGGATACACACCCAGATCTTTCTTTTACTGCAGAGCCTCTGCCCTTTCCACCATGTCTTGCTGCCTACAGGAACCCAACAAGGGCAATTTTTTAAATCACAGGACAGCCTGCAGGAACAATGGACATGTCGAGTGAGCGATGGGGACGAGGCATGCCATCTTGAGTCCACTGAACGCAGTAATGTTTAAAAACAGAAATTACATGGGGGCCACCTCCCTACTCCTTTCCTTCCCTGTGTCCCATCCTCGAGGGTGGCATTTCTCAGCAAGACTCCAGATCTGCTTTGGTGCTGGGGTCAAGGCAGCCTGAGCATGGGGCTGCGCACGTGGGAATACAGAGGAAGAAAGGCGGGAAGGGGTCAGGCAGCCACTGAATTACCAGCTTAACCTTCACTTCTACCGAGTCTTAGCTGCTTCTTTTGAGTTACTGCAGCTCTTACTCCTATGGGTCCCTGTCAAGACCAGCAATTGCCTAAGAGGAGACAGTAACTGTCTCTGAAACCCCTTCAGTGCATGATGCATGAAACTCAGCCAGCTCTGTGCTATGCTCGCCTCAACCACGCCTGGGTTCTAACAAGACAAAGAATTTATTTTTAAATGGACATGTTTAGTTGCCTGAATTAGTTTGGGAACATGATTAGTAAATTTTCCCAGTCCCTCATTTCCAAATCAAAATTTCCTACTGTGGCATTTCTCAAAAATCTCTTTGTAAATATCTTCTATGGAAATATTTACCCAGCACATTTACCAAAGCCATAGGATTTTAAAGATAAAATGGATCTGGAGTTTACACAATGCAGATTCTTTTTGGAAATTCTTAATAAAAATCAGATGTGCAGAGGAGGAGCCAAGTCTCTAAGAACTGCCAAGATCTAGACATTTCAGGTCAACTTCCAAGCTTACCCTGAATTCAAAGAAGCTTTGGGCTACGTTGCACCTCCCACTAATTCACACTCTGTTGCCACTGTAACCACTTGGCCTCATTTCCAAGGTATTATCACCCCATTAGCATAATCTTCTGATAAGAAGTACTAATAGTCTAAATGAGAAGAAGACAGAACCCATGTTAATGGTTTTTTAAATTGTTAATAGACCGTGGACCTGACCTGTTATAGATGTGAGAAGTGTCTCTATGTTTTCTACAACAGACATCTTTTAGGAATAAAACTGAAAAAGAGTTTAAGCTTCCTTTATAGGACTGAATCACCATGGATTTACAAACTTGGAAGTTTTATAGCCTGTGGGTTGGAGTCGATTGCTTTATGACTAAGCCTTCTCCTTACATGAACATTTGGGAAAAAAAACACATGCTTAGCCTCTGAAGCTGAAATTCCTTCCTCAGCTTTACTAAACAGAGAGAATAAAATTAAAGTACAATGTTTAAAAAGTGAGAACAAAGTACAATGTTAGGTAAAAATACATAGAGAAACTGGATTTTCTTTACAAAGTACATTATATAGATATAAATATATTATATAGACACAAAACAAGCTGCTAAAATGCCAAAAAGCAGCATTCAGGAACAAAATGTTACTATTAGTTTCACTGATACTTATCATAATCCATTACAAACTAACCTCATAGAAAAACTCAAAAATTTGGAGTCCACGTATTTCATGAAACCATAAAGAAAAATGGTTCACATTTCTGGTGTTAGCATCAATATGAAACATAGCCTCTGATAAATCATAAAATTACAACTTTTCAGCCACTGTGTCTCAGAAAATACTGCTGACAAACTTAAAGCAGTCCATTAAAATGAACTTAAAAAGGTCAGGAGAGTGTACTAGAAATCGAAGGTGCTCAGGTAGAAATTCAGAATGGCTTCCCCAGTTCTAGGTACTTGGTACTAAGAAATTCTCAGGAACTACTTATGTCTACATGAGAGTGCTGGGAATCTGAGTGACAGTTTTTCCACCTGGACGGTAGTTTGTGTGAACTGTGCCTGGCAGCTGCCCTCAAATGGCTGTTTGATTAGTCCTATAAATACCTGAGGAGAAGGTCTTCTTCTCCAAGAGTACTCCCAGCTTGTTGGAATATGAGGGGATCTTCTGACTCCTCTCTGGGGACAAGCCGTACTAACATATCTGAACAGCAGGAACTGAGAGATAAGACGTCCTTACCTTTCACTGTTCTTTTTGCCACTGGAAGAGCTGCTGGTGGAGCCTGTGCGATTCCGGTTTCCTCTGGAATCCCCATTGCTTTCCCTTCGACCCCCAGGAGACACTCGTTCAGAAGAGCTGGTCCTCTTGATGTTACTAAGGGTGGAATGGAAGTGACAGTGAACTCCTTAATATCGTGACTTTATTTTATTGCTAAGCATACAAATATATACATAGAACGTCATACTTCCACATGGATATTCAAAAGACAGGCCTAGCAACGGAGATCAAAAAGCTTTTCAGAGTGTCACATAGAATAACATCTCTGCTCTCTCTCTGCCTTTTTAACTGAGGCCACTAGCACAGTTCACAGTCATGGAGAAACTGAGGCATTAAGACTTCAACAGTACCGTGTGAGAGCACTCCAGGGGCTTCCAGGGAAGCAATCCTGCCCTTGAGTAGGCTTCACTTTCCAGGGATGTCCAATCTTTTGGTTTCCCTGGGCCACATTGGAAGAAGAATTGTCTTGGGCCACATATAAAATATACTAATGCTAACGATAGCCGACGAATTAAACAAAAAAAAAATTGCAAAGAAAATAGAGTATTAAGAAAGTTGACAAATCTGTGTTGGGCCACATTCAAAGCTGTCCTGAGCCACACAAGGCCCATGGGCCCATGGGTTGGACAACCTTGGTCCAGATGGTGGTGTGCAACCCGGGGGGATGGTGCCCCCAAGACATCTGGCAATGTCTGGCGACATCCTTCTGTTGCCACAGCTGGGGAGGGACTGCTACTGCCATGTAGTGGGTGGAGACCCGGGGTGCGGCTAGAAATCCTGCATGGCCCGGGATGGCTCACTCCACAAAGTAGCACCTGGCCCCAGACGTCGATAGTGCTGAGGTTGAAGAAATCTGGCCTAAAGGCAGGCGTGGGACAAATGCTAACAGGACGTCACGAGTAACGACAGAAACGTTCCACCCTGTGTACAATGCCTTTGTTTGGAGGTGGTGTCCATGTTAAGCGGCCAACTTCATTCATAGGACAAGAGGGACTAGAGTGCTCAGAGGCCTGGGAAGGCAGCCTGGGGAAGTCTTCCCAAAGACTGCGAAATTCCGGGAAAGATCAAATGAATGGCTTGAATGTGTTGTTATGACACAGATGGAAAGAGCCTGCTCTAGGAGAAGGGATCCCCTATACACAGGGGATTCGTAGGCATGAGGGGTAAACCAGAGCCCAGGTATGGAGTGGAGGCTGATTGTTCCCCTCTTAGAGCACACTATGGACTGTTTGTATTCCCCAAATTCATGTGTGGAAACCCTAACCCTCAATGTGATGGTGTTAGGGGGTGGGGCCTTTGGGAGGTGATGAGGTCAGCAGGGTGAAGCCCTCATGAGTGGAATTAGTGCCCTTATGGAAGAGGCCCAGAGAGCTCTCTTACCCTTTTCCACCATGTGAGAAGATGGCCGCCTGCAACCTGGAAGACAGCCCTCATCAGAACCTGACCATGCTGGCCCCCCTGGTCTCGGACTCCCAGCCTCCAGGATGGTGAGACATATATTTCTGCTGTTTATAAGCTTCCCAGTCTATGGACTTTGTTACAGCAACCCAAACTCACTAAGACAGAGCACATAACTCTAGTATAGGTATCTCTGTACATACTTAAAAATCTACATCATTAGTCCACGCATTTCTTGAGATCTTATCTCATTTATCATTTTCGTAGCTTTGCAGAGCCCTATACAAAAGTTTGGTACACATTTATTAAATGAAAGGATGAAATAAATGGAAGTATCACACACTGACCCTGTCACCAGAAGAGACACAAACTGCTTTAATGCAGCACCTGCTCTGTAAGCAAAAAAGGAGGAGGGGAGGGGCAGGCAGGGGGCTGTTCTAGGGCCAGGGCTCTGGGAACACACACAGACTTGGGTGGCTCTAGTCTTGACACTTGGAGCTGGAGGTGTGGGTGGGTGAGAATACAAGCCTGCAACACGCGAGACAGCTCAGGACAGACTCTATCCATCTGGCGGGTGCTGAGCCACGGATGCAGAGGAAATCACCGAGGGAGGAGGTGACCAAGGACAGAAGAGCCCTGGGGAAACTAATGTTTAAAGACGTGGGCTGAGAAGCTACCACAGGAGTCAGAGGTAGCAGCGACACCAGGAGAGAAGGAGTGGTGCGCAAAGGCTAGCGCAGGATTAGGTAAATGTGCTGGTGCTGCACAGAGGAGGGGGTGAGCCCTGGGAAGTGGGGAGTCTCAGGCGGCGCCAGTGGGCACAGCTTCAGTGAAGGGTGCACGGGGACCAGATCTCAACAAGGAGCACGCAGGAGCTGAGGAACTTAACACAGCAAGACCCCTGCGCCTGCACTGAAGCTCAACGTCCTCCCTCCTCATAAGTAAATGACAAGCCTCCCATCCAGGCAGCTCCTGCCTGGGGCTGGCCACTCTCCTTCTTGGTAGCCAGTGACTCTCTCCTCTCTTCCTTCCTTCCCCTCTCTGTCTCCTCTGTCTATACACCCTCCTTAGCTCAACTTTCACTCTTCCTTCCTTTGCAACTTCCAGTGGCTCAGTTAGTAATCTCCAAGCAGGTTTTTAAAAACCCTCATGGTATGCTGGCTTTGAAATCACTCTCAGGGTGATTATCTGAATACACTTTCCACATAGTCTTTTTGTTAACTGGGGAACCCCTGAGTGGACAGTGCCAGAATCTTACAACTGCAATCTGCAGGGTGTGCCTTAAGGTCAAAATGTGTGTTTTTAGAATGCTCAATTTGGGGACAAGGAAATTACAGATTTTAAGAGAGCATTACATTTCTGAAATTTGGGATTAAAGTCTAAAAATTATAGGAGCCTTTGTGCTTCAAGTTCAAGATGTTCCCATGACGACAAACACCAAGCTAATTTGACTTAGCAGGATTATTCTCCGCCCAGTCTTTAGTACAAGGCTCTGATGCACACTTTGCCCAACCAGCTGCCGGGGCCCTGGGAGATTTTGCAGCCGCAAGAAGAGCCCAGAGCACAGCTTCTGGGGCGTCCTTGTGGGAGTTCATGGCAAGTTCATAGCAACTTAAAGAACTGTATAAAACACCCTTAAAGAGCTGAAAAACCACAACTGTTCATCAATTACAGCAAACACTAACTGATTTTCTAATAATTAACACTCAACCTGGTGGCTGGAAGAGTTCACGGGGGTGCCAGTGATGAAAACTGCAGCAGCAGCAGCCACAGTTAACGTTTAAGGCATACTCTGGACTTTTACATATACTGTATTACTTAATTCAAACCTCACAAATCCCCTGCAGCAATATCATTATCCTCATTTTACAGATGAAGAACCGAATTCAGGAGTGTGAAGCAACTTGTTTGGGGTTACAGCAAGTGGTGGGGCTGGTGACTTCAACCCTGTGTTCTCTCTATTAGGCCCCTAATTAACACCATCTGCAATTTATGAACCGCCAAAGTATACTGTTTTGGAGGACCAGTTGAGCATCTAAAAAAACAATAAATGTCAATGATTAATATAGTTACATGATTGATGACTTGATGAATGGTAGGCACTGGACAAGACCTTGAAGCTACTACGTTAAAACAGAGATGGAAACAATGGAAGGAACAGCTATGGTGACAAAGTAAATCTAAGTTCCCCTCACCTTGGTGTCGATCTATTCAGTTTGCAAGCATTGAGAAGACTCACAGATCTGTTTAATCTACATATAAGAGGCACAGAAATAAAGCAGAATAAATGTGAGTGCAATTAATAAAAGCGTGGAAAAGTATTTTGATAAGCTTCAGTAAATTGCAGGACGCACACATCAAAATCGAAAGACATTTTGGTTCGCAAATATAGACGTGGATATAATCCTTCACAACTCTTCCAAGATATTTGTCATTCCCATATTTGCATTAAAATGTTAAACTTTTTAAAAAAATCTTACTGTTGTCCCAGACGTAGAATAAAAAACAAGACATTTCCTTTTGAGAACCAAGGGCTCTTATGAATTAAAGAGGATTTACTAGGACTCAAAGTGAAGGACAGAAAATAAAGCTTAAAGACAAGACATTTGCAGTAACAAGGGCAGCCAGAGAGAGCAATACCGTACACTCACTGCAGGAAGCCTCCTCAAATAACCAGCAGGGAATATCAAAGAAGCTATGTTCTCTCTGGACGGCGAGTGAAAAATAATGCTCTTTATTTTGAAAGTGGTAGAAGTACTGGCTTGTGAGAGACTGTGCAATAATGCAGTATATTTTTTAGTGCTTAAGGCAAGTATTTTTTGTATAGAAATGCATAGACATCACCACTTATTTTGTTTTCCCTTCTGCTCTCTGTCCGCACACCCAAACCTGCAACCTTGTAAGTTATGAAAATAAATGGTTCTTTATATTACATTGCATATGCATTCAACAATTTGTGCCACTTAACACTTTAGACATAATAAAATTTCTGCAGGGAGACTGGTGACCATAAGAAAAACAGATGTCTTTCTTCTTATGGTTAATAAGAATTCTAAGCATAAGAAGCTACAATTAGGTTTTCTTTCATCATGTGATTGGGAATCAAAAATTGATTTTCCAAAATTTTGCAAAAGTATCCCAAACTTTTACAACCAAAACAGAAATCTGACAGACAGCTCTTATGTGTGACCAGAGATTTTCTGATGATTTCATTTGTCCTGACAGCTGGGGCGACTAACACTGGATAAAAGCAGTGATCTGCTCAACAGACACTTACTAGGCATCAACCATCCACTGTGCGCTATGCTGAGTGCTGGAGGGTCCACAAGGGACCAGGACCCACCTGGCTTTTGTCCCTCAAATTAGGAGATAATTCTGACAGACTGAGATAACGCACTTCAGTAATTAAATTAACAAATGCTCATATCTTTCACTGTCTAAAAACTGATCTTCGGCAAAATCCAAGTCATTTTTCAGGAAGGCTAGTGGTCTGGGAGAATCTTAGAGAATTCTATATACATAAGTCTTTCTTTCTACAATACAAAGTCAACTACTCGAGCTAGTGGGGAGAACCATATCACTTCTGATAAGGGGACAGGTCCCGCAGGTCTTCCTTTGTTCAACAGGACAATACTTCCACCTCTATTTTGCTACTGAGAACAGACTCAAACATGGATTTATCACCTACGTTTCAATGGATCGGAATAATAGAGAAATATATTAGAAATAATTCTTAAAAATCAACTGAAGCCAGATTTTGGCTTTCTATTCTTCAAATCACGCTATGTACCCAGCACTGGCTTCAGTGCAATTACAAATGCTGTACTTCTAACAAGTGGAACTATTTTTCCAAAGGACTATTGGCTGTTTGTTTGGAAGCAAGAGATATTTACCAGTCTATCTCACATTTGTCACAGAGCATTTTTTAAATAACGCTTTTTGTACCAGTTTTGTTCTTTTGATCTCTGTTCACATAGCTTGGCCTATTGTCATGCTCTACTTATGAGCCCAGAGAACAGTGATTGTCTCTTTCTTGAACCAGTAGAAATGTTACTCCATTGTCAGCCTCCGCATCCCCACTGAGCAAGGTATGACCTACAATGTCTTCCCTGGATTTTCTGCCTTTTTTCCTTTGCCTAATGGAAACAAAGCTTTTCCCAAGGATTCCAAATCAAGCCCTCAATCGAAGTCTTAATTGGCAACACAAAGCACAACCGCTGGGAACTGGACTATTTCCAAAGGGGATTTTGTTCTTAAGCACCAGGCTGAAAAACCCCCGGAGAAAAGAAAACAAACATATACCCATCCACACACCACAGATGCCCCAACTCATTTAATTTGGAACTCTGATTACAGAAAAATTCCTACCTGATTGTAAACATATTTGAAATGACTTGGAAGTTATTTTAATCCTAATATTCAGAATGCCCAGCCTGCTTCTTTCTGTTTTCAAAATTCTCTCCTAATGAGAGATCTATAGGAACTTTACCACAGAGTAGCAATTAGATGCTACTGTTCTTATTTCTAGCTTCCAAATGGAAGGGAAGTCCCATCCACCGAAGCCCATAAATGCCAGAAACGAACCAAAATACATGAATCACTACACTTTCACTCAAAACCCAGAGTCTTGGACACTCAGTCTAGAAAAATATGTATTTCTAGTTGGCAGCTATATGCTGACAATAGCTTATTAGAGTAATCAAACGGATATTCTGTAAATTATAAGGAAAAGTCTACAGAGGCCTTAGAATGTTTCTGGGAGGAGGGTTACCATTTAAGTGCTAGCACACACACGTACACACTTAGATATAACACGATGGCTACTAAGCATAATTTTTCACGTGTTCGTTCACTCCTTCCTGTCTTGCTCCCTTCCTCCCTCCCTTCTTCCCTAAGATAAAATTGCTGAGAGTAATTGCCACCTAGGAGCCCTTTCATATGTGGCTGAAATGTGGGGGTGTAAGACCCAGGCCTCTGTTCATAGCCAGGACTTGTTTCCTTACTTGGTGTTTGGCCCCGACATCCCCTTAACAACATCAGACCTGCAATCTGAGAAATCTTTGCTGAGAGTCACCCTCACTCCTGACTGCTGCTCCTGCTCCCACAAATAGTACACAGACAGGATGGGGCATAAAAGAAGGATGATTTGCAAGCAGTCATTATATCAAGCGTTTTTCCTGAGCAGATGTCAGGGCTGACCTGGAAATCTGTGCGGGAAGCAGCCGAGCACAATGGAAGGCGCACAGGCTTTGGAGCCAGACAGCCCGGGCCACGTTCCCCACGCTCCAGCCACACGACCCTGCCACTGCTTCATCAGGGTTTGTGTGCTACTCTAAACCCTTTATTGTCATGAAATGTGAACAGTGTTCACAGCATCTTCTCTCGGAGTAGATCCTATCGCAAGAAACTACTATTTTGGCAGTAATTCCTCGCCCATTAAAGTTTTATCAGGAGATCGTAGCAACTCAGTCCTATCCTCAGGCTGCATTTCGAATTCTAGTTCTCTTGCTATTTCTACCACATTTGCAGTGACTTTCTCCAGTGAAGTCTTGAATTGCCTCAGAGTCATCCATGAGGGCTGAAATCATCTTCTTCCAAACTTCCCTGTTCATGTTGAGATTTTGGCCTCCTCCCATGAATCATAAATGTTCTTTTTTTTTTTTTTCCTTTGAGACAGGGTCTCGCTCTGTTGACCAGGCTGGAGTGCAGTAGCACAATCATGGCTCACTGCAGTCTCAAACTCCTGGCCTCAAGTGATCCTCCTGCCTCGACTTCCCAAAGTGCTGGGATTACAGGTGTGAGCCACTGTGCTTGGCCCCACAAATGTTCTTAAAGACTTTTAAAATGTTGAATCCTTTCTAGAAGGTTTTCAGTTGACATTGCCCAGATCTATTAGAGGAATCACTATCAATGGCAGCAAATGCCTTGCCAGGTGCGGTGGCTCACGCCTGTAATCCCAGCACTTTGAGAGGCCGAGGAGGGCAGATCATGAGGTCAAGAGATCGAGATCATCTTAGCCAACATGGCAAAACCCTGTCTCTACTAAAAATACAAAAAAATTAGCTGGATATGGTGGTGTGCGCCTGTAATCCCAGCTACTTGGGAGGCTGAGGCAGGAGAATCACTTGAACCCGGGAGGCGGAGGTTGCAGTGAGCCAAAATCGCGCCACTGCACTCCAGCCTGGGTGACAGAGCAAGACTGTCTCAAAAAAAAAAAATGTTATTTCCTAAATAATAAAACTTGACAGTTGAAATTACTCCTTGATCCAAGGGCTGCAGAATGCGTGTTGTGTGAGCCAGCATAAAAACATTAATTTCCGCTCCATCAGAGCTCCTGGATGACTAGGTACACTGTAAATGAATGGTAATATTTGGAAAGGAAGCTTTTTCTTCCGAGCAGTAGGCCTCAACAATGGGCTAAGAATATTCAGTACATCATATTGCTACAACAGATGTGCTGTCATCTAGGTTTTCTTCCATTTATAGAGCACAGGCAGAGATTTAGCATCATTCTTAAGGGCCCTAGGATTTTTGGAATGATAAATGAACACTAGCTCCAATTTAAAGTCACCAGCCACATCAGGCCCTAACAAGAGTCAGTCTGTCCTTTGAAGCTTTGAAGTCAGGTATTGACTTCTCATATAAAAGCCCTAGATGGCACCTTCCTCCAATGTAACGCTGTTTCATCTACATTGAAAATGTGTTGTTTAGTGTAGCTGCTTTCACCAGTTATCTTAGCTAGCTAGGTCTTCTGCATAACCTGTAGCAGCTTCTACAATAGCACTTGCTGCTTTACCTTGCACTTTTATGTTATGGAGAGGGCATCTTCCCTTAAACCTCATGAGCCAACCTCTGCTGGCTTCAATCTTTTCTTCTACAGCTTCCTCACCTCTCTCAGATTTCATAAAATTGAAGAGAGTTAAGGCCTTGCTCTGTATTAGGCTTTGGCTTAAGGGAATGTTGTGCCTCGTATGATCTTTGATTCTGACCACTCAAACTTTCTCCCTATCAGGAATAAGGATGTTGCTTTTTATTTTTTTCTTTTATCATTCACGTGTTCACTGGAGTAGCACTTCGAATTTCCTTCAAGAACTTTTTCTTTGCATCTATAACTTGGCTAACTGTTTGGAACAACAGGCCTGCATGAGTCCGTTTTGTGCAGCTATAAAGGAATGCCCAAGGCTGGGTAATTTATAAAGAAAAGAGGTTTAATTGCCTCACAGTTCTGCAGGCTGTCCAGGAAGCATGGCACCGGCATTTGCTCAGCTTCTGGTGCGGCCTCAGGGAGTTTTCAATCATGGCAGAAGACAAGACAGGAGCAGGCACGTCCTTTGGCAAGAGAGGGAGCAAGTGGGGAGGAGGTGCCACGCTCTTTTAAACAACCAGACCTTGAGTGAACTCAGAGCAAGAACTCACTTATTGTGAAGACAGCACCAATACGTTCATGAGGGATCTACCCTGATGAACCAAACACCTCCTCCCAGGCCCATCTCCAACAGTGGGGATCACACTTCAACATGAAATTTGGAGGAGACAAACATCTAAACCACATGATGGTCTATCCTGGCTTTTGACATGTCTTCCTCATTAAGCCGAATCATGTCTAGCTTTTGATTTAAAGTGAAAAATGTATGACTCTTCCTTCACTTGAACACTTAGAGGCCATTATAGGGTTACTAAATGGCCTTATTTCAATATTGTTGTGTCTCAGGGAAAAGGGAGGCCAATGGAGAGGGAAAGAGATGGGGAAACAATGGGCAGAGGAGTCAGGACACAAACCACATTTATGGATTAAGTTTGCCACCTTCTATGGGTGCTGTTTTTGGTGCCCCAAAACAATTACAGTATTAACACCAAAGATCACTGATCACCATACCAGACATAATGATAACAAAAAAGTTGTAATGTTGCAAGAATTACCAAAATGTGACATGAAGTGGGTACATGTTGGAAAAACGATGCTGATAGATTTACTCAACACAGGGTTGCCACCACCACCAATTTGTAAAAAAAATGTGGTATCTCTAAAGCACAATAAAGCCAGACACAATAAAATGAGGCATGCATGTATTTGCTACAATAAAAAGTCAATCTTTAAATTAAACAACTCACTCTTAAACAATCAATGGTCAAAGAAGAAATCACAAAGAAATTTTAAAAATATCCGGAGACATATGAAAACACAACATACCAAAACTTTACAGGAGGCAGTGAAAGGGGTACTAAGAGGGAAGTCTATAGTGATCAAAGTTTTCATAAAAAGAAGACAGATCTCACATCAGCCTCCTAACTTTATACTTCAAGGAACTAGAAGAAGAAGATAAAACCAAAAGTTGGCAGAGCGAAGGAAATAATAAAGATTAGAGCAGAGATAAATGAAGTGGAGAATAGAAAAACAATAGGAAAAAAATCAACAAAACCAAGAATTGTTTTTTTTAAAAAAGATCAACAAAATTGAAAAACCCTTAGCTAGACTAACAAAGAAAGACAGAAAATTTAAATAACTAAAATTAGAAATGAAAGGACATTACAACGGATATAACAAAAACGAGAAGGACTATAAGAGACCACTGTGAACAAGCATATGCCAGCAAATTGGGTGACCTAGAGCAAATGGATAAGTCCTAGAAACACAAAGCCCACCAGGACTGAATCATAAAGAAGCAAAAAATATGAACAGACCTAGAACTAGTAAGGAGACTGAAGCAGTAATCAAAAACCTCCCAACAAAGAAAAGTCCAGGACCCAATGGCTGCAGCGGAGAATTCTATCAAACATTTAAAAAAGGATAAATTCCAATGCTCCTTAAACTCTTCCAAAGAATTGAGGAGGAGGGAACACTTCCAAATCATTGCATGAGGCCAGCATTATTCTAATACCAAAACCAGACAAAGACACAAGAAAAGAAAACTATAGACCAATATCCCTGATGAATGCTGATGAAAAAATCCTCAACAAAATACTAGTAAACTGAAAACAACAGCACATTAAATGGATTATATACCATGACAAATTAGGATTTATATTTGGAATGCAAGAATGATTCAACACATAAAAATCAATCAATGTGATACAATATTCACAGAATAAAGGACAAAAACCACATGATCATTTCAACTGATGCAGAAAAAGCATTTGACAAAATTCAACTCCTTTTCATGATAAAAAAACACAACAAACTAGGAATAGAAGGAAACTACCTCAATGTAATAAACGCCATATTTGAGTGGCCACAGCTCAAATAATACTCAATGGTAAAAGACTGAAAGCTTTTCCTCTAAAATTAGGAAGAAGGCAAGATACCCACTCTTGCCACTATTATTCAACATAGTACTCAAAGTCCTACCCAGAGCAATCAGACAAGAGAAAGAAATGAAAGGCATCCAAATAGGAAAGGATCCAAAGTAAAACTATCGGTCTACAGATGACAGAATCTTATATTTAGAAAACCCTAAAGATTCCAGAAGAAAACTGTGAGGACTAATACATAATTTCAACAAAGTTTCAGGTACAAAACCAACACACAAAAATCAGATGCATTTCTATATAATAACAATGACCAAGCTGAAAAGGAAGTTAAGAAATTAATTCTATTTACTGAAGCATCAAAAAGGATAAAATACTTAGGAATAACTTTAACCAAGGAGTTAGAAGACTCATACACTGAGAACTACAAAACTTTGCTAAAAGAAAATACAAAAAAAGAGAAAGACATCCTATGTTTATGGATTGGAAGACTTAATATTGCTAAAATCTCCATGCTACTCAAAGTGATATGCAGATTTAATGCAATCTCTATCAAAATCCCAAAGGCATTTTTTTGCAGAAATAGAAAAAAACTATCCTAAAATTCATATGGAATATCAAGGGACCCTAAATAGCCAAAACAATCATGAAAAAGAAGAATACAGTTGGGGGCCTCCCATTTCCTGATTTTAAAACATACTAAAAAGCAATAGTAATCAAGATGGTAGGGTATTGGCCATAAGGACAGATGTGCAGATAAATGGTACAGAATAGCCACTGATGGATGAATGTATAGACAAAATATGATAAAGATGGGGATAAGAGACACTGGGGACTCCAAAAGGAGGGTGGGAGAGAGGTGGGTAAGGGTTGAAAAACTTCCTATTTGGTACTATCTTCACTATCTGGGTAACAGGATCAACAGAAGCCCAAACCTCAGTATCACAAATATACCCTTGTAACAAACCTGCACACATACCCCCTGAACCTAAAATTAAGATAAAAAGCAAAATATGATATATACACACAATGCAATATTATCCAGCCTTAAAATCAGTCACATGCTACAATATGGATGCATGTCGAGGACATCATGCTAAACAAAGTAAGCCAGTCACAAAAGAACAAGCACTACTTAGATGATCCCACTCCTAGGAAATACCTAATGTAGTCAGAATCATAGCAACAAAAAGTAGAGAGGTGGTTGCCAAGGGCAGTGGGGAGAGTAGAGGGGAGTTACTATTTAATGGGTCTAGAGTTTCTATTTTGCCTGATGAAAAAGTTCTAGAGATCTGTTGCACAACAATAGATGCGTGAATATACTTAACACTACTGAACTCTTTTTTTTTTTTTTTTTTTTTTTTTTGAGATGGAGTTTTGCTCTTGTCACCCAGGCTGGGGTGCAATGGTGCAATCTTGACTCACTGCAACCTTGGCCTTCCAGGTTCAAGCGATTCTCCTGCCTCAGCCTCCCAAGTAGCTGGGATCACAGGCATGTGCCACCACGCTCAGATAATTTTTGTATTTTTAGTAGAGATAGGGCTTCGCCTGTTGGTCAGGCTGGTCTCGAACTCCTGACCACAGATGATCTGCCCGCCTTGGCCTCCCAAAGTGCTGGAATTACAGGCATGAGCCACCAAGCCCGGCCAGCACTACTGAACTCTACACTTAAAAATGGTTAAGGTGGGCTGGTCTCACACTCCTGAGCTCAAGTGATCCGCCCACCTTGGCCTCCCAAAGTGCTGGGATTATAGGTGTAAGCCACTGCACCTGGCCCTAAAATATAAAAATCTTTAAATGATAATTACAAAATAATAGCAAAGTTAAGAGCAAACTGTGCTCTTTGTGACAGATAACATCAATATTTAGACTCCATTGTTGGGTACATTTTGAAAGTATGAGCTTATCCAAATTGCATAGAGAAAAATCTAAGGTTGCTATGGCAATCTGAATTTTGCCATGTTCCCAGTATGGACTTGGGAACAGCTATTTATTTTTACCCAGGTTATACTAACATTTGTTTTTTCAAAAGAGAACTTTAAGTAAAAATACAAAACACCACACTGTGGTTTTAGCCAGTGAGGTTTCAAAGGCAACACAAGTAAATCTAAAACAAGAATAATAATAAACTTAACTAGTTCTTGTTATGGCACCATATAAAATGTTGGACTTTTATAAGCTTTAACTCACAGAAGAAATTGTACAATGTCATTTTAAAAAGTAATACTCATGTTGGAATCTAAGAGAGAACTGCTTTGAGAGTTCATTTAAGGCCCTGCTTCTGGCTCACCTTTTGGTTGCTGGCACAGCAGTTTCTTTCCTGACCCCGGAGGGGGATGGTAGAGAGCCAGTAGGTTTCTTTGGTAACACAGTGCCATTGTTGACCGTGGTTCTTAAAGGCAGGGTCTGCATCAGTGGTCTTGCTGTAAGACAAGCAGAAAATAATATCAGAAAGTTCCCCTTTGCAAAGGTAACATTTTACAGCAGGGGTCCTCAACTGCCTGTTAGGAAGATGAGGCCACACAGCAGGAGGAGGTGAGCAGTGAGCGAGTGAGCAACTCTTCATCTCTATTTACGGTTGCTACCCATCACTCATGTTACCACCTGAGCTCTGCCTCCTGTCAGATCAGATTAGATTCTCATAGGAGTGCAAACTCTTGTGAACTGTGCATGCGAGGGATCTAGGTTGAGCATTCCTTATGAGAATCTAATGCCTGATGATCTGTCGCTGTCTCCCATCAACCCTAGATGGGACTATCTGGTTGCAGGAAAACAAGCTCAGGACTGCCACTGATTCTACGTTATGGTGAGCTGTATAATTATTTCATTATATATTAAAATGTAATAGTAAGAAAGAAGGTACACAATAAATAATAAGAAAGAAGGTACACAATAAATGTACCATGCTTGAATAGCCCCAAAACCATCCCCACCACCCGCCCCACTTCTGTGGAAAAATCATCTTCCACAATTTCCTTGGTGCCAAAAAGGCTGGAGACCACTGTTTTACAGAACATAAGCTAAGTAGAAAGGAAAAGGACATGAATTTTGAAACACCAGCAGCACTGACAAAGGTATGAAGGCAATTCCTTGGAGAAAGGATCATCTTTTCTTTTTTTTTTTTTTTTTTTGAGACAGAGTTTCACTCTTGTTGCTCAGGCTGGAGTGCAGTGGCACAATCTCAGCCAACTCGGTCTCCTGGGTTCAAGCGATTCTCCTACCTCAGCCTCCTGAGTAGCTGGGATTACAGGTGCTGGCTACCATGCCCAGCTAATTTTTGTATATTTAGTAGAGATGGGGTTTCGCCATGTTGGCCAGGCTGGTCTCGAACTCCTGACCTCAGGTGATCCGCCTGCCTCGGCCTCCCAGTGTTGGGATTACAGGTGAGAGCCACCATGCCCAGCCAAGATCATCTTTTCAACAAAGGCAACCTAGACACTAACCTCACACCCTACACAAAAATTAAAACAGCCCATAAACCTAAATTTAAAATGCAAAACTATAAAACTTCTAGAAGAAAGTGGTTTGGTGATGAGTTTTTAGATATAATACCAAAAGCACAATCCATGAAAGAAAAAAATTGATAGTTTGGACTTCATTAACATTTTTAAAAATTTGCAAAAGAACTTAAGAGGATTAAAATACAAGGCATAGATTGGGAGAAAATATTTGCACATCACGTATCTGATAAAAGACTTGTATAAGGAACATAAAAGGAACTCTTCAAATTCAATGGTAAGAAAACAAACAGCCCAATTAAAAAAATGGGCAAAAGATCTGAAAAGACACTTCACCAAAGAAGACATATACAGATGGCAAATAAGCATATGAAAAGATGCTCAACGTCATTTGTCATTAGGGAAATGCAAATTAAAACAATAATGCGATACTTCTATACACCTATTAGAATGGCTGAAATCCAAAAAGACAGACAAAATACCAATTGATGGCCGGGATGCCGATCAACAGGAACTCTCATTCCTTGCTGGTGGGAATGAAAAATAGTACAGCCACTGTGGAAGACAGTCTGGCAGTTTCTTATAAAGCTAAATATAGTTTCACCATATGATCCAGTAATTGTACTGACACTAGGTATTTACCCAATTGATCTGAAAACTTATGTCTACACAAACCCGCATGTAAATATTTAGAGCTGCTTTATTTACAATCGTCAAAAACGGGAAGCGACCAAGATGTCCTCTGATAGGTGAACAGATAAACAAACTGACCCATCCATACAATGGAATATGAGTTGGTGATAAAAGGAATGAAGCAAACCACATCTGAAATCCACATTGCTAAGGGAAAGCAGCAAGTCTGAGAGGCTCCATGTTGTATGATTGCATTTATATGACATTTGAGTAAAGGTAAACTAAAGACAGAAAATCGATTTGTGGCTGTCAGAGGTTGCAGGGCAGGGGCTGAATAGGTGACATACAGGAAGTCTTCTAGGGTGATAAAACTATTCTGTAAGATACCATCATGGGGCATATGTGACATGATGCCTTGTCAAAGCCCAGAGACCCTTACAGCACCAAGAGTGAACCTTGAAGTATGCAAGTAAAACCATCTAGGAGACAGGGAAACCCCATGATGGAATGAAGATTGTATGACAAACATATGACAACCTCACTGAAGGTAGTGGGGGGCAGGAAGATGCTGACCTAAGTCATTTTGGAAATGAGTAGAGACTGTAAAACTAAAGATAACAGGAACTGCGCATCAGCACTGTATTCTAGTTAGTAAGGGTGCTTCCCACAAAGGTGGAGGCTAACAATTCTGAAACCACTACACAGGAACATCAGGATGGAACAATTACATAAAAGGATGGAGGATGGCAGCGGCAGGTCTCTCACTGTTGGAGAGGGAGGTGATGGATAAGCAAGGGCAGATGGCGGGAATGAACCATGTGCCACTAGAGTAGAGACATCAGTGTGGACTCAGGTTTCCCTTAACACAGATGCAGACATGTAAGTATAAATACATACATAGACACCCACACACACAGGTTAGTATAAACACATGTTTCTGAGCTCTGTCTGCTGACAGGGCCTAAAGCAATGACACCTAATGCCCAAACCTTGGTTTCCAAGGCCATTCTACAGCAGAAGAAAGCATGCCTTCAGGGGAAGCAGCAGCACGTACGGCTGGGGCAGGGAGCACATGAATCTGGAGTCTTCTGTGGTGCCAGAAAGTAAAGAAGTGCTCAGACAACAACAACAAAACCAAAAGACACTATTTTGGTGGGGGCAAGTCAAACGGACACAAAACCTAACTGAAAGAGCTCCCAAAGGCCAAAGCTGGAACAATTTGAGCCACAAAACAAATAACATAGTATTCGATTATAACCCAAAGTACACAACGAGTATCTGTAAGTTTATGCTACAGTATATATAAATAAATGATTGGGTAAATACATAAATGAAGAGAACGGACAAATCCCCATACAGCTGTATTCTGAATAATTTATGTGGCTACCCCACCCTCAAGAAGGTAAAATATAATCTGCCACTCCTTAAATGTAGCTGGCACATACTGACTTCCTTCTAACAGCCACATGACGAAGTTGGGGGAGAAGTTACTTTCCAGTGGAGAGACCTGACCAACACCCCCTCAGCCAGATGGCCAAGGTCAACAACCACAGTGATGAGCCATGTTGATAGCATGCACCCTTGGACGGGATGTGCTGATAAGATGAGAATGGCACTTTACCTCTGTGCCTTCCTCCCTAAAGCCCATAAGCTGAGTCTATCCATGAGAAAAACATCAGGCGAAGCCAAGGTGAAGGATAGTCAATGAACCCTCTAACAGGTATTCCTCAAAACTGTCAAGATCATCAAAAACAAGGAAGACTGTCAGCCTGGAGGAGGCTGAGGAGCCAGGGTAACTAAAGATAATGTGTTATCCTGCATGGGAACCTGGAACCAAAAGGGCTTAAGGGACAAACTAAGGAAATCCCAATAGAGCATGGTCATTAATTAATAATAATGTATTAATATTGATCCATTAGTTGTGACAAATGTACCATACTAATGTAAGACGGTAATAACAGGGGAAACTGGGTACTGGGTCTATGGGAACCTTCTGTGCTTACAACTTTTCTAGAAATCTAAAACTATCCTAAAATAAAAAGTTCATTTAAAAATGCTAGCAGAGGCCAGGCATGGTGGCTCACTCCTGTAATCTCAGCACTTTGGGAGGCTGAGGCAGGTGGATAACCTGAGGACAGGAGTTTGAGACCAGCCTGGCCAACATGGTGAAACCTCGTCTCTACTAAAAACAGAAAAATTAGCCAGGCGTGGTGACATGCGCCTGTCATCCCAGCTACTAAGGATGCTGAGGCAGGAGAATTGCTTGAACCCGGGAGGCAGAGGTTGCAGTGAGCTGAGATCCTGTCACTGCACTCCAGCCTGGGCAACAGAGTGATACTCCATCTCCAATCAAACAAAAAAGCTAGCAGATTTTGTTCATCATAGAATTAAATCTGCCTCCATTTAGGCTCTTAAAATATTACCAACAACAAAACTGTGTATTATGCCAAATTTTTAACTTGCTGGAACTTTCCAGTCCCTAAAGCTGAGGGCCAATCTTCCTTCTCTCTTTAATGTAAAAGAAAGTGGGGCCTCCTCCATGCTCCCACAGCGCCTTGCCCTGGCCACCGTCATCACACTTGGAACGCTAAATCCAATAGTCTGTCTACTCCACTGACTGCAGGATCCTTGAAGCTAGTACCTGCTCCCAGGCCTACACACAGAAGGGAGTGAACATACACTGGAAATGTAACTTGGTTTAATTTCAGTAACGAAAGCCTTGCTTCTAAGAGCAGACATTATGTTGCCATTTTGGAGTTACTACTAAGTTGTTCATTCTTTCTTGAGTGATAATTTCAAAATTCAATCTCATAATAATCTATTGTTGTCCTTTTCTCAAAAGAAGAAATAGAAAATAGGATTTTAAAAGCCCATGAAAAGAAAATCAGATGCAATGCAGGAGGCATTCCCAGAGTGTATATTTTATATCTTAAAATATCATAGAGTAGCATCAGAAGCAAGTAGAATATTAAAGTTGTGATGAGAGATCATGAAAGAAAAATAGAGGGTGGGAAGAGGAGGAAGAGGAGAGGGATGGGAAGGGGGAGGGGGACACACACTGACTACTCTTGGAATGACTGAGAAGTTGGATAGATCCCAACTTCGGCAAGATCCAATTGCTGCTCATCCCTGTCTTGATAACATCCTTGGGTTTTTGTAACCACTGACTGATTAAATAGCATCGTAACCCCCACCACCAGCACGCTTACTAAGTACCTATTTTGCACATGCCATCACGCCAGGTTTCTTTCACATTACCATGTATAAAAATTATTAGCCACTCAAGGAAGAAAGCTCGCTGCGGTAAGAAAACCTGGTGGAAGGAAAAATACCTCCTAGTGTTGAGTCTGAACAGGTGCCAGCCTGGATCTTGAAGATGACAGGAAAGAGGAGCAGCTGTAATGAATCATTTTCAGATAAGTGCTCTTTAAAAATGCAGAAGTGACATAGCAGCAGGGAAGTTTCAAACACAATTTTCTGCTCGTCATGTGCTAAGGTAAATGGATCCCTAGCTTCCAGATGACACTAAGATATGAGAGATTCTTTTGGTTCATGAAAGGGTTGTTTTAAAAAAAAAATTAACTTTTTCCTAGAGGCAAAACACGACAACAAACACAGCACCAAAAGGAGAATTTCTCAGATGAAAGGAGCCTGAGAAACGCTGTGTTTGGAACGCATCCGGTGGAAGGATTGCAGGATGGCTGGAATCCTGTCTCTGGGGGTAAGAGGTGCCCAGGTGAAGGAGGGCAAGGGTCCTCAAGGCAGACAGGACTGGACTCATCCTCAGCTGAGCTGGAAGACACAGCACACGCCTTGGATTCTTTCTAAAATAAGGTCAGAGTGCCCACCCACCTTGCAGGGCTGCTGTGAGGACTAGGAATGAGCAATGCGAAGTTTCTAGTACAGTGCCCGGCACATAGTAGACACCCTAGAAGTGGTAGCCATTATCCCCTGGCTACATCCCGACAATAAAATGCTCTGTTGTGGACAATGGGTGCAATTTTGTATCGTGAATATAATGTGAAGAGAATAAAATGCTATGGTCAAGTGGTACCAGAGGCAGAATCAGAGCCAGTGAGAACCCATGGGCTGCATATCCTGTACACAGATTTGGAGTAGAACCCTAGGCACATTCTCCCCCAAAACCAGCCACTTACTTCCTGTGCTTACACCAAGGCAGAGTGGGGGAGGTAGTGGAGAGGAGGGGAAGGAACTCAGGCCTGGGATTCAGGGGCCGGGGCGCCAGTCCCTGCTGTGTCCCCACCTAGCCAGGTGTCCACAGGCAAGGTCCTCTGGGTCCAATTTTCCTTACCCATAAAGGAAAGCCTTTGCTCAAAAATGTTCCTTAAGGTATCTTCCCACTCTGAAATCTGTTGTCTTTCATTCATGTGAGAAGCGTGTTCTGTAAAGCAACATTTGAGTTTCCCAATGAGTTGGCCTCTCTGAGAACAGACCCTACCAACCCGCTGGAAGTGAAGGGAGAAGGGCAACCAAGCTGAAGACTGGTTTCCAGTAACAGGTGCGGTATTTATGCTCAGCAGTTTCCTGTTATATTTCATACTATTTAAACCACCTTGAGTTAGATTCCCTGCAATATGACTCCATAGTTTGGTAACTGAAAATCTAACTAAGGTATTAAAAATCTCAGGTCCAAACACATTCATAATTAAGCCTGAAATAAATTTTTTTCATCATTCTAAATGGTTGAATTAGAATAACCAGACTTCAAAAAGCACTATCCATGATAATATATTTTCAAAACTACAGTTGATATGAATAAATCTAGAAGTTCTAGTAAAGCTAGCCAAATCTACTAATGCATTTTTTTGATATTAAGTTATAATCTAATGATCAAGAAATGCTTTTAACTTACATCACATCAATAATGCAATGTGCACTATTTGATATATAAAACTCCCATTAGGCTTAAAAACATGATTACATATATGATTATATGAGGAAATCCAAAGTTTACTTTTAACATATCTAACCACTATGAAGCTAGAATTCCTAATTATCCATTTCAAAATTTAAAAGATGTCTGTATTTAGAACTGGAAAAGGCAACCTGCTTTTGCTAAGTTATAAGACAAAGTAGATGATTAGCTGAGTGCTGGAGGAGATTCCTATCATCACCATCACCATCATCCAGCAAAATCACAGGTGCACGTATCCTCTGACCCAGCACCCCTACTTCTAGGCACCTGTCCTAAAGAGACTGGCAAAAATACAAAATGCCCTACGCATACGGCCAATCACTGCAGCACAATTTGCAAAACCAAAGCCTGTTGCAGGGACTGGTTGAATACACTGTGGCATCTCCTAGCAAGGGAGCACTGTGCAGCTGTAAAAGGAATGAGGAGGCTGGGTGCGGTGGCTCACGCCTGTAATCCTAGCACTTTGGGAGGCCGAGGTGGGTGAATCACCTGAGGCTGGGAGTTCACGACCAGCCTGACCAACATGGAGAAAACCCGTCTCTACTAAAAATACAAAAATTAGCTGGGCGTGGAGGTGCATGCCTGTAATCCCAGCTACTCGGGAGGCTGAGGCAGGAGAATCGCTTGAATCTGGGAGGCAGAGGTTGTGGTGAGCTGAGATCGCACCATTGTACTCCAGCCTGGGCAACAAGAGCAAAAACTCTGCCTAAAAAAAAAAAAAAAAGGAATGAGGAGGAGCTCTAGACACTGCAAAGGAATGCCTTGTAGGCCACACTGCTAAGTAAAAAGAGCAAGGTTCAGAACAAGAGAGCATGCTACTTTGTATCTACTGTCCAGAAACCTGAAACCCTGCAGCAGAGTTAAAACACTGTCTCTTACTGCATCACTTTAAAAAGGTTTCGAAATTATCAAAAGGTACATGTAGATGGGGCTGTCCATTGTACCATGCGTTTTCATTTGAATTCTTAGGCATGGGTCTAGGAGTGCAAGAATCCTGTAACATTAAAAATTCAATATAATAGAAATATAAATGGGGAAAAAGACATTAATGAACTGATTTCATAAAGTAATTTATTAACAACTGAAATGCCCATTGCCTGATAAATGGATAAACAAAATGTTGCATCCAGTGGAATATTACTTGACAATGAAAAGGAATGATGTGTGATCCAACATGGGTGAACCCTGAAAACAAGTATGCTAAGTGGGAGAAGACAGTGGCAAAAGACCACATATTGTATGAATTCATTTCCAGAAAACATCCAAGGTGGCAAATCTATGGAGACATGATGTAGACTAGCAGTTGCCAGGGACTGGGAGGAGGGAGCAACTGGAAATGACCGCTCATGGGTGAGGAGTTTCTTTCCGGGTGATACAAATTTTCTAAAATTAGATAGTGGTGATGGTTTTACAACTTATACTAATAATCAATGAATCGTACATTTTAAAAGGGTCAGTTTTATGGTATGTGAATTATATTTCAATAAAACTGCTATTAAAAAGTCATTCATTGGACAATTAGGGAAATCTGAATGCTGACTTGCTATTAAATGATATTAAGAAATTATTAATTTTTAAGTGTAATAATGGTATTATAGACTTTATTTTTATTTTTGCTTTATTTATTTATTTTTTTTTTGAGACAGAGTCTTGCCCTGTTGCCCAGGCTGAAGTGCAGTGTGTGACCTCGGCTCACTGCAGCCTCGACCTCCTGGGCTCAAGTGATCCTCCTGCCTTGGCCACCAGCATAGCTGGGGCTACAGGTTCACGCCATCACACAAGGCTAATTTCGGTATTTTTTGTAGAGGTGGGGTTTCACCATGTTGCCCAGGCCAGTCTCTAACTCGTGGGCTCAAGTGATCCACCTGCCTCAGCCTCCCAAAGTGCTGGGATTACAGGCATGAGCCACCATGCCCAGCCATTATGGACTTTAAAAAAGAGTCTATATCTTAGAAATACATACTGACATATTTACAGATAAAATGATATAGCGTCTTAGATTTGCTTTAAAATAATCCAATATGGGGTGAGGGGTAGTGGGAGAGGGTCATAATGAAAACTGACCACATATTGATAAATGAGAATGGCAGGTAAAAGGTACTCTTCTTTCTACTTTTGTACACATTTGAGAACATTTTCATAATACAAAATTTGAAACGTCTTTTTTAATCTCTGAAAAACTACAAACATCTACTAAACCCTTTTCTATAAATCACTACAGAATATCTATCTAAACTGGAGAGGGCAGCTAATGAGAGAAACAAAAGAAACTATAGTATGTTCTATCTAAAAGAGCAAAAGAGAAAAGATTTTTTTCTGTAATTTGCCAATTTGTAAGGAGAAGGTGCAGTAGACAAGAGAAAAAGCAAAAGCCACTTGCTCCTTAATTTTGGTTAACCAGGATAAAGAACTAAGTTAATTATTCATTAATGTCATTGACTGCCAAGAGCTTAAAAATTTTAATTTGTCAGTTGCACCTACCTAATAAAACTTGTGAAGAGACCGTAACATAGTATTTCACACAATGATGTGCTGAATATGATCTAGTGTATTTGGCACACTTTGCAAATCAAATTAAACCTTGAAAAAAGATTTTCAAATTATATTCATGTTTTAAATATTTGGTTTAATGTGAATAATGCTAACTTATGGAATACTGCTAGAGGCATGCACAGTGAGGCAATGCAGATGGCAGAAAGAACATGCCAGCCGGGCCCTGGGGTCCAGTCCCAGATTTAGCCCTTGTGTAGCCTGGGCAAATCACTAAACCTCCCAGAGGTTTCATTCTCATCTATAAAATGGGCACAATGATAGTTGCCTCACAGAAACGTGGAGGGGTGAAATGAGTGAATACATCCAAAATGTCTGCTGCAAAGTCCAGCCCTTAGTCAATCAATACATGGTACCTATGAGTAGTATTCTGAATATCAGTGTTAAGTGCCAGTGTAGCACAGGCTTCTCACAGCTAAAAATCTGTAGTTGGCTTTTGACAGTGGTTGCAGAGGCTATGTACTGAGGCTAGAGGGTTTTGATGTCTTGGAATGACAGGACTGACTTGCTTATTAACCTCCCCAACAGAAGCCTTCTGGTTATATTTAGTAATTCTCTGATCCATTAATTAATGAAGCCAATAATTATTATAATTCTTTGATATTCTAATTCATAGATCCACTAGTTGGTATAACTGATTGTAAAAGTTGCAAAGGCATATTAAAGTATTTCATATTAAAGTACTTTAAAAGGGAAGCTGCCTAACTAGTCTGAACAAACAAGCAAAATTTCAAATGGGAAATATGAGCTACTCACTGGTTAATGCATAACAAAATAGACAATCCCAGATACATGGCACAATGACTATATTTTCATCTACATTTTACATTTTAAAAATCCCTGCACTAAAATGAAAATCAGCTGTGTGTGTATACAATGGATTGATTGAACTCCAAACTACTCCCTGTCTTCTTGAAAACACATGTGAGTAAACCCCTGGCCTCCTGACATTTGCCATGAGCCCTGCTGTTGACCTCAGATTCAATGCAAAGAAAGAAGTGATTTTTTAGAACACAAATTTCTTCTGCTTATTAAGAAATACACACCACAGAACATTTAGAAACTAACTAAAAGTATTTAAAAATTCATAATCCTATTACTCAGGAAAAAACCCGTGAATTACTTTTGCTATACAGTACTTCATTCCAGTCTTCTTTGCATAAATTTTGTCTATTTAGTTGAAATGATACAGTATATACAGTTTTATAGCCTGCATTTGACTCAATGTAATGCGTAAGCATTTTCCCTCTTGTACCAGTAACACAAACATTTTTAAAGACCACACAGCATTTAATCATATGGAGGCACCATCATCTCCTGGCCATGCCCCTACTGCTTGCTGCTCCCTTATTGTTTCCTATCCAGTTTTTCTCCGTTGCGCACAGTGCTGCAATGAATTCCCTTACTCATCCATCATTTGTCTGTATTTACGGTCACAACAGCAATATCTAAGGGGTCTGTTCACTGTATTCTGCTACCAGAGTATTGCCCCACTCCAACCACAACTCTGAAACACTTCCGTATTAGCAAGAATTTTAATACAGCCCTTCGTGAACGATTTGATTCTCTTTTCTCCACTACATGGTAATCCAAGCTCAGCAAAGTGGAAACATTCCAAGTCATTCTATCCAAGAGTAAATCCAACATGAACCAAGCCAGCTTTATGGGCTGAGGTTCACCACAGTGAAGGTGTGTGATATGGTAGCCGGTTCTTCCTATTTTAAAAAATATCAAAGGAAAAGGAGAAAGCAGAGTCTGGGGAGCTCACAGAGACTGAGGAAATCCTAAGACCCAGAGCAGTATCCTCAAGGGAAAGAAGACCTGGGTAACTGGTGCAAGCAGGCCAACCGCAGGGACAGGGGAACAAGTGACAGCTCCCTCTCTACAGAATACCTATCCACAGGCCCAGCACATTACAGTGGGCCACAATCTCATCCCATTTCAGGAAGCCTTGACCTTAGCTGTCAGTGAATTATTTCCATGAACCTGCAGTTCTCATCGTTATACTAGTCAAGGCATATGAAGAATGATAGTCAGCCAAAGCTTAGAGGTCATGATAACATTCTTCAAATAAGTGGAGTATTATTGTGGAAAGGAATCAGAATGATTATCTATGGCTCCACAGGTACTGCTGAGGCCAGTGAGTGTTGACTGCAGTCTAAAAACTAGCTAGCGGCTACGGCAGCAGAAAGACACGCGCTCTTCCCGCACTGGCTTTGAGCAGGACCCCCAGTGAGTACCTGCCTGCTTCTTGGTGGCACAGCCACGCCCAGCATTGGGCAGACAGCAAAAGCTGTACACCCAAACCTCAACATACTGAGTGAGACCTAAGCATTAAAAAACTAACTGTGGGGGAAAAAATCATTTGATATTTAAAAATAAGAATGCAGGTCAGATGCGGTGGCTCATGCCTGTAATCCCAGCACTTTGGGAGGCCGAGGCAGGCGGATCACCTAAGGTCAGGAGTTCAAAACCGGCCTGGCCAACATGGTGAAACCCCGTCTCTACTAAAAATACAAAAAAATTAGCAGGTGTGGTGGCGTGTGCCTGTAGTCCCAGCAACTCGGGAAGCTGAGGCTGGAGAATCGCTTGAACCCGGGAGGCGGAGGTTGCAGAGAACCAAGATCACGCCACTGCACTCCAGCTTGGGTGACACAGCAAGAATCTGTCTCAGAAATAAAAATAAGAATGTCATGTGTCCAGGCTACTTCAAGTCTATATGAGCATGGCAGGCCAAAATATTATGAAGTGATAATTGTGTGGCCACTTAAAACCAAAGGAGATTTGCCTAAAATCCATCTTGCCTAAAAGACTCCCCACCCCAACCATGACCACAGAGAGCCAGCTCTAAAGACAGACAGAGGTGTGGGCACCAGTTCCCAAGTGCCCACGTGGCAGCTGCCTCAAAGATGAGCACAGCCAGGGCAGCTGCTGCAGGCACACCCCTCCCACGGGCACACCCCTCCCGTGGGCATGCCCCTCCCACGGGCACGCCCCTCCTGCCCCTGTTTCCACTGTGCTCTAATTAGCTGCACAGAAAGTAGAGAGCCCAAGGTCCCTCCACTCAGGGGATGCAGCCCATTCACCTGCTTTCTTGTGAATCTTTTTTTTACTTCTTGGTGTGACCTTCTGGCAACTAAGCTTTGATTTGCTTACAGTTAGAAAAAGAATGTTTATAAAGAAATATCAGATGACTATGAAAACATTTATTTTTCTGTGCAGTTATGAAATTCAAATCATTCTTAATCAAGAAAACAAAACTCTTGGGCACACCCTGTTATTTTCTTCCTGTAGTTTTCTAAAAATAAGGAAGTTTTAGAGGTCTGAAGATTTATATAAAACAGCTCCTTCAAATGTACCCTTTCAGACACAGCAGTCATCAGATTTATTTTTGGAAAGCTGGTAGGTCAAGAATACTTAAAATAATGCGGTTTCTATTTAAAATACCTGAATCACTTTGTAACTCAGGAGGAAAAAAGATTACTTAAAATGATTATTCAAAATGCAGACATCAGCCCAACAGGTGTAGCCAGCCATCTCACACGAAGCTGGTGATAACATCTGGGATGACAAAGAAATTGATTTCTTCCCACAGATGTGTGGAAATGCAGCCAAGTACTTGAGAAAAAAAAACTCAAAGACGCAACCTTAGACAGTCCTCCCTCCCAACTCTAAGGAAAATACACATTAACTGTGAAATAATTTGTTAAATTGAAATAACAATGAAAGGTATTCCTTTTGTTTGTTTTTGTTTTGAGATGGGGTCTTGCTCTGTCACCCGGCTGGAGTGCAGTGGTGCTCTCTGCAGCCTTGGCCTCCTAGGCTCAAGCAATCCTCCTACCTCAGCCTCCTGAGTAGCTGGGACCACGGGCACTTGCTACCACATCCAGCTAATTTTTAAATTTTTTGTAGGGATGAGGTCTCACTATGTTGCCTAGATGGGTCTTGAACTCCTGGGCTCAGGTGATCTGACCGCCTCAGCCTTCCAAAGTGCTGGGATTACAGGCGTGTGCCACTGTGCCCAGCCAATGAAAGGTATTTTTAAAGGAACATCTAAATGTTGTAATCTCAAAAAACGTTTTAGCCAAAGGCATCTTACAGCCAAGACGAATTCTCTTTTCTACAGTTAGTCACGAGGAAGAGTGATTCTGGCTAAAGACGAGCCATTTGCAAGTTCATGTAGACATGAGGGCGCCAGCTAGCTGGACAGAAATTGTTAGGAGGCGTTTTATTTCCAACATTGTCTAATTGTCTAATTCCATTATCTTCTAAGAAGATAATGACAACATTATTTAATACAAATATTGCTTTTTAATATCTCATTCCCAAGAGCCACAGGGACATGAAATGATGACTTAAATTTGCTAGAAATCTACCAGGGACAGAGCTCTGTAGCAGGTGATGTCCTTGTGGACAGCAGAGGAGATTCAAAAGGAACACTGGGCTTTGCATGAGAGTGGCTTGCTTTGCAGCTAGAAGAGGGGAAGAGCTAATGATAACATAGGACTCTGAGCTCCTCAGAGGGAGGCCCGCCACCTCTGCACCCCCAGTGCTTGGCTCAGAGCTTTGAATGTGGCATATGATCGAGTGTTGCTATGCTGAACTGAATGACAGTATAAGCTAAGTGCATATAAAGAGATAACAGTTTTCAAAAAAAAGCTAGGTAGAACAACCTCCAAAAGTGGCCCAAAGGATCATGGTTCTTTCTGCAAGCTCTCTCCATCCCAGAGAATCCTGATAAAGAACTGTTCTCGGCCGGGCGCAGTGGCTCACGCCTGTAATCCCAGCACTTTGGGAGGCCGAGGCGGGCGGATCACGAGGTCAGGAGATCGAGACCATCCTGGCTAACACGGTGAAACTCTGTCTCCACTAAAAATACAAAAAATAAGCCGGGCGTGGTGGCGGGCGCCTGTAGTCCCAGCTACTCGTGGGGCTGAGGCAGGAGAATGGCGTGAACCCAGGAGGCAGAGCTGGCAGTGAGCCCAGATCGCGCCACTGCACTCTAGCCTGGGCGACAGAGCGAGACTCTGTCTCAAAAAAAAAAGAACTGTTCTCAGTGGTCCATTTGGATTGTTCCTTCCTTGACTCAACAAGCATTTAATGATCACCTACAAATGTACATCACTGGGCTGTACAATTCACCAACATCAAGCCCCAAAATACTATCATACGTCGTGTGATTATGTTGACAGTGCTAAGACTGTTTTATTGTTATTCTAAGTTTCGATTCTCTGTCAATATTAAAGAGCACAATGTGTTTGCTAGAGCAAGATTCTGCCACGAGACCAATTCTACTGAAGTTCCTGTGTCACTCAAACGCCCACCTTTGGTAGGTCCTTTCCTGTTAAGCACGGCCTGCTGTTCCTCAGTAATGTTCAGCCGCCGAACCACATCAGCTAGAGCTGATTTGAGCAGCTGGATGTCGTCTTCTTGCATCTGGACTCTCTGCTCCAGTGAAGCAATGCGGTCTGTCACCTCCATGCTACTTGCAGCAGAAGCGCTGTCATCTAAACCAAAGAAAGGATCAAGTGAGCTTTAAGTGTTCCCCGGAAATCAGATCTATAAACATACTCTATCTAGCATGCTGTTTTAAGCCCATTGTTTTAACATAGTAACACTTACGGACTACAGATACTGCTCTTAAGCAGAAATCACATGAAATCTTTAGCTGTGTGTAACTACAACTCTTCATTCTACAATGGTCTTTTCATTCTCTACATTTGCACTCTTCATTATAAACTGTGGTTTTAATTGACATTATACTTTTCTACATGGAGGCCAACTTGTTTTCAGCGATACCGGAGAACCTTAGCAGTGGAAGGGATGTTAGAATACGTCCACTTCAACTTCCCACACACTGCAGAAACCCAGTCTGCATGGTCTTCTAGCTTCTGTTCCAATTATGTTAACTGACAGGTAGGTCATACAATCACAAGGCCACCCTATCCATCGGTCAAGACTCTGAAGGATAAAGCAATATGAGTTTGGCAAGCTACCCTTACAATTATGGTAATCATATTTTCTTACTCAGAATCATAATTTCCAACTCCTTATCAGGGTCTATAAACCTCTCCGTGATCTTCTTCGCCTCTCCAATCTCATTGTACATCATTCTTCCCTTCACTTACTGTGCTCCAACCAGAGAACACAGAGAACACTTTGGGAGGCTGAGGTAGGCAGACTGCTTGAGCGCAGGAGTTTGATATCAGCCTAGGCAACATGACAAAACTCTGCCTCTACAAAATACCAAAAAAAAAAAAAAATTAGCCAGGTGTGGTGGTATGTGCCTGTAGTACCAGCTACTCAGGAGGCTGAGGTGGGGCAGTTTCTTGGGGCCCGAGAGGTCAAGGCTGCAGTGAGCTGAGATTGCACCACTGCACTCCAGCCTGGGTGACAGAGCAAGACCCCGGGTGACAGGGTCGCCCAGGCTGGAGCGCAGTGGCGCAAAAACAAAACAAACAAATAAATGGCTGAAATAGCACAAATTTAATGAACACAAATACACAATTACAGGCCAGGTGCCGTGGCTCATGTCTGTAATCCCATCACTCTGGGAGGCCAAGGCAAACGGATCACCTAAGGTCAGGTGTTCGAGACCAGCCTGGCCAATAGGGTGAAACCCCATCTCTACTAAAAATTCAAAAATTAGCTGGGTGTGGTGGTGCGCGTCTATAGTCCCAGCTACTTGGGAGGCTCAGGTGGGAGCATCACTTGAACCCAGGAGGCAGAAGTTGCAGTGAGCCAAGATTGCACCACTGCACTCCAGCCTGGGCAACAGAGCAATACTCTGTCTCAAAATAAACAAATAAATAAATAAATAAATATATATACACACACACACACACACACACACAAATACACACACACAATTATGAGATACTAATCAAAGACTAAGCAAAATAAATGCAAAACAGCCCACCTCAAGGTACATTATAGTCAAACTGTTGAAAACCAAAGATAAAGAACAAATACCAAAAGCAGCAAGAGAAAAATGACATATTAAATACAAAAGACCTGCAGTCTGATTAACAGCTGACTTATCATGAACTAAGGAGACCAGAAGAGAGCGGAACTACATCTTTAAAGTACCACGTGAGAAAAAACTAAATTCAGAATTTTACATCCAGCAAAATATCTTCCAAGAAAGCAAGCAAAATAAAGACATTTTCAGAGTAACAAAACCAGAAAGAATTAATCATCAAAAGACCTGCACTGCAAGAAATGCTAATGAAAGTTCTTCAGGCTAAAGAAAAATTATATAAGATCAAACTCAGACCCTCAGAAAAAAATGAAGAGCACTGGAAATGATAAATACCTGCATCAGTTCAAAGACTCATTTTTTTCCTTTTTCCTTTTATGTTATTATGAAACCTTAAGTTTTATTATTTTTTTTTTTTTTGACAGGGTCTTACTCCGTTGCCCAGGCTGCAGTACAGTGGTGTGATCACAGCTCACTGCAGCCTTCACTCCCTAGGCTCAAGTGATCCTCCCACCTCAGCCTTCTGAGGATCTGGGACTACAGGCGCACCCCACCACGCTTGGCTAATTTTTAAATTTTTTATAGAGGCAGGGTCTCACTGTGTTGCCCAGGCTGGTCTTGAATCCATGGCCTCAAGTGATCCTGCTTCACCCTCCCAAAGTGCTGGGATTACAGGTGTTAGCCACTGTGCCCAGCCTTGAACCTTCAAACTTTTAAAGACAGAAATTAAAATATTGTCTTACAGGATTTATAATGTATTTTTATGTAATAAATACAAGTACCATAACATAAAAGATGGGGTAAATATGGATCTACAAGTTGCAAGATTTCAGTATTTTATATGAAGTATATGTCATTAATTATAAGTGGCTTTCATTTATTTTAATTGGCAAAAATTGTATATATTGTATACAACATGTTTTAAAATATATATATATACATTGTGGAATGGCTAAATTGAGCTAACACACACATGCATTACCTCACATACTTATTTTTGTGGTAAGAACACTTAAAATCTACTCTCTTAGTGGTTCTCAAGGATACATACATGTTATTAATTATACATATGTTAGTCACAATGTTGTACAATAGATCTCATGTAAGCAGTTATTATTAACTGTAAGGGGTTAGTATTAACTGTAGTGGAAAAGTCACAGATGTATATTGTGATCCCTCATAAATGACTAAAGAATAATGCAAAGGAGTGTAGCTAAAAAGCCAACAGAAAATTTAAAATGAAATTCTATATTCAAATAATTCAAAAGAAGGAAAGAAAAGAGTAACAGAGGTACAAAAAAGACAAGTAAAAAACAAAAAATAAAATGCTAAACTCAAACCCAATATAGCAATAATTCTATTACATGTTACATTAAAGCAATAATTTCATTAAACACACCAATTAAAAGGCAGAGGATGGCAGAATAATTTTTTTTTTAAAAAAGCAAAACCCAACTATATGCTGTCTACAAGAGATACACTTTAAATACAAAGACACAGATAGATTGAAAGTATATGAATGGAAAAAATATATACCATGGAAATAATAAGTATAAAAAGGCTGGATGGCAATATTAATATCAGATAAAATAGATGTCAAAATGTATTACCAGAAATAAAAAGGGCCATTTCATAATGAAAAAAGGGTCAATTATCAGAAAAACACTGCAATCATATGTGCCTAATAGAGCTTTAAAATACATGAAGCAAAACTGACAGAATTAAAGTTAGAAACAGACAATTCTATAATTTTTCCTGAAGATTTTAATGTCCCTCTCTCAGCAACTGATAGAACAACTAATAAAAAAATAAATAAAAGCTTGGGTGGTATAGCAAGATCTCATCTCTATAAAAAATTTAAAAATTAGCCAGGCATGGTGGCATATGCCTGTAGTCCTAGCTACTTGGGAGGCTTAGGTGGGAGAATCATGGAGCCCAGGAGATCAGGTCTACAGTGAACTATGATCACGCCACTGCACTCCAGCCTCGAAAACAGAATGAAATTCTATCTTAAAACAAACAAACAAAAAACCAGTACAGACATAGAATATTTGAACAACACTATAAACCGTGTTGACTTAACTGATACGTAGAGAAAACGGTAGCTAACAATAGCAGTGCATACGGTACATTTTCAGGACACATCATATTCTGGGTCATTAAACAGATTGAAATAAATTTAAAGATGGGAAGAGTATGTTCTCTGACCACAATGATATTGTTAGAAATCAACTACAAATATTTGGAAATGAAGCAATACATTTCTAAATAATCATTGGATCAAAGAAGATATCAGGAGAAATTAGAATAATCAAATGATAATGAAAATACAACATAGCAAAATACATGGGATGCAGCTAAAGCAGGGCTTTGAGGAAAACTAATAGCTTTAAAACCACTGTTTTAGAAAAGGAGAATCTGGTTATCTGAAAAGGTCAACAAAATGTAAGCTCCATAAAGCAGGAATCTTTTCTGTTGGTTCACTACTCTGCCCCTCAACCTAACATACAGTGAGAACTCAATAAATATTTGGTAAATTAATGAATAAATGGGTAAATGAGTATCTCTTTTGAAGCATGCATTAAATTAGTTGTTAGGGATAAAAGATGATTCACTCACACAGCTATCCTTAAGAAGCTCTCTGCCTAGTGGAGAAGACACCTGCCTACAAATTTCTAAAATAATTTGATAAGTTATATAAACATATAAAGTGATAAGTGAACAAAGAAAATATTAGCTGTATTTGGAAAAATGGGATCAAGCAGGGGTTGGCCTTGAAGAATAAAAATATTCACCAGGGCTGGGGGTGGTGGCTCATGCCTGTAATCTCAGCACTTTGGGATGCCAAGGTGGGTGGATCACCTGAGGTCAGGAGTTTGAGACCAGTCTGGCCAACATGGCAAAACCCCATCTCTACTAAAAATACAAAAATTAGCTGGGCATGGTGGTACACACCTGTAGTCCCAGCTACTCGGGAGGCTGAGGCAGGAGAATCGCTTGAACCTGGGAGGTGAAGGTTGCAGTAAGCCGAGATTGCGCCACTGCACTCCAGCCTGGGTGACAGAGCAAGACTCTGTCTCAAAAAAAAAAAAAAAAAAATCACCAGCTGGAAAAATAAGAATGGCATTCCAAGCAAAGGAAACAAGCAATTTAAACAAAAACGCAGAAACATGAAAACATATGGAATATTTAGATAATAATAAGTGGCCTCTGACATTGAAATCTGCCACCTTGTAACTTCTGCTTCCTGGATAAATAATTCTGTCTTGCCCTTAAATTCAGGCTCTGTCAATTTTCTTTTTTCTTTTTCTTTTCTTTTTTTTTTTTTTTTGAGACAGAGTCTTGCTCTATTGCCCAGGCTGGAGTGCAGTGGCGTGATCTCAGCTCACTGCAACCGCCGCCTCCTGGGTTCAAGCAATTCTCCTGCCTCAGCCTCCTGAGTAGCTGGGATTACAGGCACCTGCCACCAACGCCGGCTAATTTTTGTATTTTTAGTAGGATGGGGTTTCACCACATTGGCCAGGCTGGTCTTGAACTCCTGACCTCAGGTGATCCAACCACCTCGGCTTCCCAAAGTGCTGGGATTACAGGCGTGAGCCTCAGCGCCCAGCCAGGCTCTGTCAATTTTCTAAGTAACAGATAATTGTTTCACACATAGAAATAATTTTCAAGTGTGTCTATGGCACTTCTGAGAGAGAATAACATATCTATTAACCAAGAGAGCCGCTAAGCTCTTACAAAAAAAATATTGTGTAAGTCTTTTTAAAACTATGTCTTAAGCATATCTCTTTAAAGAAGTAAAACTATAAAGCAAGAACAACTTGCAAATATCCTTTTCTCATGCTCCTCCTCTCCTAGAACTAAATATACCATTCTTTATGCTCCCAATGTAGAATCCATACTGTTTATTAGGAGTACTGATGGGGATGTGTGCACGTCCTCTTTTTTCTGTTTCTCTCTATTGAATGAGAAATATAAAGAACTTTACAAACTCAACAGTGAGAAAACAATCCAATTTTAAAAATAGGCAAGGGGAAAAATGGGCAAAAGACTTAAATAGACCACCAAAGAGGTTATTCAGGTAACAAGCAGGCACAGGAAAAGATGTTCAACATCATTAGTCATTATGGAAATGCAAATTAAAACTACAATGAGATATTATTACACATCTATTAGGATGGTTAAAAGTAAAAATGCTGACAAAAGCAAGTGCAGTGAGAATATGGAGCAAATGAAACACACTCTCCCCCACTGCTGGTGGGCACACAAAATGACACGACCACCCTGGAAAACAGTTTACCATTTTCTTATAAACACATATTTCCAATATGACCTAGCAATTCTTAAGTATTTGCTCTAGAAAAATGAACAATATTCATACAAAAACCGATACGCCAATGTTTCTGGTGGCTCTGTTCAGACTTGATAGAAACTGGAAACAACTCAAAGGCCCTTCAACTGGTGAATGGATAAACTGTGGTGCACTCATACAATGGAATATACTCAGTAATAAAATGGGATGAATGACTGATACACAAAACAACTTGCATGGGTCTCAAAGGCATTATACTGAATGAAGAAAGCCCATCTCAAAAGGTTACATCCTGTACTATTCCATTTATATGACATTCTCCAAAGACAAAACTGTAATGAAGGAGAATGGATCAGTGGTTGCCAAATGCTGGGTTGGGGACACTGCACAAGGGAATTTTGAAGGTAATTGGAATGTTCTATATCCTTAGTGGTGGTTGTTACATTAAACCATACTTTGTTAAAACACATAGAATTATCTCAAAAATGACAGTTTTTATTGAATGTTAACATATAAAATAAAGTAATTTTATGAGCATTTAAGTAAGATAAGGTCCACTCATTGGTTTTGCCAATTTTTTTTTTTTTTTTTTGACAAAGTCTCACTCTGTTGCCCAAGCTGGAGTGCGGTGGTATGATCTCAGCTCACTGCAACCTCCACCTCCCAGATTCAGGTGATTCTCTTGCCTCAGCCTCCCCAGTAGCTGGGACTACAGGCACACACCACCATGCTCGGCTAATTTTTGTATTTTCAGTAGAGACGGGGTTTCGCTATGTGGGCCAGGTTGGTCTTGAACCCCTGACCTTGTGATCCGCCCGCCTCGGCCTCCCAAAGTGCTGGGATTACAGGTGTGAGCCACTGCGCCTGGCCTGGTTTTGCAAATTTACAAGTTATTTTTGCTTGTTGGGATTGGTTGCTATTATACTATGAGAGCTCAGCAGAGAAATATTTCAATGAAAACTAAGTACTTATTGCTCAAGGGAAAGAGACTGTCCTTAAGTGCTATGTAACTTCTTGTGAATGGACAGTAGTTCTGTGGAATTTCTCCATTTCTCCTTTGACTTTGGATAGGAGGGAAAGAAAATCTCACTTCAAAATGTCATGCCACTGGGAGAGAGAAGTGGGGAAGATAAGAAGGTATTTTATATCTGTCTTCCCTCTGAGGAGTAATTAAACAGTTCAGTGAAATCTTCTAATGTGTGAATAAAAGAAGGCAGAGTCAGGTTGGTGTAACAACCATTGTGTAGGACGCTGGGTCAACACACACCTACCTGGGAAGGTCTCTGGCCTCAGGCGGAAGGCAGGGAGAGTTCTACTAAGGTAGGAGAAGACATTCTAGAGCTAAGTCAGTGTTGACAGCACTGGCAGAAGAGGCATAGACTTCAGTCTTTAAGAGCACGGACTATGGAGTCAAGCTACCTGGGTTCAAATCCCAGCTCTGCCACTTACTAGCTACATGACCTAGGACAAACTACTTAATCTCTATCTGCCTCTATGTATAAAACAGGTGCAACAAGAGTATTTCATAGGGTTGTTATAATATTAAATGAGTTGACACATTTAGAGTACTTAGAATACTTTTTGCATATAGTGCATGTATAAATAAATATAAGCTGTAATTAAGTTATTGTTACTATTGTTGTTTCCAATAAAAATTACCAAAACAAATCCAAGTTTAACAAAATTCCTATGTGCTGTCTCAACGGTTATGCAAATTAGCACTGAATAATTAGAAATTAGTGCATAATTAATAATATTTGCTTTTTAAATCATGAAAGAATCTGTAGCATAGACTCATGCATTTATTTTTTTTCTTTAGCAATAGTGTCTCACTCTGTTGCCCAGGCTGGAGTGCAGTGGTGCGATTACAGCTCACTGGAGCCTTGACCTGGGCTCAAACAATCCTCCTATCTCAGCCTCCCGAGTAGTTGGAAGTACAGATGCACACCACCACATCTAGGTAATTTTTAAACTTTTTATAGAGATGGGGTCTCATTATGTTGCACAGGCTGGTCTTGAACTCCTAGCCTCAAGCGATTATCCTGCCTCAGCGTCTCAAAGTGCTGGGATTACACAGGCATGAGCCACCACACCCAGCCTAGAACTGTGCATTTCTATGACATTTTTGGGTTGTTCGTGCAGACAGCAGCTTCTAGAGAAGGCACACACGCTCACTGCTGGGACTCAAGCACATTTATTGTGGCTGCCAGCACAGGATTGAGGAGGAAAAAGTTGGTCTCTGTAGTATAACCTTGCATTTTCAAATCAATATTATAAAACAACATACAGAGTAAGGCAAGACTGGCCTGCTCCCTGCATTCAAAAACTTTAGCATCACTGTGGTCTCAGTGGCTTTAATAAAACTGCACAAATCAGAATATTTAAATTATATTGCTGAATTTATATAGGAAAAAGTTTGATTTTAATATTTTAATAAAAACCCCCACCACCTCAATATTTGCCTTCAAATACAAATGGTTAAAAACTGAAATGTCAGATCTGCTTAGGAGAGCCCCCATTTGTGAGATTTGCTGAAGTTTTCCCCATGACATAATCCTAGTGCTTTTCAGATCCTGCCAAAATCATTGCTTTAACCTGTAATGGATTTTCTTACTTCTGTTTCTGCAGGTAATTAATCTGAAGAATACGACTGGGAGACTTCTTGGCAGCAGCATGAGCTGTCTGAGGTTCTTAACCTTCTTGTGTACAGAAAAGACCAGTGTTGTTCAAATGACTTTACACTTCAATTAAGCTGGGGGAAAAACTGATTAGCATAATGAAGAACAAAGCCTAAAGCTTGCTTTAACCAACACAAACCATTTGAATCTCTAAGCATTTCATAGGATTCCACAGCACAAGATGTGAAACTTCATCTGAATTTCATCAAAGAAAACCTCAGGTTGGGAATGCAGCACCAATAAAACTTTAACAACTTATTTATTTTAAAGTCATTTTTGCTCCTATACCTCTCAAATCTATCTGTGGAGGTCATTAAAACAGTGTCAATAATTGAGCTTTAGCTTTTTTTCCCCCAAGTTTTTACATTCTTGTCTATTATCACTTTACAGTGTTAGAGGGAGGTTTGAAGAAGACAATATTCTCTAAACTTTTACCTCTTGGGTTTTCTAAAACTTTTGTGTGAACTGGAGCTCCGGTTGGGCTGGGCACCTGCTCCTTTCCTGATCTGTTTACACATGGCAGTGTGTAACTGCGTCTATGGGGCGGTGTCTCTATCTCAGTATTGGGGAACGATCTCCCACGTTGTGATCTCGCAGCACATGCTGACTCTATGGGCACAGGGTAGACAAGATTTAATCAGAGGGAAAACTGAACACCCAGTGGTGCGAGGCATTGATGCAGATGTCTTAGCTGGCCAACCACTCTGAAAGCCACTCTGCAGCCTCTGCCAACAACCCTTCTCAGGGCTACACGTTCCAACTTTGTGGCATTTTGTCAAGGGCCAAACACTGTTGAGAGTAGTCTGCTAAGGGTTACCTATACTGCCCTGTCTGGGTCCTGGGGCTTTAGAGGCACAAGAGAGAGAGCACTGATTTGGGATTCAAACTGAGCAGTAGCCAATTCCTAATCTGTCCCCTATTAGCTATGTGACCTAATACCACCTGCCTTCTGACGTTCCTGTGAAGATGAATGTTAGCGTGTATGAAACTTCTAATACTATGACGGCATACAGACACTCAACACAAATGGTACTTGAGCCTTACTAGAATCCATTGTTATGAATATTCCTGTTTTGTTTATAAGAGCAAAAAGCAAACATTGATCTTCAGTGAAATCAACGATTAACAATAATTATTGAACAAATTCTGCAAATACTGTGCAGGTCTCTCTCTGCAGCACCTCTGGCCAAGTTGAGGAAATGTGATGTTAGCCTTAAGATAAGGCATGGTTTGATGCCACACGAGCCCTCCCACTTGGCAGCACACGACCAGTGGCAAAAGGACAGGCCAAGTGTTACCTCTCATAGCCTCCAGCTCCAACTTGACTCTCATGAGAACCCAGCCAAGCACTGGCTTCTTTCTGAGTTTCAAGGGATGCCATGGGTCTGGGCAGCCCCTACATCACCCGCAGTTTCAGAAGCAAAAAGAAGACCTTGTAGCTCTGCTTTTACCATAGGTCCTCATGTAGCTATTTACAGATCTGACTTTGAAGTTTAATTACTTTTTCTCTTACTGTAAAAAACAGAACAAAAGGGTTTCCGGTAACATGATGTGTTTCACTCTATTAAAAGGTGAGAGAAGCATGCTTTTTTCTCCATTCATGTGATTATCTCAGTATCCAGGGATAAGAGCAGGCTCTTGACTCTGTAAATCTTCCAGTAATACTAAGACATTGTTATCTGAGTGCTATTCCCGGAGGTTAAAGTGGCCTAGTAATTTTAAAAGGTTAACTTAGAATCTGTTCCCTTTATCGTGAGATGTTCTTATTTTCTTTAATTATTTAAGATAATGATAGCACCAAAACAATAATAGCCACCCTTGATTCACCAGCCGCTGTATGTCAGGGCCTAAGCTTTGTGGTGCAGTGTCCCCATGCCCAGTGTCCCCACGCCACACAGCGCCCTCCCACAGAGGTGCCACCCTCATGCCACAGATGAAGTAGGAGAACCTGAGTTTCTGGTCCACCTTGCCTAAGGTTGCACGGCTAGAATGTGGCCAGCCGAGGGTGAGCTGTGAGCCTAGGCTCTTTTCACCATATGAGTTCTCCATCCAAATGACAGGTATTAATTCCAGTGAGATTTCTGTGGTACTAAGTAAAATACACATAGAATTTTTACATCATTTTGCCTTTTCCAAAATATTACACAAATGCTATTTAGAAAAAAAACTTACCAGATTTAGTAGTTTAAAACCAATCATTTAAGCAGTAACAAATAATAACCCTTTGCTCAATAATTTGCAGATAAACATTTCACATAAAGCAGACTTTCCATATTATACGTTGTTCACGGAATAGTTATACTCTATTGTCATATTCGGAGTCATCCTATTAGTATCCAATAGCAAAAGAAACATACAAGCAATCAGTACAGAGAAGCAATTAACTGTCATTGCTCTGCCACTTGCGGGCCTGGATTTCGGCCTTGCTGTCAGATTCGCAGCCCTGCGTACCACTCCTGGCTGGGCTCCAGCTTTATTTCTGTTCTCAGACTCCCAGTTCTCCTTGGATCATCTGGGTCAGTTAGGAACCCTGTGTCCTGCTCACCTCCAAGCTGGACCTGCCACAAGAGCTCCGGCTCTGACGTTCATCACTTCATAGAAAATGACAAGAATCGATCCCACCTCAAAATAAACCTGTTTCAAATGAAGCTCAAGAACTAATGTTCACATAATTGAATCTTAAAGAGCTCTACAACAACCTTTGCCTGATATAAAAATTTGTCATCGAATATTGATTAAAAGAACTTCAGCAGAGCCTCTTGAATCTGGAAAGAAATGGTATAAAGATCTTTTACAAGCCTTAGGTTGGATAATGGTGGTGATGGAGATGAGAAAAAATACTCAAGATCACCCTAAGAGGCAACATGTGACTGTGTTTACCTTGGATGACATGGAGTTTAAAGGAAACAAACTTTCAGTTTAATTCTGTACAATGATATTGAGCATCCTTCTGGGGCAGACCTAGTGCCGGGCAATGCGATCTTCCCAATCCAAGGGCACTCAGTCTAGCAAGAAGAGACTGGCCAACAAATAACCATAACAGAAATGTAGGAACACAGATGAGGGATCAAATCAATAGCCCCCACCCTGCCCCAACTGTTATATGCCAGAATCACAAGCTTGCCAGAAAGTAATATGAGGACTAGACAGATAAAGATCAAAACACAGGTGAGTACAGAACACAACTTCAGGCCCGTTACTACGTTTCAATTAATGAATTGTAATTGAAAACAAAAGAGGAAAAATAAGAACAATCATCTGTAAAAAGACTGGCCATTGAAATTCTCTAGTTGAGTATTTAAGGGAATTTGCTAATTACCTTATCTTGACCTATCCTGGACTCTCATTTCATTTTGCCTAACCACAGTTATGAAGTCAACAAAGACATCCTGTGGAGCCCTGGAGACTTTGAAATCTTTGGAATGTTTACTAAATACTACAAACATGCACGCGCGCGCGCACACACACACACGCGCGCGCGCGCACTCCCCAACCTTTGCAGAAATGCTCTTGTTTCTGTCAGAAACTAAAAGACCTGGGCACTTGAAGATTGTTGATAGCTTTCCCCCACTCCACTTTACAGTTTTAAAGCAAACAAGAGATCCTGCAGCTGAGCAGAAAATAAATTCCTGATAACGTGTGAAGCACTATGCTTTAAAACCTGGCCTTTTGCTATGAGGCGCAGTAGCTACACCACACCAAGGGCAAGGGTGGCTCACCAGGCTCTGGGACAGCTTGGACGGGAGAAAGAAAAAAAAAAACTACAGCTTTTTAACAATGATCCTGGCAAGGCACACGAGGTTGCCAAATCTTAACCATGAAAGGAAAGATTAAAATTATGCAGATGGAGAAGGGAAGAGAAGACAAAATAATGAGCATTAGAGTAAAACTTGAAAAAGATCTAAAACTGTCAGTCCAAATTTTATTTTACATGGAGACTATTGCAACTTTCACTTGTTACATCTGTCACACATTCCAGATAGACATCCTCACTTTATAAACTGACTTAACAAAAAGTATCTAAAAAGGTAGCTTTAATGATTTTTTATTTTACACCATGGTTTCAAAGTCTTTCAGCAAAAAGAATAAAATAAAAGCTATTATTATCTAAATTTTTTCTACTAACTTCTATTAGTACAATTTTTTTCTATTTAAAGTACTATATGGTTACATCATCCAAAAATTTAGTTGTCTTCCTGACTTAATAATTTGATTAGTTTCAGACAATATTCCCCTGCATAAGAGCCTGTCCTTTAATAATTGAGATAAAAATTTAGAAAAGCACAGTGTAGCCGGGCATGGTGGCTTATGCCTGTAATCCCAGCACTTTGGAAGGTTGAGGTGGGGGGAGTGGTTGAGCCCAGGAGTTCAAGACCAGCCAGGGCAACATAGTGAGACCCCGTCTCTACAAAAGATTTAAAAAATTAGCCAGGCATGATGGTTCATGCCTGTAGTCCCAGCTACTTGGTAGGCTGAGGCAGGAGGATTGCTTGAGCTGGGAAGGTTGAGGCTGCAGTGAGCTGTGATTGCACCACTGCTCTCCAGCCTGGGGGACAGAGTAAGCCTCTCTCAAAAACAATAAAACAACAAAACAAAAAGAAAAGCACAGTTCAAATGGTTTAAAATCACCAATGGGGCCAAAGCCAGAAACCTAGTTTTCCAAGAAAAAACTTTCTAAAACAGGCTGGTGGTACTGTTTCAGGACAAAACAATAGATATGTTCGGCTATGGAAGATACTAAAATACCTAGGTTTTTATGGTAGAACTTGTCTTTTAGGTTCCTATCAAAAGGTGGAGCTACAACGGTTTAAGGTTAGAATCTAAAGGAAAGTTTGAGTTCTAACCTCCCATCCACATTCGTTGTTACTGTAAAAAAATTTTTAATCCTTTTTGACATTCTGTAGCTACTTTTTAAAAAGTGCCATCAACTTCTGCTTCCAGCCAAGATGGAGTAACAGTGATTAGATTACCTTCCTACCTTAAACAGCTAAAAGAACAGACAAAATATATTAAACATCAGCTTTCAAACACCTGGACACCAGACAATGAGGAAGAGTGATCAATGAAAGATGGTAAACAAAAGAGGTGAACCCTAGGACTAGCCCAGCAGATAGTCTGGAGAGTTTCCAGGATGTGAGACAGGGAGGGAACCCAGGTAAAGCCTGAGTCTCCCTAAGTTGCTGAGACACACGGCTGTAAGTCCAGGGCAGCCAAGACGATTGGGGTTCGCAGAGAGGGTAATGGGGAAGAGAGCATTGCCAAGAGAAAAAACTTCAGAGATCTGGAAAGATTACCCTCCCACACCCTGCCCTCAAGTCTTCTGGTGAGTACTTATCAGCATTTACATGTGAGGAAATTACCCAAGACTGAAAAAAAAATCATCCAAAAAAAAAAAAAAATTAGAACAATTACCAGAGCTCACCTAGAGCTGGGAATAGTTCTTGATACCCTGACACCATCAGGCAGAGTGGAAAACCTCATAATCCACAGCCTCATGGAAGGAGAGGACTCAGAGGATGTTGCCCAAGACTAAATCCTACTCTGGTCCCCCTAACAAACTTAAGAGCAAGACCCAAAAGGATCAAAATGTCTCCAAGTAACTACCCCCAGTACAAAGCTCGAAATATTTATAGGAATTCAAAAATATCCAGCACCCAACGAGGCAAAATTCACAACGTCTGACCTCCACGAAAAAACAACTGGACATTCAAAGATGCACAAAAATATGACCCAAAATAAATAAAAGAATCAACCAAGCAAAACTAACCCAGAAATAACACAGACAATAGGATTAGTAGACAAGAACAATTAAATAGTTATTATGACTATACTATATACATTCAACATCATACTGCAAGTCCTAGCTAGTGCAAAAAGTCAAGAAAAGGAAGTAAAAGGTATACAGACTGGGAAGGAAGAAACAAAACTGTCTATTTGCAGATGATATAAATGTCTATGTAGAAAATCCCAAAGAATTGACCAAAAAAACCCTCTCGTAACACTGTTACATGATACAAGGTTAACACAAAAAAGTCAACTACTTTCCTACGAACCAGCAATGAACAATTGGAATTTGAAATTTAAAACACAATGGCATTTATAATAGTACCAGAAATGAAATAGGTGCATATACATCTACCAAAATATTTACAGGATTTAAATGCAGAAAACTAAAACATAATAAAAGAAATTAAAGAAGTTCTAAAGAAACGGAGATATATTCCATGTTCACGGATTAGAAAACTCATTACTGTTATGATGCCAATTCTTCTCAATTTGATCTACAGATTCAATGCATTCCCAATCATAATTCCAGCAAGCTATTTTGTAAATATCAACAAAGTGAATTTAAAGTTTATATGCAAAGGCAAAAGACCCAGAATAGCCAACACAAAACTGAAGAAGAGTAAAAAGCTGGAGAACTGACACTACCTGACTTTAAGACTTATAAAGCTATAGTAATTAAGACGTCATGTAATTGGTGAAAGAACAGACACATAGATCAATGGAACAGAGAGTCCAGAAATAGACCCACACAAATACAGTCAACTAGTCTTTGACAAAGGAGCAAAGGCAATTAAACAGAGAAAGAAGAGTATTTTCAGCAAATGGTGTTGGAAATATTGAATGTCCACATGCAAAATAATGCATCTAGACACAAAACTTTCACAAATACTAACTCAAATTAGACAGAAAGGAAAATTAGAAAGTATTTCTAACTGAATGAACATAAAAACACAGCATATCAAAATTTGTGAGCTGTCGCTTAGAAAGAAATTTATGTCACCCAACATCGACATTAGAAACGAAGAAAGGAGAAGGAAGTAGGGGATGGGGAAGGAATGATCTCAGCATCCACTTAAGAAAACCAAACCTTCAGGAACCCAAAGTATGCAGAAAAAAACGAAGCAATATACATTAGAGCAAAAATCAATGAAACAGGAAAAACACTGGAGAAAATCAATGGAATGAAAAGCTAGTTCACTGAGAAAATAAAATTTGCAAACCTATAGCCAAATTGATCAAGGAAAAAAAGAGAAAGGACATAAAATATCAATATCAGAAATAAGAGAATTGACATTACTACAGATCGATAGATATCAAAAGGATAAAGAAATATTTTTAAAAACTTTATGCCAATAAATTCAGTAACTTAGATAAAATATACACATTCTTGAAAGAAAAAAAAGTAACAAAGCTCATGCAAGAAGAAATAGATCTAAAGAGTCCTATTAAAGAATAGAATTTGTAGTTAAAAACCTTTCCACAGTCTGGGCACGGTGGCTCACGCCTGTAATCCCAGCACTTTGGGAGGCTGAGGCAGGTGGATTGCTTGAGCTCAGGAGTTTGAGACTTGCCTGGGTAACAAATGAAAACCCCATCTCTACAAAAAAAATACAAAAATTAGCTGGGTATGGTGGTGCACACCTCTAGTCCCAGCTACTAGGGAGGCTGAGGTGGGAGGATTGCTTGAAGCCGGGAGATAGAGGTTGCAGTGAGCCAAGATCACTCCACTGCACTCCAGCCTAGGCGACAGAGTCACACCCTTTCTCAAAACAAAACAAAAACAAAAACAAAATCTTTCCACAAATCACTGATAACCTCACTGGTGAATTCTACCAAATATTTCAGGAAAAAATAATGTTAATTCACACAAACTATTTCAGATAACTGATAAGGAAGAAATATTTCTCAACTCATCTATTAGGCCAGCATTACTCTAATATCAAAATCAGACAAACACATTACAAAAGAAAACTACAGACCAATATCCCTCATGAAAATAAATGCAGGCCGGGCACAGTACCTCACACTTGTAATCCCAGCACTTTGGGAGGCCACGGGTGCATAACCTGAGGTCAGGTGTTTGAGACCAGCCTAACCAATATGGTGAAATCCCATCTCTACTTAAAATACAGAAATCACCTGGGCATGGTGGCGTGCACCTGTAGTCCCAGCTACTCAGGAGGCTGAGACAGAAGAATTGCTTGAACTGGGAGGCGGAGCTTGCAGTGAGCCGAGACTGCACCACTGCACTCCAGCCTGGGTGATAGAGCAAGACTTTGTCTCAAAAAAAAAAAGGAAACATTCTTAAAATTTTAGGAAATGAAAGTCTTATATAAAAAAGAATACATCATGACCTATTAATAGGTTTATTCTAGGAATGGTTTAACATTCAAATATCAATGTAATCCGTATTTACAGACTAAAAAAGAAAAATGAGGTAATCAGGTCAATAAATGCAGAAAAAGCATTTGACAAAATCCAACATCCATTTCTGATAAACACTCAGTGAACTAGGAAGAGAAAAGGACTTCCTCAATCTGATGAAGGGTGTCTATAGAACACCTACAACAAATATCACACATTTCAATATTATCTTGGAGGTTTTAGTCAGTGAAAAATAAAAAGAAATATAAGCTCTCTAGATTAGAAAGGAATAAGTAAAACTGCCTTTGTTCACAAATGACATGGCTGTCCAACTAGAAAATCGAAGGAATACACAAAGAAGTTACTGGAACTAATAAGTAAGTTTATCAAGGTTTCAGGATAGAAGATCAAGACATAAAAATCAATTGTATTTCTATATACTTGCACCAAACAATTGGGACTATTTACATTATCAAAAATATGAAATGCTTAGGGATAAATATGGCAAAAGATGTTCAACATCTGCACACCAAAAAGTAACACTGCTTTTACTCTCAGAAAACACTGCTGAGAGAAAGCAAAGAAGACCTAAATAAACAGAGAGATATACCGTGTCTGTGGGTTGGAAGACTCATTGCTGTTCATTACTGTTAAGCTAACAATTTTCCCTACAGAAAAATTTAATGTATAGATTCAATGCAATCAATAAAAATCCCAGCAGGATTTTTGTAGAAACTCAATAGCAGATCCCAAAATGCACATGGAAATGTGAAGAACCTAGACTAGCCACAACTTTGAAAAAGAGCAAAGCTGAAAGACTTACACTGCCCAACTTAAGTGACAGTCATCAAGACAACATGGTAATGGTGTAAACAGATCAACAGAATAGAATAGAGAGTTAAGAAACAGACCGATACCTTTATGGGCAACTGATTTTTAACAAAAGTACAAAGGCAATTCAGTAGAGAAAAGACAGTCTTTTCAACAAATTAGGCTGGAACAATTGCATATCCATACCCACACACACAAAAGAACCTCAATCCATACATTGCACCATATGCAAAAATTAATTCAAAATGGATCATAAACCTAAAAGTAAGAAATAAAACTATAAAACTTGTAGAAGAAAACTGAGGAGGAAATCTTTATAACCTTGGTTAGGCAAAGATCTTGTAGATATGACAGCAAAACCCCAATCCATAAAAACAAAACAAAACTTATTGAGTACTATGCTCACTACCTGGGTGTCAGAATCAATCATACCCCAAACCTCAGCATCATGAAATACACCCATGTAAGAACCGACACATGTACCCCTTGAATCTAAAATAAAAGTTGAAATTATTTTTTAAAAAAGAAAAAAATGGTAAATTAGATTTAAGAACTTCTGCTTTTCAAAAGACACTGTTAGGAGAGTGAAAAGATAAGCCACAGAACAAGAGAAAATATTTACAAATCACATATCTGATAAAGAACTTGTATCCAGAATATATGAAGCATTCTCAAAGCTCAACAAGAAAGTGAATAACCCAATTTTAAAACGAAGCAAAAGATCTAACAGAGACTTGGCCAAGGAAGATATACAGATGGCAAATAAGCATATCAAAAGGTGCTCAACATCATTAGTCATTAGGGAAATGCAAATTAAAACCGAAATGAGTTATCACCTCACGCCCGTTAGAAGGTCTGAAAATAAAAAGACCGACCACACCAAGTTTTGGTGAGCATGTGAATCAGCAATTGCATCTCTGACATGGCTGTGGGGATGTCAGGTGGTACAACCACTTTGGCAGACAGCTAAACACACACCCACTATTGAGTCCGGCCATTCCATGCCCAAGTATTTCCCCAAGAGAAATGAAAGCCTCCATCCATACAAAGACATGGACACAAATGTTAAAAGCAGCTTTATTTGTAATAGCCAAAAACTACTGGGACATTTGGGAAACAGCCCAAATGTCCATCAACAAGTAAATGGATAAATAAACTGTGGTAGGTCCATACAATGGCGCCCAGCGATAAAAACATATTAACATTGATACAAGCAACAGCACGGATGAATATCAAAATTGTGCTGGGTGAAAGCAGCCAGAAAATAGAGTACATTCTGCATGGTTCCAGTTACATAAGATTACACAAAATGCAAACTAATCAATAGTGACAGGTCAGTAGTTGGAGTGGAGGGGGGCAGGGAGGGCTGACAAAGGGGCACAAAAGAAACTTTAGGGGCAATGAACATCTTCATTATCTTGATTGTGGTTATGGTCTCATGAACATATACAGATGTCAAAACTTATCAAATTGTTCATTTAAATATGCTCAGATTATTATAGGTTGATACCTCAAGAAAGCTTTTTTGTTAAGGGGAGGAAGCAGCAAAAAAAAAAAAAATCCCATCATTCAGTAAAAAATGAAAAGAAAAAAATTGTATATTTGTTAATGATTTCAGCAAACCTACTCAACTGCTGGAAGATATCATAAATCCTTCATGGAATGAGGCAGGATATTAAAAATAAGAAAATATTCAGTTTGGACAAAGAAAAAAAAGATGTATTGAACTGTGTTTGGATCTATAGGTTGCAGCAGATTTTTTTTCTTAATGAACTCGTTCATTTAAAAAAAGAGAAAATAGTTGTATTCCAGGCCAGTATACCACATATTTCAGCAGCCAGCACAGAAGTGTATGCCTCCCACCATTTTACTCTCTTAGAATAGCTTTCAAAATCCCACTGAAAATTCCTGATGCCAGATTCCACACAGGATGAGAGGCCCTGGCCCACAGCTGCCGATGGGAGCAACAGGAGTGATGCCAGTGGGCCCAACGATGGGGGGAACCTCTACCCATGCCTTTCCAGGGTACCTGTCCCGGGTCCCTGGAGCAGCTGCACTCTCCCCTGGCTCTCTTTTCATTATAGTTCAGAGAGTGAGACTACGACCGGATGATCAATGGAATCATTTTGCGGAATATTCAGATCTACCCAAGAAAACATTTGCCTTTCCACTTCAAAGCCCTGCTCCAAATCCCACACCAAAATATACTGGAAAACACTGCTCAGAGTACGTTTATAAAACATTACCACTTTTTAAAGAGCATTCACATAACGTGAATTGACAATCTAGTTCTCTAATTTTTAAAATACACTTGAAAATACATTTGAGTTGTTGAATTTTCCAGAGTGAAAATTTGGAATTTAGAGAGGCACTGAGAGGGCCCTTAGATGACACAGGACAGTATTCTTGATCCAGGTGACACTGGTGGCTGAGTTTTAAAGAATCAAAAGGAGTTGGTCAAAGAGAGAAAAGGGACATCTGACAAAGGGCCCGGTCTGGACAGTTGTCCTACATTATCGGCAGTCTGATTCTTTGAGTACTATTTGAAGTTTAATCCAAAATGGGCGCAGTGGCTCATACCTGTAATCCCAGCACTTTAGGAGGCTGAGGCGGGCGGATCACCTGAGGTCAGGAGTTCGAGACCAGCCTGGCCAACGTGGTGAAACCCCGTCTCTACTAAAAATACAAAACTTAGCTGGGGGCGGTGGTGGGTGCCTGTAATCCCAGCTACTTGGGAGGCTGAGGCAGGAGAATTGCTTGAACCCGGGAGGTGGAGGTTGCAGTGAGCCGAGATTGCACCACTGCACTCCAGCCTGGGTGACAAGAGCTAGACTCTGTCTCAAAAAACAAAAAAAACAAAAAGGCAAAACATGAATGCTCCAAAAAGTGCAAAAAAAGCCAAGAAAGCAGGAGGGAAGAGGAAACGATGATTAAAATAACATTGTCAATCTAGCACCATCAGAGAATAAGCTTCCTGGAAAGCCAGGTATTAGGAAGGGTCCACCTTTCAAGTAGCACCCTTTTTTCTTTTAAATTTCAACCATTTTGTTCAATAACAAAAAGATAAACAACCCAATTTCAAAATGGGCAAAGACCTTAAATAGATGTTTCTCTAAGAAGATATACAAATGGCCAATAAGCACATGAAAAGACACTCAACATCACTAGTCATTACAGAAACGCAAATTAAAGCCATAATGAGCTACTCCTTCACACATACTAGAATGGCTATCATAAAAAAAATGAAAATAACAAGCATTGGCAAGAATGCGAAGAAATTAGAACCCTCTTGCACTGCTGGTAGGAATGTAAAATGGTACAGCCATTGTGGAAAACAGTTTTGGCAGATCCTCAAAAAGTTAAACGTAGGATCACCATATGATCCGGCAATTCTACTCCTAGGTAGACACGCAATAGAACTGAAAACAGAGGCTTGAACAGGTATTTCAAAGCTATGTTCAAAACAGCATTATTCACAATAGCCAGAAGGTAGAAACAACCCAAATGTCCATGGATGGATGAACGGATAAGCAAAATGGGACCTATCCATATAATCGAATATTATTTGGCCATAAAGGAATATAGTTCTGGTAAGCAGATGGAACTTGAAAACATTATGCTAAGTGAAATAAACCAGTCACAAAAAGACTAGTATTGTATGAGACAAATATTATATTTCATCTAAGTCACTACTACAGAGTAAGGTGAGATACACAGAGTAGGCAAATTCAGAGACAGAAAGCAGACTGTGGGTTACCACGGGCTGGGAGGCGGGAGGGATGGGGAGGTGCTGCTTCATTGAGTACTGAGTTTCAGTTTGGGGTCATGAAAATTTTTGAAGTAGAGAGTGGTGATGGTTGCACAATATTGTGAATGTAATTAATGTCACTGAATTTATACATTTAAAATGGTTAAAATCACAAATTTTGTTACATATATTTTACCACAATTTAAAAATAACAAAATAATTCAACCATTTTGAAAGACTGGCTTTCAAGAAAGTGATATATTCATTCAAGTGTTCACTCAAAAAGCAATAATGAAGAGAACCTTCTGGGCCAGAGACTTTGTGGGGTGAGGGACAGATGCTGTCACTCATGAGAGTGCAACAGCAAAGAAAAAGGCAGAGCCTCCTCCAGAGGCACTGAGAGGGGCCCTGGATGACACAGGAAAGGATTCTTGGTCCAGGTGACACTGGTGGCTGGGTTTTAAAGAATAAAAAGGAGTTGGTCAAACAGAGAAAAAGGGGCGCCCAAAGAAGGGCCCAGTCTGTACAGTGGCCCCCCCATTAACCACAGGAGATACATTCCAAGACCCGCAGGGGATTCCTGGAACTGTGGACAGCACTGAACCCTATATACACTGTGTTTTTTCCTAGACAGTTGAACAACACTGGTTTGAATTGCGTGGATCCACTTCTATGTGGATTTTTTTCTGCTTGTCACTCCTGAGACAGCAAGACCAATGCTTTCCTCTTCCTCCTCCTCCTCAGCCTACTCAACGTGAAGACGACGAGGATGAAGACCGTTATGATGACCCGCTTCCACTAACAGAATAGTAAATACATTTTCTCTTCCTTATGATTTCCTTAATAACATTTTCTTTTCTCCAGCTTATTTGAAGAATACAGCATATAATACATATAACATACAAAATATGTGTTTATCAACTGTTTATGTTACTGGTAAGGCTTCTGGTCAACAGCAGGCTATTTGTAGTTAACTTCTGGGGAATCAAAAGTAGATTTTCAACTGTGTGGGGATTAGCACCCGTAACCCCTATATTGTTCAAGGGTCAAGTGTATATATATACCTATGGTGACCTATGATGATGTTTAATTCATAAATTAGACACTGTAAGAGATTAAGTAATAATAAATAACTAATAATAAAATAGAACAATTATAACAATATGCCAGCATCACTACTCTTGAGCTTTGAGGCCACTACTGGTAAAATAAGGGTTCCTTGAATACAAGAACTGTGATACCATGATAGTCATTTGATAACGGAGACTCCTATTAAGTGACTCATGGGTAGGGGCGTCTACAGTGTGGGTGCATGGGACAAAGGGATGAAAGCAGACGGCACAAGGTTTCATCCTGCCACTCAGAATGGCATACAATTTAAAACTTAGAAATTGCTTATTTCTGAAATTTTCCATTTAATATCCTCAGACTGCAGCTGACTGTGGGTAACTGAAACTGCAGAAAGCAAAACTGAATAACGGAAGACTGCTGTATAAGAATAGCGAACAGAAATATTCAAAACAAAAGAGCTAACAAGCATCTGTAATTTTAATATAAAATGAAATATTGTTGGGTAACACATACATGACTAGAATCATAACAAGAAAGAACTCTAACTCTCAAACATCTATGAAATGACCTGAGATCAAGACCTAGACTGCAAGCACACCGAAATCTTCAATTCCCTCCATTTCATTCACAGGCAAGAATCCTGCAGAGACAGTGTTCATATTATACACCAACCATCGCATCTACTGCACCCAGACACCCTGCTGGGTGCTCACGGGACCCATGCCTGCGGGTCTGCACACTCTACAGCGGCATGTTAGCTTGCTAGGGCTGCCATAACAAAGTACTACAGACTGGGGGGCTTAAACAATCCTGGAGGCTGGACATCTGAGATCAAGTTTAGCTTCCTGAGATCAAGGTCAGCAGGGTTCGTTTCTTCTGAGGCCTCTCTCGCTGGCCGTCTTCTCCCTTTCAGGTGGTTGCCCCCTCTATGTGTCTAAGTCTTATCTCCTCTTCTTATAAGGACACCAGTCAGACTGGAGTAGGGCCCACTCTAACGGCCACGTTTAACTTAATCACCTCTTTAAAGACTCTATTTCCAAGTATAGTCATGCTCTGAGGCACTAGGGTTAGAGATTCAACACATGAATTTGGGGTAACACAAGTAAGCCCATAACAGAGGGTATTTATAGTACTCGTGCCTACTGGGCCTGGATACGCTGCAAGGGTATTTGCACCTTACTTGTGGCTACTAGGTGCCGCTACTCTGCCGGGGTACTTCGAGTACTCATACCAGCTATGCTGCCAGGGTACTCACGATACTCAAAACCGGCAAGGTCCAGTTACGCTAGTTTCTTCTGAGGCCTCTCTCGCTGGCCATCTTCTCCCTGTGTCTTCAGGTGGTCATCCTCCTCTACGTGTCTGTGACTAATCTCCTCTTCTTATAAGGACACTAGCCAGACTGGATTAGGGCCCAGGGTTAGTTTCTTCTGAGGCCTCTCTCACTGGCTGTCTTCTCCCCATGTCTTCAGGTGGTCATCCCCCTCTACATGTAAATACCCCCCAGCGTATTTACAGTCAGTGACTGGCTCCCTGGGACTGCCTGCAGCACTGCTGTATTTATTCAGCACTTAGTACGTGTACAAAATCTGGCGCTGAATGAATGAAAAAAATTAATGGATGAGTTTACTGACACTCTCTGCCTCAAATAGTCTTCTCCATGTGCTGAGCTCCATCCTGCTCTGTCCCTAGTCAAGATGAAGTCCTTTGTTGTGTAGAATATTCCAGTCCTGATGAAGTCCTACCATGAGTTCTGTGCCTGATTTGTTTCCACTCCTTGGCAGCAGTGTGGACTTAATCACATTTATAACATGCATGGAATTCTTCAATAGTCTCGTCTTTTTCTGACCTAAGGTGTTTTTTTGTTTTTTTTTGTTTTTTTTTCCCAAGAAGCAAGATGATACTAAAATTGGACCCTACCACGGTGTTACACAGCAGTGGCGTTAGTCAATGAACAAAGAAGTGTCCATTCACAATGGGGCAGGGGCTCATTCTCACCAGGCCCATGGGGAACTGCAGAAGGCTGTGGCGTGCTGCTTAAGGAATAATCCTCCGGTGATCAAACTTGGGCCCTTGGAGGAGTGAGTTGGCAAGACTAGAATTCTAACCCTTCTTGGGAATTGTACAGTGCATCCACATAATTTAGTCCTATCCCTTTCTTGCTCAAAATCAATGCATAGGGCTGGGCACAGTGGCTCACGCCTGTAATCCCAGCACTGTGGGAGGCTGAGGGAGGCGGATCACATGAGGTCAGGTGTTCGAAACCAGCCTGGCCAACATGGCAAAACCCTGTGTCTACTAAAAATACAAAAATTAGCAGGGCGTGGTGGCACATGCCTGTAATCCCAGTTACTCGAGAGGCTGAGGCAGGAGAATTGCTTGAACCTGGGAGGAGGAGGTTGCAGTGAGCCGAGATCACGCCACTGCACTCCAGCCTGGGTGACGGAGCAAGACTCCATCTCAAAAAAAAAAAAAAAAAAAAAAAAATCAATGCACAGAAGCAGACTTTAAATGCTAAAGACTTTCAAAACATACAAAGGTCAACCTCACAAGAACTCACATTAAGCCAACACAATTGCCTACTGTTGTACAACGGCCCACCAAAGTTTTCTTGCAGTGGTAAGCATGGATCTCGGCTTGCTTACTGTAAAGTTCAGAGGCAAGACTTTGTAAAAAGTCCCTGCTTCACTGAAAAGTGATGCCTTACATCTAAAATGAGTTCGTTTACATGAAAAAACCTTCCCTTATGTCCTCTCCAAGCATATTCACCTCGACTGCTCCCTTTGCAGTCTACAAGCACTCTGAAGGAGAAATCTGTGGCATCTAAGTGGAAATACATGGCAAGGGGCTGGGGCTAGTTATGAACTCAGTAAACTTGCAATAAACTCCTAGTAAGCGCTTAGTGTGGCTCCAGGTGCTGACAATAACAGTTCCTAGCCCTTCAGGAGTTCAGAGGCTGACAGGAAAAACACAGAAACATAAATTTCCAGACTGTGGTGAGGTTGAAGAGAGGTGAACATAAGGCCTGGGACAGAGAAGACAAGGAGATGTGGTAGAAAGGGCTGAGTCTCGAGTTAGGACACTCAGTTCTGCCCCTTGATAGTATGTGATCTCGGGCAGTAGCTTGATCTCTCTGAGGTACGTTCCACCCACAATCCCACTACCGGGTATCTATCCAAAGGAAGTGAAATCATTGTATCAAACAGACATCAGCACCCACATGTTCATCACAGCACTATTCACAACAGCAAAGTCATGGAATCAATCTAAGTGTCCATCAATGAAGGACTGGATAAACAAAATGTGGTGGCCAGGCACAGGGCTCATACTTGTAATCCCAGCACTTTGGGAGGCCAAGGTGGGAGGATCATTTGAGCCCAGGAGTTCAAGACTGGCCTGGGCAACATAGCAAGACCCCCATCTCTACAAAACAATACAAAAACTAGCCGAGCATAGTGGCACACACCTGTAGTCCCAGTTACTTGTCAGGCTGAGGTGGGAGTATCACTTGAACCCTGGAGGCAGAGGTTGCAGTGAGCTGAGACTGTGCCACTGCACTCCAGCCTGGGAGACAGAACAAGATCCTGTCTCAAAAAAATAAAAATGACCCTGGAATATTACACAGCCATAAAAAAGAATGAAATCATGTCTTCTTTAGCAACATGGATGGAACTGGAATCCACTATTCTAAGTGCAGTAACTCAGAAACAGAAAATTCTATACTGCACGTCCTTACTCATAAGTGGGAGCTAAACAGTGGTTCACATGGACACACAGTGGAATAATAGACACTGGAGGCTCCAAAAGGGTGGAGGGTAGGAGGGGGGAGGATTGAAAATCGCCTATTGTGCTCACTATGGGGTCCACTGTTCAGGGTACAGTGTTCACCATTCCAGCGATAGGTTCACCAGAAGCCCAAACCTCACCATTATGCAATATGTCCATGTAACAAACCTACCTGCACTGTACCCCTAAAGCGATTTTTACAAGAAGAAAAAAAAAAGAAATTTTCACTGATAAGACCTGAAAAGCTACTTACTGTGTTGAGGCCAATTACTGACATATATATGTGTGTACACAGTATGTGTATGCAGGGATCCATGCTGTATTATTGTGATTTTGATTTGCATTTCCGAGGCCAATTACTGACATACATATGTGTGTACATAGTATGTGTATGCAGGGATCCATGCTGTATTATTGTGATTTTGATTTACATTTCCCTAATAAAAACGTGATGCATCTAAAAAATAAATAAATAAGACACAGAGGAAACATGGTGAGAATAACGCTTAGCACATAGAGGAGAATGAGGATTAGAGGTGATGCATGGAGCCGGGCGTGGTGGCTCACGCCTGTAATCCCAGCACTTTGGGAGGCTGAGGCGGGTGGATCGCCTGAGGTCAGGAGTTTGAGACCAGCCAGACCAACATAGTGAAACCCCATCTCTACTAAAAAAATACAAAAAATTAGCTGGGCATGGTGGCGGGTGCCTGTAATCCCAGCTACTAGGGAGGCTAAGGCAGGAGAATCCCTTCAATCCGGGAGGCAGAGGTTGCAGTGAACCGAGATCGCGCCACGGCACTCCATTCCAGCCTGGCGACAGAGCGAGACTCCATCTTAAAAAAAAGAGAGAGAGATGATGCATGGGAAAGTCCTTGGGGCCTAGTAGCTACACAATGCACCACAGCTGTGGTTACTTTAGCCTGGAAGAATCAGGGAAAGCTTCCTGGAGGAAATGGCGCCTGACTCCAGTTTAAGTAGAGAGATACCAAGTGACAGCCAGGCTACACACTCTGTCCCTTCAGTCACTGTTTTAGTTCTTCACCATACTCAACCCTCCAGGGAACTCTCTTGTTCACTTATCTGCTTGCTTGCCCACTGTCCCTCTCCCACTAGAATGTGAGGACTTGTTTTGTTGGTTTGTTGTCTTCACTGCTCTTTCCCAGAGCCTAGAACTGGGCTTGGCACCCTGGAGACACTCAATCTACGCAGGAAGAATGAACACGTTCTAGCACTTTCACGGTCCAGGCTCTAACCAGACATTGGTTCATTTGTTTCTACAATGATCAAGACTGTTAGGATCGGTATTATTTGATACTTTATCCAATTTTATAGATCACAGAAATTCAGGCTCAGAGAGGACGTCCAGACCCGAAGTGTAATCCAGGCCTCATCACACTAAGCCTGGTGACCCTCCTGCAACACTGCACTCCACTGGAAATGCCTGGTTCTGATGGCTAAGTGGGGACACAGCCACAGTGCGGCCAGGGCAAGGCCGACACCACCCACGTGCAGGGCAGATGCTGCTGTGAGCCGGGAACTAGCACAAGCAGAAGAAAAGAAGCTACTCTGCCAGCAGCAGGGTCTCTTAAGTGGCAATTTTATTAAAAGCAACTGAGTCTGGACGACAAGCAGCTAGTTACACATCATAAGCTGGCCGTCCCACCCCACCCTGGAACCGGAGGGCACGGCAGGATCACGCATCTCAAACCAGAAGGGCACAGGGGGCTGGGTCTTCTTCCCGGAGGAGATGGCTCTGTAGGGCCCGGCGCTTAGGCTTGCTGGAACCCACACTTGTCAAAGCATTGACACCCAGTGTGTATCCAGAAAACACAGATGGATTGGACTGGTGACAACAGCATGTCTGGTGGGGCAAAGCAGGCCAAAAAGAAGGCGTGCTAAAATAGGAAAAGACTGGAGAGACGCTTCAGCAGCCTGAGCGGGAACCAAAGAAATGGAAATAAGAAACGCAACTGAAGAAAGGAGGAGTGTGGCTTTGGCTGGCAAAGCCCCTCCAAGTGGGCTTCCTCTACTGCCACCCCCTGCAGGCAAGTTTAAGTTCAATGGCCTTTCATGTGGGGCATGGGGATAATAAAGAAAAAAGAAACGGCATTTCTTGGCACAATCACTGGCTCTGCAAGTCCCAGTCCAAGAGGTATCACCTACAAGAGGGGCTAAGAAAGAAAATGAGAGAGATGGAGGGGGTGTGGAGAAATAATATAAATGAATATGAAAAAGATAAATCAAAGGAAGACAGAGAAGGTGCAGTACAAGATCTTTATTTCCCTGCCCTCATCCTCCAGCTGGGGGCTCAACTTCCTCAGAGCACTGGTGAGAACAATAATGATTTTTAACCCTAGTTATATTACCATTCAAATCATATCTGTGAATGGAGCTTACAAATACAAAGAATTATTACTATTGTTATTCAAACAGCTGAGTGTTGTTAAATGATTATTCATCAGTTACCAGGGTTTCCCCTCTCTCTCTCACACACATACACACACAGCCACATGCACATGTATTCTCATATATAGTGCCTGCATTTGGTATTCAAAAACACCATTAACGATGGAGCTATGGTCTCAAAAGGTGGAACTAAAAAAAAACATATGTCCTAGGATACTAAGGACTCCTAACTATATTGAAGATACATGCAACCTGCCCTCTGGTAGGACATCAGAGCTTCCCCTTGCAATCATCTGCAACCACCTGGAGGGCTGCAAAATGCCTTTGTTCCAACACGAGCAACCGATCGGATCCCTCATCTCACACACCAGGCTGGCTGGCTGCTGCTTATTCCACAGTCTTCCACAGCCACGTGGCAGCATTTGAAGCTGTGCTTCAACCTGCCTTCTTGATTTACTGCCCTCCTGATAGGGAGTGAACAAACACTCTAGCTATCTAACCACAGATACATTCCCTGCCAGTGGTCTGTGGTTAGCCACAGAAGTACATTATAAAACCGACATATTAGCACGTAGAAATGTATCTGTAGATCCTAATCTCAATGATTTTTAGATCCATTCCTATTCCATTTCATCATGTGTTGTCACATGGCACAGACACTCTAGAGTCAAAAGGGCCGGTGTCCCCTTCCTTCTGCCCAGGCTGGAGTGCAGTGGCACAATCTGCTTCTCCTGGAGCAGAAGGCAGCAGGTGTGACAAATGGAAAGAGCCCTGGATGTCAAAAGATGTGGAGTCAAATTATCCTGAACAAGTCACTCAGCCAGACCCAATTTCCTCACCTGTATCATATGGATAATGGTCTTGTTTTGCAAGGCTACTGGGAGGCATTTTTGTTTTAAGAGACAAAAGGGAGGGAGAGACGGTCTTGCTATGTTGCTCGGGCTGGTCTTGAACTTTTGGCCTCAAGTGATTCCCCCGTCTCAGCCTCTCAACAGCTGGGATTATAGGCATGAGCCACTTTGCCCGGCTTGGAGAGGCTCAAATTTTAAAAAGCTCTATATAAAAGCAGGAAAAATTTAAAAGTTAAAGTAAGAGGCTGGGCGTGGTGCCTCAAGCCTGTAATCGCAACACTTTGAGATGTTGAGGCAGGAGGACTAAGTTCAAGACCAGCTTGGGCAACCAAGTGAGACCCTGTCTCAACAACAACAAAATTAGCCAGGCATGGTGGCACATGCCTACGGTCCTAGCCACTTGGGCGGCTCAGGCAGTAGGATCACTTGAGCCCAGGTGCTTGAGTCTGCAGTGAGCTATGACCGTGTCACTGCACTCTAGCCTGGGCAGAGCAAGACACTGTCTCCAAAAAAAAAAAAAAAAAAAGTAAATGTAAGAAGTCCTGCTGCAATAACCATGTTAGGCATCATCCAGCCTCTGCTTGAACCTTCAAATGCAATTGGGGGCGGGCACTTTCTAAGGCAAGTGGTTCCACTGTTAGAAAGTGTGTAGGCTTTTGAAAAATCTCAGCTGAAATCTGCCACCGGGCCTCCGTGCACCTTCCCACCACATGGCTCCTCCTTCCATGCTTTTCCTCATCTCCTTGTAGTGGAGGCACTTCAGTTCAGTTTACAGCAACCGACTAGAGACGACACTTGGACCTAAGTGTTAATGGAGGTGAACTAAAGCAAAATATAGCTTCAATTTGGAACCTGCCCCTGGATCCTTTACCTGACGTTAAGACACCGGTATACAAGCTGTGGTTAGGAATTCATTTGCTCACAGAAAAAGTACATTGGGATAATGGAAAAGTAATTACTCTGTATCTTTGGTTTCGTATTTTGCCTGCACTGTATATCTGACTGTGCATTGAACTGGTGTTCTAACCAAATGGTAAAACTATGATGCAGAAACCAGGGTGAGAAGAGGTTGAGATGTCAAGATTCTTCTCTTCATCCTCAATAGTCCTCCCTTTGCAAGAGGCCAGCTGCTGAGCACGGGCTACCAATAGTAAGGTCCAAGACGTACAGAAGCTTCCTCTCCGCTGAGCAATGCAGTTGAGTGACCAGGTTTCTTAGGCTACACCGTCACTGATTACAAGTGAGAGCAACGTGCCATACAATTCACTTTCAGTAACCACAAAACGAAAAATATATCAATAAAACAAAATACTGTGTTAGCCCCTGCTCCCATGTATAGGTAGAGCTAAAAAGCTTTAAGTAAAAATATGTAAAGATATATCAACTTCCACAACCACATACCAGGTTGATAATAACCTTAAAACTCTTGCTGCCAAGTTGCCTATATTCTGGAAGTTAGGATGGCTGGTATCAGACAGGAACATCCTCCAGACATGCTCAGCTCTTCCATTGGAACCCCCCAGGCCCTGAGTTATAGGGAAGTACTATTAATTGGTGGCCTAGGTGATAAGCAAATTGCCTGTGTGTCACAAGCTCAGGGCTAAGAGTCATTTTATTTGGTTATTATTTTATTCCTCTTGATTTTAAAAGTGCAGAAGCACATTACACAAGATTTTCAAACGCAGAGAAACAGAAAGTAATCGTGAGCCCTCCCCCAGCCCAGTGAGGCTGGCTGCGTGGTGTGGGCCTGGGCGCTTCACTGAGGGATGCTCGGTGCGAGAGGCTGGGCTCCTGTTGCAGACCCGCCTTTTCCCCCTCCCATGTCTGCTTCACCCCTCCCACCACGGAGGGAAACCTCCAGACAGAGCTTCCTGACACCAAGCTCTAAGACGAGAGTGAACACCTCCATCTCCCCTCTTCCCGTCACCGCAGGGCCAAGGAACAGATCTTGTCTAAACTTCACGTGCACGCTGGCACTTCTAACATCATTTCCGTCGTGGCCACCCACCATAATGGAAATCATCACTTGCAAAATTACCAGGACACCTTATTCGTATAGAGAAAGAAGGGTTAACATTTCCGAGAACTATGAAACCATAGATGGGAAGGAAAAACCACCCTACTTTTAAAATAAAAATGTTCTGGTGGGAAAAGGAAATATAAACTGTAATTGGTATTTTTACCATCCTTTACAGACCTAAAGTCTGTGTGAGCTCAGGAACAAAATCGTATATTATATAGGCTGTATTCTCATAAAATATCATGTTTAGTATGTTACATTTAAAAGCATGTTCTGGCCAGGCGCAGTGGCTCATGCCTGTAGTCCCCACACCTTGGGAGGCCAAGGTGAAAGGATGACTTGAGGCCAAGAGTTCAAAGACCAATCTGGGCAACATAGCAAGACCCTGTCTCTAAAACAACTTTTTAAAAAACTTAGCCAAGCAGGGTGGTGCATGCCTACAGTCCCAGCCACTCAGGAGGCTGAGGATCACTTGAGCTCAGGAGTTTCTCAAGGCTGCAGTAAACTATGATTGCACCACTATACTGAAGCGTGGGTGACAGAGCGAGACCCTGTCTCTAAAAAACTAAATAAAATCAACAATTAAATTAATTTGAAAAGCATGTTCTGACGATATGTAGTTTAGTTGAGGAGTTAATAATTTAAAATTCTTCTCTGCTCTCCTCTGCAGACGTGAAGGACCAGGACGATCCAGGCCTCAGGTTTCCCTCCTCCTAAAACCCGTGGCTTGCTTTGACTTCTCTCCTGACTTGAGCCCTGTGACTATAGTCGGCAAGTCCACACTCTCCTTCTGGGTGATCTCATCAACAAGGGGGCCCTCAACCACGACCTACACTGATGACTCCTCAGCTGACACCTCAAGGCCAGAACCCTCTCAAGCTCCAGCTCTGACTCCTTCTGGACACTTCTGCCTGAAGATAGAGTGATGCACACGTGTGTGTGAATATGATACATGAAGTTCGCATGGTCATCTTGCCTCTAATCCTCTTCCCACACCCCTCACCTCTATGAAAGCACCACCGTGCAGCCATCAATCTACAAATCTTGGTGTATCTTTGACTGATTCCATATTTTTTGCCCTCTACATTGAATCAATCATCAAATCCTGCCTATTCGAATATCTGCAGATATAGGACATTAAATATCTTCTAAATATCCACACATTCACCTCCATTGTCACCTCCTTGGTTTGGGCCTAAGTGGTGTTTTCTGGACTCCGGCAACAACCTCAACTGGTTTATCCATCACTCTCATCACTCCGCATCCCATTCCTCTTCTTTATGTCTGAGTGATCCTTCCAAAGTGCAGATTTGATCACCTCACATCCCTGCTAAACTCCTGTAGTGGATCTCCATTGTCTTTGGGATCTGGCCTCCAGATACTTCTTTGGCCCCCTCTTATCCCTGAGCCCCCACCCCCAACTCTTGTACTGCAGCCCTACTGAACTATTTGTGGTTTCTTGAACACTGCACACTTTCGCCTGCTTCCAAGCCTTTTCCCGAGCCACTCTATCTTCATGGAACACCTCCCCCATCTTCTTTAACTGGCTTTACTTCTACTTCTACCCTTCCAAACTCAGCTCAGTGATACTTCCTCCAGGAAACACCCCTTATCACCACCACCAGAATACCAAGCTGGGCTGGGGGCTCCACCTACACTCTAGCAGAGCATCCCTTCTGCTTACTGTGATCATGGCACTTACGAGAAGGTTTTGCAAGCATCTGTTTACTTGACCCCCTTCTCCATTAGACCGTGAGCTCCTTGCAGTCAGGGACTGTGCCGTTCATCTGAGTATCCCCAGCACCTAGCACAACACCTGGCACAGAGTCGGCCCTCAAGGAATGTGCCGAATGGGGAACTTTCCAATACTCAACAGCAGCAGTTCTAAAAGTGTGGTCCACAGACCCCTGAGTCCCTGAGACCCCTTCAGGAAGTCCCTGAGGTCAGAATTACGTCCTTAACAATGCCAAGCTCTAATTTCCTTTGTCGTTGTGTGACACCTGCACTAATGCTGCGGGAGCCATGGTGGCGGCACCTGGGCTGCCTCAGCACCAGCCGGGACAGGCACCACGTCGCTGTGCTCTTCTTCACTGCCACCTACAAGAAAGATGCCAAGTTCATATACAAAGGCCTTTGATGACGCTGTAAACAATATTAATTTTATTAAAGCTCAACCCTTGAGTACAGGTCTCTTTATGAAGCACTTTTGCTGCACACCAGCCAAACTGAGCACTGTGCAGTCAAGCTGTGAGCTTCTTCTGAGGGAACATCATTTTCACTTGAAAGAACAACTGATGGACAAACCAGGGTTCTTCACACCTGAGTGTTCTATAATCATTTTCTCAAAAAAATGAATGTAGTAAGCCCGTCACTCCAGGAAAAACAACAGCATTTGCTGCCAAGGATAAATTTGAGCTTTCCAGAAAAAAAAGAAAGAACTTTGGAAAACTTGTACCAGCCTCTGTAAGCCTGACAGCTCCCCAACACCTACATGCTGTTTTGATGACATTGGGGGTTGATATTAACCCATGTGCTTTTTTGATATTGTATAATGAAATATGTCACATTTGGAAGGTCTGCATAACTCAGAGAATCAATGTTCTCAAGGAATCAAAGCACGGTGTTACAAAATCAAGCCTGGGAGAACAGCCATTTAAACGCAAGACAGACCAAAAAGCTTGAGAACTGCTAACCTACGTGCCAAAGTGAAGGACATGGAGTAGGAAGATGTCAGCCACACACAGCTCCATCCAAATGGACTCCTCCCTTCTCTGAGGCATCTGCCATGCCTCTGGCAGTTAGAAATGGATCTTACACTTGGATGTGACAGCTGTACCATTCTGGCTTAGGCCTTCTTCATTTCAAATGAAACATGCAACTTTCAAAGTTGGACCAAACTAAGAAGCAATGTGGGTCAGAAGAAGACCTATGGACCAGGAATCCCACTGTCACCAGGCGAGCTGAGTGAAGCATCCATCCAGCCTCTAAGCTCCTGATGTCCTTATCTGTAGCACGAGGCCTATCTGCCTACAGACAGACTGTGGTTGTGGGAATCAAATCAAACATGGGCTGGGTGCGGTGGCTCACGCCTATAATCCCATAACTTTGGGAGGCCAAGGCAGGCCAATCACCTGAGGTTAGGAGATCAAGACCAGCCTTACCAACATGGTGAAACCCCATCTCTACTAAAAATACAAAATTAGTCGGACATGGTAGTGGGCGTTTGTAGTCCCAGCTACTCAGGAGGCTGAGCCAGGAGAATCGCTTGAGCCCAGGAGGTGGAGGTTGCAGTGAGCCAAGATCATGTCACTGCACTGCAGCCTGGGCGACAGAGTGAGACTCCGTCTAAAAAAAATAATAAAGTCAAATATGAGTGAAAGTACGTCTAGTCGGATCTCTCTGACCACAGAGGTACCCCAGGCCATGCCTTGAGTTTCATCTGACAACATTTGACATCAATAATAATCCTCCAAAAGGAAGGATTCCATTGATGAAAGCCAGTGACTAGAAAGTAAAACAATGTGCAAACATCTGTGCTCTGAACAACAGCAGCTGCCGTAACTGAAGTGCTTGCTTCACAAGAATCTCCACATTCTTACCCCTGTCAGATTCTTACCCCTGTCAGATTTCTATCTTCCAGGAGCCGCCCTTTACCTCTGAGCATGACACAAGATGCTCATCTCGTAAGCATCTCTACGACAGAATCAAGGCTGATGTCACCGACGCAATTTACCTTTCAAGTCATAAAGAAACATCACAAACACCCTAAAAATCCCCTTAGCTCACAAAAACCCAACAAAGAGTAACTCAGAAATTTTCCTAATTCTACTAATCTCCAGTTCTGCCATCCAATCAAAGTTGTTTTTCTAGAATGCAGAAAGTATTTACAAAGAGCTGCTACAATTTGGCTCTCTAAAATAAAAAGCTATTCATCTTCATTTTAACAAAGTCAAAAAGAAACCATTGTTTGCAGAAGAAAAATAGATCAATTACAATTTTCTCTAAAATAAATCAATGTTAGTCATGACACAACAAGGGGGCATATCATTATACTATTAGAAGGTGTGCAGTTCTTAGAAGCCAAGCCTCAGCAGGGCGCAGTGGCTCACACCTGTAATCTTGGCACTTTGGGAAGCCGAGGCGAGCAGATCACAAGGTCAGGAGATCGAGACCATCCTGGCTAACACAGTGAAACCCCGTCTCTATTAAAAATACAAAAAATTAGCCGGGAGTGGTGGCAGGTGCCTGTAGTCCCAGCTACTTGGAAGGCTGAGGCAGGAGAAAAGTGTGAACCCGGGAGGTGGAGCTTGCAGTGAGCCGAGATCGCGCCACTGCACTCCAGCCTGGGCGACAGAGCGAGACTCTGTCTCAAAAAAAAAAAAAAAAAAAAGCCAAGCCTCACAGATCCCAGTTTTAGCATAAGGGGAAACTCAAGCTCGCAGATATCAAAATGACTAGGCAATGCTCAAGCCACGAGTATGGGCTCCACAGGAAGGTTCTGGAATCACACAAACCAGGCTGAATACTGGCTCTGCCCCTCCCTAGCTGTGTGACCCTGAGTAATTCCATTTCCCTCTCTGAGCTCAGCTGTTCTATCTGTAAATCCAAGGTAATCCAACCTACCCTCCAAGGATTACTGCAATAAATGAAGAGCATATATGCTAGCATAGTGCTTGGCACGAGGTCGCTGTAAGAATAACATCCATTGAGCCCCATGTGCATGACAGCTGTCCTGCACAAGAGGACCTGTCTGTGGCCCAGGAAGATGTCTTATTGGCTGCATGCTAACTGGTCCATTTGGGGTGGGATTCACTGGAGCCTCAGATGAGGTATGAGACAAGCCTCTAACTGCTCTGTAAAATAGCTTTAACTTGTATTTTCACACAATCCATTATGCAATCTATTCTTTGTTTTATAGTTTCATGACCTATTAATTTTAAAATGCTTTACAATAAAATACTTTCCAGCCAGGCACAGTGGCTCATGTCTGTAACCTCAGCACTTCGGCAGGCCAAGGCAGGAAGAGCACTTGAGACCAGGAGTTTGAGACTGGTCTGGGCAACACAGCAAGATCCCAGCACTACAAAATTTAGAAAAAAAATTATCTGGACTTGGTGGGGCACATTTGTAGTCTAGCTACTTGTGAGGATTGCTTGAGCCCAGGAGTTCGAGATTATAGTGAGCCAGGATCATGCCAAGAAACTGCACTCCAGCCTGAGTGACAAAGCGAGATCTGGTCCCTAAAAAAATTTAAATAAAAATAAAATAAGTTCCTTTGACCTTCCTTTTGAGTTACTGGTTTTCAATGTCTCTTTTAAGATGAAATCTAGTCCTGAATCTTCCGAGGTCCTTTACAACTCTAGGTTTCCATGAAAATGGCAACAGCTCTACCTGACCCTTTCATGTTTTAGTGTTGGGGAAAGAACTGTGTCAACTCTTGAAGTTACAATAGCATAAAACACCGTGGAAGGATACAGTGACAAATACATAGCTCTTCATCATCTGTTTTAGATCTTGGGCTTGCAATTTGCACTGCTCTGATGCTGCTGGCCTTCGTCTGCTAAGAAAGGTCTCCACGCAGGCACAGTGTGCTCCGGGCAGCTGACCCAGGCACCAGCAACCTCCTGGCAGATGTAAAAGGGATTCTTGGGTCAGGTTTTCTGGAGCATAAAAATAAATATTCAGCTTGTCTAAACTCAAGTCTCAATTCCAATTGAGTTGATGAAATTGTTGATAACTAGCTATTGATTAGGATTGGTATAATGATCTGCAAAATAGCCAGTCCTCCTCCATCTCTATAGTTAAAAAAAAATTTTTTTTTTAAGACAGAGTCTTGCTCTGCCTCCCAGGCTGGAGAGCTGTGGCATGATTGTAGCTCACTGCAGCAACTATCTTCCCAGGCTCAAGCGATCCTCCCACCTCAGCCTCCCAAGTAACTGGGACTACAGGCACACGCCACCACAACTGGCTAAATTTTTATAGAGACCGGGTCTCACTATGCGACCTAGGCTGGTCTCAAACTCCTGGGCTCAGGCAATCCTTCTGCCTCGGCCTCCCACAGTGCTGGGATTACAGGCGTGAGCCACCACACCTGGCCATCTCAATCGTTTTTAATAGGTAAAGATAGTTATTTTTGTCAGTCTTGATAATCTACCAAATGATATTTTCTACAACAAAAACACTATATAATTGTACATGTTAGGGTATTTGAATTTTTGTCTTGAAGATAATGATTAAAAAGAAAAAAAGCTAAGTGGCTGGGGGTTTTTTCCTTAAATCAAAAGCCAGGATTTCTCTTGCGTGAGACCGTCCCCTGTTCCTCCCTCACTGAGAAACACAAAATTGACAGGGCTGATATTTCAAAGCGTACAAAACTGGTTCAGCCATACCCATAATCCTTCTGCTTGGCAAAACAAGATTAATCAGCTTTCCTCAAGAAAGACGGCTAACTACGGTTCCTGGGCCAAACAGAGTACTACATTTCAAAGGGTGGCACCCAATTTATTCAGCCTTAGGAGAAGGATGTGGAGGTTACGCAGTGTGGAACAGATTTTTTACAGAGTAAATGAGAGAGCCTTTGGTTTAGGGCCCCTCTGCCTGCTCACTGCTTGTTAGCTATGCATCAGGAAAGAGAATTATTACACTTAGAAACACTTTATCTGTTTACTTGCTTTTAAAACCACGTAAGAATGTTCAGCTAAAGAAAAGTAAATTGCACCAAAGCTGTTGGCAGCTGAGATACTAGTCACTGGGAACTCCAAACAAACAATTCTGAGCCTCTATTCAAAGGTGTTTATTATTTCCTTGACCCCTGAAACTTTCTGCAACCCTGCAGAGGAGGAAGGCTGACTCCCCTCCCTACCCCACCTGCTTCCAACCTCCCCTAAATCCTGACACTCTGAGCCTCTTTGGTATGGAAGACACCTCTGAGCCAGGCAAAGTGAAGAGCCGATTGTACAGGGAGGGCCGTGGGACAATGCATGTGGGGAGGCGCATTGTGCAGCCGAGGAATGGTCACTGGGAGGTGGACGGCAGGGAAGAGATCTGACAGCACCTCAATGCTGTGTACCACTATGTCAGCCTCAAAAAAGCATCGTCACCTGGATGCTGCCTGGCATCTACCTTTTTAGAGTTAGGTTAGAAAATATTCATTTGGCTGACTTCCTTTCTCAGTGTATGTCCAGCTGTTTCGTTATCACAGAGAGACAGCCTCATGAATGTCTTTGGTTGGGCACCCACATGGCGCCTGGTGATGAAGGGGCTGGGCATGCACAGTCAGGCCTCCCTGACTGCATCAGCAACCCTAACCCCCTGAATTACCAGCAATACATCTCCCCACTGTACAAACTCCAACACACACGTACTGTTCACCTATTAAACTAGGCAATGCAGAGTTCTCAAAGATGAATGAATACCAAGGGGGCTTAGCTCTTGAGATGTCAGACAGGAGAGTAGAGAAATAAGTACGGGTGACTCTTGAACACTGTGGGTTTCAACTGCGCAGATCCACTTACACAGGAATTTTCTGCCACCTGTGCCACCTCTGAGACAGCAAGACCAACCCTTCCTCCTCCTCAGCCTATTCAATGTGAAGACAATGAGGTTGAAGACCTTTGTGATGATCCACTGCCACTTATGAATAGTACATGTATTTTCTCTTCCTTATGATTTTTCTTTATTTTCTTTCTTTCCTTCCTTTCTCTCTCTCTCTCTCTTTTTGAGACATAGTCTCATTCCTGTTGCCTAGTCTGGAGTGCAGGGATGTGATCTTGGCTCACTGCAGCCTCAACCTTCCAGTTTCAAGCAATCCTCCACCCCAGCCTCTTAAGTAGCTGGGACTATAGGTTCGTGCCACAAAGCCTGGCTAATTTTTTTTTTTTTTTTTTTTTGGTAGAGACAGGGTTTTATCGTGTTGCCCAGGCTGATCTAAAACTCCTAGGGTCAAGTGATCCTCCCGCCTTGGCCACCCAAAGTGTTGGGATTACAGGCATGAGCCACCCAACTCGGCTTGATTTTCTTAGTAACATTTTCCTTTCCCTAGCTCACTGTATTGTAAGAATACAGTATACAATACATATAACATACAAAATATGTGTTAATCGACTGCTTGTATTATTGGTAAGGTTCCGGTCAATAGTAAGCTGTTAGTAGTTAAGACTTTGAGGAGTCAAATGTTACACTCAACACAAGGCACAGTGGCTCGAACCTGTAATCCCAGAACTTTGGGAGGCCGACGTGGGTGGATCACTTGAGCCCAGTGAGTCAAGGCTGCAGTGAGCTGTGATCAACCACTGCACTCTAGCCTGGGTGATAGAGCGAGACCCTGTTTCAAAAAACAAAAACCCAAAAAAACAAAAAAAAAACCCCTATTATACATGAATTTTTAACTGTGCTAGGGCTCAGCACCCCCTAACCCCTGCGTTGTTCAAGGGTCAACCGTGTATGAGGTGAACATCATAAGAGACGGGGAGAACCACCATATGGGATCCCAGACAGACATATCTGGATGTAGGAAAAGAGGAAGAAGAATCAGAAATACTTTACCATGTGATCAGAGTTTTTTCTTTAACTGACAATAATTGTATATATTTAGGGGGTACAATGCAATGCTTTGATACATGTATATGTATGTGGATGATTACATCAAGCTAATTAACATACCCATCACATCACATATGTATCATTTTTTTGTGCTGAGAACATTTAAGATCCACTCCTTTAGCAATTTTGAAACATGTAATATGTTATTATTAACTATAGTCACCAGATTGAGTTTCACAATTCACAAAGCAGTCACATAGATTATTTCACTTAAGAGTTGCAAGGATTAGGAAGGAATCCCACTTTATGGCATAGAAAACTGAGCCACAAGGTCACGTGATTTGTCCCGGGTATCTGAAAAAGCCACTGCTTCAAGTGGGTTGGGGTTAGAAAATAGCTGAGTCTTAACAAATAATGCAGAGGGCCTATGAAAGCCGCAGAACAGGAAAAGCCACGAGGATTGGAATCTGCAGATGTGGAGAAGCTATTTAGCCCTCAGTTTCCTCATCTATGAAAAGGGCCAACACCAGCTGGTCCACTGAATGGTTGCGAGGACGAAATGAAACACTGCAACAAAACCATAAACCGCAGATGTTACACTCATGTGAAGTGTCACTGCTACTTTTCACAAGCCAAGCACAGGTCTTCTTATGGCAGATACATAAATTCCTGTTGAACAAAGAAATGAAGGAAGGAAGGAACCCATGAATTTAGCAAAGTCAACAGAGTCTCCCTGAACTTTGTTTTCATGGGCCTGGACTCTGGTACAGCCTGGCTCTGTAGCATCTGGCTGGTTCTGAAGGACACGGTGACAGGTGAATGCTGTAAAATGGCCTTGCAGTTCCCCCAGGGGCGCCAGCTTCCTACACGCCAGGCTTCCACGTAAACATCACTCAAACACTGGGGAGTGTCCGCAGATACAAGTCAGCAGCAGTGCCCTGACTGGGCCGCATTGCAGCAGGAACCACCCAGGAACCAGACGCGGTACAGGGCCGGCTCGGCTGTCTGGTTATACTGGTCTGGAAACCCTTCCTCAAATCCCTGGGGCCTGAAATGTTTTTGAACTCAGATTCAGACTTTAAAACGGAAGTCCAGGGCATACACCATACATTAGCCAATATCCCAGAAGGGCCTAGGACAAGACCCATAGTCACATTCAAAAATACCTCTACAGAAAAGCAGAACTTTCACACTAAAAGAAATGAACACAAACGATTAAAAGCCACATGTTTCAATTCAGAGGAGTTCTCCCCACCCATCAAATGATTTCAGATCAGGCCAAATCCAACTAGCAAACAAGTTACCAAAAAACATCTGGGTTTCACAGCTTTCTGGATGTTGAAATCGCAGATAAGACGTTGCAGGCCTGACTCAAGGGCTGTTAAATCTCAAGGCATCTGCCATACACCCAGGGCTGGGATGGACCCAGAAAGCTGGCAGTGCACGGCCGAGGTTCCCAGGGTGCCGACCAGGGCGCCTGTCCAAGTGCTGGACACAGCTTCTGGGCATGCTGTCTCATCCCTTACTTCAGCCAGAATGGAAAATTGCGTGAGTAAGTATGCGCTACTGCAAAGTCAGCAGCTTCCCCGCCCCTTTAACATACAGCAGATTGTGCTTTGAGGGAGAAGAGGAATTAAATAAATAAATAAATAAAATAAAAAACAAGCCACTTTACCTACAATGTGGCCTGAAGAACAAGGTCAAAGTTTGATAAATATGATATTTAAGCAGATAGGGGAATTGAAAATGTTCAGAAAATGTTACAGAATGTCGGGGTTTCTTAAAGCAGGGCATAACAATTTTCAAGGTGCAGGGAAAAAAATAACAAAATTTGCAAAAATTCAATTATCTATAGCGTATTTTCTCTTTTTATAAAGGTATAGATTACCAGGTCAACACGGATGCTAACATGAAGACAACAAATAGAAAGCCACTTGGTATAGTTCAAAGAAACCTGGGGTTTTTTTCGGGAGACCTAGGATCGAGATGTGGTCCTCACTGAACTATTTGGCCTTGGCTAAGTTACTCAGCACCCATCAGCTTCCCTGATTACATGTAAGATAAATATGATAAAGTAGTATTTTACTTACCTTAGAGTTTGGTTGTGAGAATTAAGTGAGAAACAGATCTGAAGGTGCTTTAAAAACTGTAAAATATTAGAAAGGAGATCATTTTATATTGGGGTTATGTTCTAAGGGCAGTGAATTGGATGGAAAATAGAGTGTGTTGAAATTACTCTTGAAAAATTCCCCAGATAGTCCACAGTGTGGAGCATACGTGGTTTTGTGTAAACTGTATCATCTCTCAGCAAATCCCTCCAAGACTGGAATAGATTCCTGTTTGGGGAGTTAAATACACACCGTGGTTGGCCTGCATTTAGAGACCATTTTGAACAAAAATAGAAAAATAAACAAAATTAAATAATATATATTGTTTTTCACTAAATACGTATATAATATATGTGATCCATGAATGCTGGAAGTTCTTACACTCTGACTCCAACCTACAGTAATTAGGAGGCTTTGCCACCTATGACTGTGTGTTATTTTATTACCGTACACAATGAAGAAATGTTTCTGGTATTACTGAAAAGCTTCTCAGGATCCAGAAGTTCTCTCCTTGTCTCTTATAATAATTTAAAGATAACACAGCTCTTTGCATAATTTCAGCATCTGATTTTTCATTCAACAAGAATGTACTGGAGACAAACTCCCTGCGAGGCACTGTGCAGAGCAGGGGAAAGAAGCAAACGAAAGAAAAAGACAACACAGCGCCCCTGCCCTCAAGGAACTCACTAGCTGATGGTGGCAACAAAGGCCCTCACAGCTGACCACGGTGCAGGGCAGAGGGAAACCAGCAGTGATCAGAGGGGTATGTATCATAATTCAGAAACGCAGAGGAAAGACCAAGTAATCCGGGACAGATGAGGGAAGACTTCACCCCAGGGATAGTCTGTAGGCCGGGTCTTAAGGCATGAACAGTATTTAAATACGGAAAAAGGAGGGGCTCGTGACTGATAAAGCATGACCACAGAGTCCTGGAAACTCTTGGCACACAGTAAGCAGAGGGGTGTGGTAAGACCACAAATCTAACATTTATGAGATACCTACTAGGCATCAGGAATGAGGATAAGTCAACCCAGCTGTAACCATCAAGACAACACTAAGGTGACACTTACTACTAAGTCCTAGCATCTTGATTCTAGACAACGCTGTGCTGGAGCTCTCAAGCCTGCCCTGCAGACCCCGTCTCCACCCTCTCTCCCCTGCGTGGGCTGCATCAACAGGCTTCCCCTTGGGTAGGAGCAGTGGAGGGGAAGGAGGGAGGGGAGTGAGGTCAGGGTTTCTTCCTGGGGTAGGGTTGCTGTCACAGCTCCTGTCTGGCGGCTCTGTCCACCCAGCCCTCTCTGAACCCAGGTCTGGTAACTGCCCCTCTGCCCCTTCAGGCCTAGGGTGGGACTGTGCCTGCTGTACCAGTCCTGGCCACTACCCCAGCCCTTGTGGTCTCCCTATACCTTGCACCAACCTTCACAACAGTGACTTTGTCACAATCGCCTTAAATTGGCCATTGAGGGCACCATTGCTTCCTGCCAGGACTCTCTAGAATCGCCTTGCAGCCAGCTCTCCTTGTTAGAGCTGAGGAAACTGAGGCCAGGAAAGAATAAGTAATTATCCAAGTTCACACAGTCATTTCATTGAACAGCAGAATCAAGGCTGCAACCCAGATGTGTCTGTCTCCAAAGCCTATGCACTCCAACTCTGGGAAAGTAATTTGGTGGTAGATTACAGAGGATCACGAAAGAATGCACGTAATCTTTTGTGCTAATTCTCAAGAGTTCATTATTCGTCTGCACGTGTGCAGCCTGTGCCTGCTTGTCTCTTTAAACAGTCCTGCAAATGAGATGCTCCAATCAGGCGTTCACGGCATCAAACGGTGCCAAACGTACAAAAGCAATCCTTAAAAAAAAACAAAAACTCAGAGATATTCCAAGACTCCAGTCCAGATCCTTCCTAGATCCCGGGTCCTGCATCTGCTGTTTCTCTTCTTAGATTCTTAGCTAATTGGGAGAGAATGCATGTTATTGGCGATCAGAAGGCATATGTCATGAAATTTCTTTAGCAAACATATGCCCCTCATCATTTTTCTAAACAGCTCTAAATTTTTTCCCAGCTCTCCATTCCTAAAAGAGCTTAGACACTTGTCACCCTTCTTGGCTTGTCAGAGCAGCCAGTGTTGCTGTGCTTGGGTGTGAAGGGCAGCTCTGAATCCATGCCCTGTCTCCTCATACTTGGCACTACCCTTCTTGAGAGTGGTCTTGTACTGGCTCTTGCTTGGGGGAAGGAGCACACTTTCCATTAGAGATTCCAGAGACTGGCCAGGCGCAGTGGCTCATGCCTATAATCCCAGCATTTTGGGAGGCCAAGGTGGGCAGATCACCTGAGGTTGGGAGTTCGAGACCAGCCTGACCAACATGGAGAAACCTCATCTCTACTAAAAATACAAAATTAGCTGGGTGTGGTGGAGCATGCCTGTAATCCCAGCTACTCGGGAGGCTGAAGTAGGAGAATCGCTTGAACCCGGGAGGCAGAGGTTGCGGTGAGCCGAGATTAACGCCACTGCACTCCAGCCTGGGCAACAAGAATGTCTCAAAAAAAAAAAAAAAAAAAAAAAAGATTCTGGAGATCGGATACCAAAACTTTACACAGGAGGCTGAGCAGGGCTGCTTGTAATGCACGTGGGTGTGATCCGGTGACACATCTTCAGGCGTTCTGACAGCCTCAAATGTGCAGGTAATTATCCCACTTCTTGCCCAGGGCTTTGAACCTTTTAGTTAAACATTCAGTTTAGGATTCTGTAACTTCATGAAACTATTGTTTTCAAAAAAACATTCTGAAACTGAAGTAAGCCACTCCTAAAAAGACAAATATTGTGTGATTCCACTTACATGAGATATCTAAAGTAGTCAAATGCACAGAGACAAGAAAGTCGAATGCTGGACCAGGAGCTGGCGGGGGAGAGTGGGGAATTATGTAATGGGGACAGATTTCAGTTTGGGAAGATGAAAAGTTCTGCAGATGGATGGCAGTGATGGCTGCACAACAATGTGAATGTACTTAGCGCCATGAACTGTACACTTAAAAATGTGTAAGATGCTAAATTTTATATGTATTTTACCATGATTAAATTTTTTTTTGAAAAAAAAAGGGTTCTAGGGCTGGGTGTAGTGGCTCATGGCTGTAATCCCAACACTTTGGGAAGTTGAGGCAGGAGGATCACTTCAGCCCAGGAGTTCAAAACCAGCTTGAGGAACAAATCGAGACCCCATTTCCACAAAAAAATAAAAAAATTAGCTGGGCACGGTGGCATGTGCCTATAGTCCCAGCTACTTAGGAGGCTGATGCTAGAGGACTGCTTGGGCTGGGGAGGTCGAGGCTGCAGTGAGCCCAGCTCATATCACTGCGCTCCAGCCTGGGCAACAGACTGAGCCCTACCTCAAAAGATTTAAAAAAGAAGAAGAAGAAAAGAAAGAGAATAAGTAAATAGAATATGGCTGCTGATGAAACACTGAAAGAACTACAACTGTTAACAGAAAGACGGAAGAGTTTCACAAACACTAAGTCACAGCAGTTGGTGCGGGCTGCTAACAGAGAAAAGTTAAAATGTCCTAAGTAGGCACGACTCAAAGTACCATTTAATATTTCCACTCTGAACTCTTTTGTTCAACAAACTAGTACTGAGAGCCCACTGAGTCACATGAGCCAGAATGACATCCTACAGGTCCTCCTGGTCTGGTCGGTTAAGTGGAGCTGGCTATGCCCTGAGACACGTGGCCTGGGGCCTAAGGGGCACCCAGTGAGCTGCGCCTACATCTACCTGCCCTGAGGTTTCCCGTGGCATGGGAGCAGGGTTCTGAAGGACAAGGGAGCGGCTCCGTGAAGAAGGGGTAGGAAGGGACGCTGCAGGGAAGGCAAGGGCGCTCAGCATGTGGAATCCTGTACACAACAGCCTGGCACCTTCAGAAGCTACCAGAAGTCCAGGGTGGCTGCATCCAGGGCCCTGGGAGGAAAGGGTCAGGGAAGCAGGTGGCAAGTGGTTCCCAGAATCGGCCCTGAACCCCAAGAGTCATGGGGAACTTCCGGGGGATGCTGGGCAATTCAGAGATAAATGAGGTTTCCATTTTTAAAAGTGCTGAAGAAGTAGGATTTGAAGAAAAACAGGTGAAGACAAGGAAATCTGTTCAGAGACTCCTCCAATAATCCAAGGGAAAGGCCTTTGCTCTGCACTTGTAAACCATGTGTGGCCTCTCCTACAGGCAAGGGCAGACCAGAACAATCTCCTAAGTCCCTTTCAGGTCTATAGCTGTCCCATCTTTTTTCCCATCATTCACTCATCGAGCATAACTGAGTACTTAGTATACCATGGACAGTGGAGCCAGAATGCTTGGCTTCAAACCCCAGCTCTGAAACACACTGGCCAGGCAATCTTGAACAAGTTACTCAAAGTTTTGGGCCTCTGTTTCCTTGTCGGTCAAAATGGAGACAATAATAGGACCCACTTCAAAAGGGTGTTGTGAGAATTAAACAAAAGAATACATTAAAAATGCTCAGCCCAACACCTGATGCTTGGTGAGCACTCTTTAAAGCCAGCATTTCTCTCCCCTCCTCTCCTGCACCTAAACACACACATACACGCATGAATGAGACATGGACCCCACCTTCTAACAGCACAAGCTCTGGCTGGGAAATAACTCCGTGGCGTAAGATATAATTAAGTACAAGATGCAATCTGAACACGTATTTTTATATAATTAAATTATATCAACTCAATAAAAGGCCATTTTCAAGGAAGGCAAAGAAATGACACACCAAGCCAGATTTCAGTCTTTGGGAGCAGTGGAGTGTGGGCAATCCTGCTTAATTACTTTCTAAAGGACTAATTCGGTGAAGCCGAGCTAACAGATCATTATCTTTATTATAGCTCCATACAGTCCCCTGGGAGCGGCTGCCACATTTTGCATACAGGATTGGTAAGCATAAGCGACTCAATAGTAGATAAAGCATCATCACTAAGTTCTATTCCTAAGGATTTTCAAGTGTTTGTGATGAAGACAGCTGGGGCTAAAGTGCACAGTAATGCTGCAGTATAAGAGAGTCCTAATTCCATTCAATCGTTTCTCAACTGGAACATATTTTTCTAAGAATGGTAAAATTCATGTTACATAACTTTTTGGGGGGCGATTTAAGTCAAATCCTTTTTACTGTTAAAAATGCTGGAGTTGCCAAAAACCACTTCATTGTGTCAATTACTTTGGCTGAAAATAATTTGTTTTAAGCCAGTGAAACCACCAAATGCTTTTTGCAAACGTCTCTACTTATTGATTCCAGTGAAGCGGTGTCTAGCGAGAGGCATTCAGCAGCAACTGTGGTGGCAAGTTTTGTCTCTGTACTAAGCCAGTCTCCTGGGCCTGCATTCATATGTTTCTGGGTTCTACCAATAAGGTCCCTCGTCTGGAAAGCCTTCTCTTCTGAATGTCTAAGTCTACCAGTTCTTTGCTGAAGGGTAGAGTTCAATGTCACATGTGTGCATGTGTGTATAATGCACGTAGATACGCAGGTATACATACAGTTATATGCACATGTGGTATATACTATACACATTGATACACGTTGTTTCAAGCACACAGGGAAGCGGTGGGCGTGCTTTATTTGGCATGCACCTGTCACATGTGTGGCATGGTGCCTGGTGGCGCCTGGTGCGTGTGTTTGAGGAGGTGCTATAAGATAAATAAGATGGACCCTGAATCTATTCAACCACCTTTCACCAGGAAACTCACCACGTGCCAGGCACTGCTGAGGTGCAAAAGACACAGAGACGATCCCAGGAAAGTCTGCCCAGAGGAGCTTATATCTAATGGGAGACTGAAAATAAACCTCCGTGACAGGCCTCTGGGATAATCATGATGACAGAGGTTTATACTAAATACCACATAGCCACCGACGAAGGAAGGGCACCTGGGGGCACTCAGGGATGAAGATAAGTGGGGCCCTGGGTGCTAAAGTGGGAGGGAGGGCTGCTGTCAGCTTTTAAACAGGAGGCCATTTTGCCTGGATCTGTCTTGCAGGAGGCACATTCGAAATGTCTAATTTCCCCTGGGTGAGCTCATCGGTGCCCATGGATCCCATTACTATCTGGATGCTGATGGCTCGCAAATGTTATGTCCAGCCCAGCCATCTCCCGGGCTCCAGACCTTCACCGACAGCCTGCTCAGCACCTCAGCTTGTATCCCATATGTCCTCCTACCCCACAAGCCCAAACCACCTCCCCCGTGGCCTGGACTGCCATCTCTGCACAGGCCCCCTGGCCTGTCCTGCCATCTCCAGTTGCAGGCATCAGAGACCTGGGCGTCAGCCTTGATTCTGCCCTCTCCCCACTCTTAATGTAAATACAGGATGTTACCCACTAAGTATCTCCTGCGTCTTGCTCCCAACACCCCGCCCAGGGTGAATCACCATTGCCTCTCCCTGGGTTACTGCCATGGCCCCCCACCTCTACCCTCCTACCTCCACCCTGGACTGCCCTTCCCACCTGCCCTCCCCCTGGAAGCAGAGTGATCTTTTAAAACAAAAAATGTGAACAAGTCGCTCCCTTGCCTCAAAATTCTCCCCTGTATTCCCACTGCTCCTAGGAAGAAGACCAAACTCCTTACCATGTCCCCAAAACACGCTCCCAGTCCTACTGCAAGCCACGCTACTCCTTTCCCTTTCACCACAGGCAACCTTCTTTCAGTTCTCTAAAGGTTCTTTCCCACCCAGGGCTTCTTAGACGCTTCCCTGGCCCGAATGGCTCTCCCCACTCCCACCTACCCGCCTGCAGTGAGCAGACTAGAAAGACGCTCTCACGGATGCCTCTCTTAGGAAGCCCGCCCTGATACATGCCCCCCAGTGCTGCAATACCCTACCATTGTTCCTTACACTTCTTAGAACAACCTATCACTGTTGTCATGAAGTGAGTGTGAAAATAACACTGGATGTTTAGCTCCTGAGAAACAAATTAGGCTTCCTAAGGCTAAGGACCATGTCATCCTCGCATTTCGCTGGAACCCCTAAAACAGTGTAATAATGGACGCTGTGAGTACTTGAGTGCTTGTTTAAAGGAACGGATGGAAGACTAGAGTTAGGAAGACTGCTTTAGGTCTGCTGCCAAAACCAAACCCAACCCTAGCCTAGATGAGAACTGATGAGGGCCCGAGCCAGGGAGGAAGGGATGGATGATGAGACGTTTGGGGTGCAGAATCCACTGAGCCAACTGAGATATGGGGCAGTGGGTAGAAGAGTCTAAAATGATTACTAGGAGAATTTCTTTTTTTTTTTTTTGAGACGGAGTCTCGCTCTGTGGCCCAGGCTGGAGTGCAGTGGCACGATCTTGGCTCACTGCAAGCTCTGCCTCCCGGGTTCACGCCATTCTCCTGCCTCAGCCTCCCGAGTAGCTGGGACTACAGGCGCCCGCCACCACGCCCGGCTAATTTTTGGTATTTTTAGTAGAGACGGGGTTTCACCGTGTTAGCCAGGATGGTCTCGATCTCCTGACCTCATGATCCGCCCACCTCGGCCTCCCAAAGTGCTGGGATTACAGGCATGAGCCACCGTGCCCGGCCAATTACTAGGAGAATCTAATGTTTACAGGGGAGACTACATTTTTGACATGTTTAATTGTCCTACGCCCACTGTAGGTATTCACTGGAAATCAGCCCGATTTGCCAAACGGACTCAAGTCTCTCCATGAATATTCGCCTAACCATTTCTATCCTTGTTATCTTTAACTGTGGGCTGCCCATTGTCCTTCAAAGGTTATTTGTGGGAAGAATCTGCAGTCCAGGACGGTGGGTCTCCCTTACAGGGGCTTTGCAGAGTGAAGGGTACCACCAGTCCTGGACCACACCATGATAAATGCATGGATCTGGCCGCTGGCCTCAGGGGGCCAGTCACCTCTGCTTCCCCTCCCTCTGACAGCAGGGCCTCGGCAGGTGGGAAGGTCTCCTGTAAGACTCCCTACCTCGGGCAGGCCCTGGGCTTGGAGTAAGTGCCCTCAGGCATCACCCAAGTCTATAGGTCGAACCTGCCCCTACACTGTGGGGATGGTTTATTAAAGATAGAGAGTTTAAATATTTTCCAGAAAGCTGGCAGAATAAATAAATGACTGCATTTTAACACACAACTGAGAGTACTCTGCAAAAAATGGTTTTCCCCGCCAACAGTATTTGCCAGTAAAGGTAGAACCTTAGAGTAAACAAAAATGGAAATGTATCTAACTAAACTGAATCTTAAAAATTAGCTGGGTGCAGGGGCTCATGCTTAATCTCAGCATTTTGAGAAGCCAAGGCAGGAGGATCTCTTGAGGAGAGTTCAAGACCAGCCTGAGCAACAAAGAAAGACTGCATCTCTAAAAAATTTTTTTAAAATTTAGCCAGGTGTGGTGGCGCATGCCTATAGTCCCAGCTACTCGGGAGGCTGAGGTGTGAGGATTGCTAGAGTCCAAGGGTTCGAGGTCAGTGAGCCATGATCACACCACTGCACTCCAACCTGGGCAACAGAGTGAGACCCTGACTCTAAATAAAAAATAAATAATTAATTAAACTTAAAAAAAAAACAAGTCCTTTAAAGAAAGAAAAACTCTTCTGAAGAGGTATTTCTTAAAAAGTAAACCAAAGAGAGTATGCACTTGCTCCTGCTGACACCTTCGCACACCCCCAGTCCTGGGCCAGATTAAAATGAATGTGCAGCCTTCAGCAGAAATGAAATCTATGTGCCAAACGTCTAGTGAGAAAAACATGAAGCTGGGGGTGACGGGTGGTATCAATAATAATTATACAGCTTTTAGAGTTTACAGCACACTTTTTGTTTGTAATTAGTAATGCTTCTGAAGGTGTTTAAAAATTTTGCTAATACTAGAAACCCTCTATTAATGAGCTTGATAAAATTTTAAGGATGAATAGTTGTTCCTGAAAGAAATTTTTGTAAGGAGTACAAAATGCCACTGATTTTAAGTCCTTGGAGAGACTGTCTTACTAGAGAGAGCAATGCTTTCATGTTCCGTTTTCAATGTTATCCATGATGAAGGTTTTCACGCTACTAGTTTTATAGCATGAACAAGCTGTAACACTAGAAACAAAGATGTTATTTCTCCTCTCTTATCCAACCTCCACTCAACTAAAATGTTTTTTAAGAGAATATGTGAAAAGGTTTACACTATCCCAGAAATGGACAATAACCAATTAATGGTTACTTTTTAAGCACAGTTTTGTGATTTTTTTCCACCAAAATGCGTGGGTTTGTTTATAATGTGATAAATGGTTGTGGTTTGGCTATAAGTTCCTTCCTGGCTGGAGCACCAAGTATACTAATTAGAAATTCTCGCTTAGCGTGGGTGCTTTTGCTTTGCACTTTTCCATGAAAGCGTTTTCCTCCGATTTTGCTATCACAGAATGCCTCAGTCAGTCTTCTGTCACTGCATGAGAATGCAAAAGAGGCCTGAAAATACTTCGGAGCGTTGAGTTTGGATAATTTCCTTACAGGTGTTCCTTTTAAATCCAACTACTTGTTTATAACCATCGAGGTGTCAACTTGAAAATCCTGCTGTAATCATAGTTAAGAGAATGTCATCAGTATTAGAGATGTCAAAAGATGTTTAAGATTATTAAATAAATTATTGTTAATTTCCAAAATATAAATGTTTAGAAATTAAAACAACATTCCATTGCAAAACTAGAAAAAATAAACTTCAGTCGCTCAAAGGATTATTATAGTGATTTCAAAATTTGACTGGGCAGGTCCCATGGACTCGACCCGCTGTAGTTACTAACAAGTAGCACCTGCAGGAGAAGAAGCCAGGCCAGATCTGGGACATGGCAGATACGCTCCAGTCAGGCCTTAGAGGGCATCTGATAATTCTCTCATGACACCTTCCAAGGCAAGAAGAAAAAAGGCTATTAACCACAATCACAACCCTGTAAGGCAATGGTCAATTTCAATGTTACTATAATGCTGAAATATCTTAGTAAGTGCTGGGATTATTTATAGCATTACAACACAGATTATAATGGTGTTGTAATCTGATAGGGCTCTGCCTGTTCGAGGAAACTTACCCTCAAAAAAAAAAGGTAATTAAATTTAAGAAAAGATTTAGCCATAGTACATGTAAAGTACACAAGAATTTTACTTGAAAATCAGTAAAAGGTAATAATGTGATGTGACAAGAAATGGAGTCTATATAACCTTAGGCTGCATTATTAGAAGTATAGGCCAGGTACAGTGGCTCATGCCTATAATCCTAGCACTTTGGGAGGCTGAGAAGGGTAGATCACCTGAGGTCATGACTTCGAGACCAGCCTGGCCAACATGGTGAAACCCCATTTCTACTAAAAATACAAAAATTAGCCAGGCTGGTGGCACACGCCTGTAATTCCAGCTACTCTGGAGGCTGAGGCAGGAGAACTGCTTGAACCTAGGGGGCGGAGGTTTTAGTGAGGCAAGATTGCACCACTGCACTCCAGCCTGGGCGACAGAGTGAGACTCTGTCTCGAAAAAAAAAAAAAAAAAGTATAGACTTTGGAATAAGGGAGGTGACATATCCAATTCTAATCTTCTTTGTGTAGAAAACATGCCTGGAATACCACATTCAGTTGTATCAAGTTAAGAAAGAAATACAGACAAAAGGAAACAGGTGTAGATGAAGCAACCAGGATGATTAAGGGTCTAAAATTACGTCTTAAGAGCTAGAAGATGTGAGAAAGAACTATAATCATTGTCTTCAAACATGTGATGACCTAATATATGGATAAGATATTAAACCTATTCTCTACGGACCCAAGGAACACAACTTCGGCTGATTTTTCACTGCTTGTAGGAACTGACAGTCTGAACTGTCTGGAGAAAAAATGGATTGCCTGGAGAGGTAGTTACTTTCCAGTCTCTTGAAAATGCTCATGCACAGGTTGAACAGCCTTTCTAGCTTTGAACAGCCTTTCCAGCTTCCCCCACAGGGCAGAGATTTCAAGCTGGAGGGGTGGGGGAAGGAGAGGAGGGCCAAAGCACCATCCTCTCCCCACTCCCTGTCAGCTATGCCAGCTCTGTATCTATCTGCTTTACCATTGGGTTCCTGGGTAACCTTTACTTTGAAGAAACAGCTCAAAGGCTTAAGAAAGTAAACCATGAGATGAGATTACTTGCCAGGTCCGTTCAGGCACTGAGATTCTTATAACCTGTGGCAACCACGTGCAGTTGTGCACTGACTCGTTTTGGTGAGCTGTGATTGATCAAAGGATCCAAAGGACTCATGGAAATGCATGAGCAACATTTTGTTACTTGCTCCCACTTCTTTCCCTCTTTCATCCATTTCCTTAATTACTTATTCTTTTATCAAAAATGTATAATAAAACAAGCTTAATATTTAGGTTTCAAAAAGTTAAGACTGGTTCCTAAAAATGTTAAGCCCAGAGTTACCATATGACCTAGCAATTCTGCTCCTAGATATCTGCCCAAGAGAAATGAAAACATAGGTCCACACAAAAATGTGCATGTGAGTGCCCATAGTAGCATTATTGATAAGAGTCAAAAAGTGGAAATAACCCAAATAACCCATCAACAAGTAACAGATTTAAACAGTGTGGTATCTCTCCACAAGGGAATATAATTTGGCCATAAAAAGGAATGGCATGATGACACAGGCTACAACATGGATGAACCTTAAAACATATGCTAAGTGAAAGAAGCCAGGAACAAAATACCAAACATTCTATAATTCCATTTAAATAAAATGCCCAGAATCTATAAAGACAGAAAGTAGATTAATGGTTGCCAGGGGTGAGGGCGATGGGGGAACATGGAGTGACTGCTAGTAGGTACTAGGGTTTCTTCTGGAGTAATGCAAAGGTTCTAAAATCAGAGAGTGGTAACAACTGGACAATTCTGTGAATATACTACACGCACTTAATGGTACACTTTAAAAACACATTTTTATGGTATGTAAATATTTCAATAAAGCTATTACTCTCTCACACACACACACACACACACACACACATACACACACAAAGATTTAGACTGGTATCCAAGCCCTTCCTAGTTCTGTGGCCTGATAAAGTTGCCAAATCTCTTCGAGCCTCCGTTTTCTCAGGCACAAAGGAAGGATGGTAACACCACCTACTTCAAAATGAGGCCTCGAAGAAAATATGGAGTTATTTCCCAAATCATAAATTGTCTTATAAAGGATAGCTACTGTTCACTTTTTAAAACACTTCAGGTTTTTTTTTTTTCCCAGCATTAAAAGAAGTTTGTGAGCTGGGCATGATAGCACGCACCTGTAGTCCCAGCTACTTGAGAGACTGAGGTAGGACTGCTTGAGCCCCAGGAGTTTGAGTCTGCAGTGAGCTGTGATCATGCCACTGCACTCCAACCTGGGTCACAGAGCAAGGTGTGGCTCAAAGAAAAAAAAAAAAAAAAGCTTGTGATTTCTAGCTCACTTTACAGATTTCAAATACTCTGAAGAAAACAATGCACACATTTTCTGCTTAAATGAGAAAGACAGTTCCTGAAAGATGAGGATGAGCCTTTTCAGGAGGCTAGATACTGCCTAACTTTGCATTTAATGTCCACTACAAATTATGAGGAGAGACACCAAGAAAGAAGTATAAGAGAAGACAGAAATTTCATTCATTAGAACAAACTTTTCTCTTTCTCCCTTCTCATTTACACATTATCTTCTCTCTCTCTCTCTCTCTCTCTCTCTCTCTCTCTCTCTCTCTCTGAGACAGGGTCTCACTTTGTCACCCAGGCTGTAGTACAGTGGCACAGTCATAGCTCACTGCAGCTTCAAACTTCTGGGCTCAATCAATCCTCCCATCTCAGCCTCCTGAGTAGCTAGGATTACAGGTTCAAGCCACCATGCCCAGCCAACTTTTAAAAATTTTTTGTAGAGGGGGGTCTTGCTATGTTGCCCAGGCTGCTCTCAAACTCTTGGCTGCAAGTAATCCTCCCGCCTCAACTTCGCATATCTTGATCTTGTCTTTATTTGACCAGAAGGAAATTAACTATGACAGTCATCCAAATAATATGTGTGAATTATATTTTCTAAAGCTGTAACCATGATTTTTTAGTTTCTGTCACTATTAACAGCATGACGCATACTGAACATATGAAAATGTATGAGTTCATGTATTATGCTGCTGTCTTGCCATTGTAATGTAAGTCTCTCATTTAAAAAGAAAAAATTGTTTGCCAATGTAGCTAATGAAATATCCAAATGTTTAATTTAGTTCCTAGTGAAATGGCATTTCTGTGATCCACTGCTTTAATTGAATCATCATAGTAATTAACTGACTTGTATTCATTTATATCTTCACTTAATGAAAGCCTCTTAAAATGTTTCACATCAAAACATCTGTTGCCTAAGACATCACCAGTTAACATTGACTTCTGCCCCATAGGCCACTCTTGCTTTAAACTTTATTCATTAGACAACCTAAAAAAAAAATAACAAATACAGAGCTGAGAACTTTTTGAGAAAAGTAATTCAATAGTTATAAAGTGATCTTATTGTTTGATTCTAGTTAAGGTGGTTTTTCTTTAAACCAATACTTCTACAAAATATAAGAGTTGGTTTTTACTTTCTTCTGGACATCACCACCAGTAAAATACCATGCCAATATCTCTAGGCTGGCAATTAAAAGGAAAATGCAGAAAACGAAAACATTCATGAACAGACGTGTAGGTCAACTTCATGACTAAACTGCTATTTAGGAACAGTATGACCAGGCCCCAAACAACTGCTCCAATAAAAATATCTAGGCTCATTTTCATATCGCAAATCAAGCTGTCAATAATACGCCCACAGATTAAATTTGTAAGACCTGATGCCTCAAAGTCATTTAATACAAATTTCAGCCACATATCTTTCCAACTAAGCATAGGGAGAATTCTACCATAAGCATATAACTACTTTTTAGATCAAAAACAATAATTCAAATATGATTGATTATAAGTCAATTAAGGAACCTATTCAAAATGTTAATTGAGGAATCTATTTAACCTACTGGAGAGCAAAACCGTTCCCATGACTCTATACTATAAAGTATTCCAGGGACCACCAGCATACCAAATACATTCTACCTGCCCTCAACACCTTCTGAGGCTCAAAAACACAGGTGTTCTGCTCTTGGAAACTGGCGTTAAATTCAGAGAAAAAGCAGAAACTTTCTTTAATTCCACTGAAGAGGGAATTACTAAATTCATGAAGGCCCACAAATGGTTCAGATGTAAAGTATAAGCTGCAAAAGCTATCAGAGTATACATTCTACCATGAACAAGATGATAAATTTCACCAGAGATAAAAAATACCACTACAGAGGATGAATCAACACACTCATTACTCTTTACTGCTACAGTGACAAACAGGTGTCGAATAACAAGAAAACTTTCCCTAAATCACAATACAATAGCAAAATAAATTGCTCCAGTTGTCAAAGGGTCTAGAATTCAAAATTATTCCGACTGCACTTAAGCAAATTCTATCAAATACACATTTTTTTTTCCCATTAACAAACTTTTGGGGCCCTTTGATGGAGCAATAAATCCAACATGTAAAAAAAAAAAAAAGTGTGGTTAACTTTTGTGCGTGAATTATCACACATCATGTTCTGATAAAATATTCAGTGTGCTATGAAAATCTTTTTCAACCCTGCCAATGAGACTGAAATCTTTCAAGCATGTAGGATTTCATATTTTTAAAAAGATGCCATATTGGTGGATATGAATGTTTCCTTCCTGTAAAATTGCAAAAACAAAAAAAGAAAAAAGAATCCATTATCCCATAAACAAAATAAGAAGCAACACTGAGGCCAGGTCCACTTTGGCTTTCCATTTAAAAAGCTCTAGATTGTATTAAATTGTGATGATTTCATTAAAGTAGACCTGAATGGGTTCTGGGGGTCCAAACACTGCGTGCATCCTCGCAGGAGGGTTTTGTTATTAAAGGATTTGTTTCCCGAGTTCTTCATCCAGTCATTTCCAAACAGATGTGGGTCGGGAAGCAAAAAAGCAACACGTTCCCCGGAACGCGGAGGCTGCCCGGGCCTCCCCGCCGCCCTGTGCCCCACGCGCCTCCGCCCGGGCGCGCTCCGCGGGTGCTGGAGCCGGCGGGGTCCGCGCGCCAGTGCCGGGAGCCGGGGTGGCGGCGGGGAGCCCGGGGCGGCCCGGAGCGAGGCGCGGCCCCGCGGCTCCAACACAATGCGCCGGCGGCGGGAACGGGGACCGCGCGCCCCTCCGCAACAACTTTGCGCGGCCTCGCCCGCGGCCGCCGGGCCTCGGCCCCTCGGCTTGGTCCCCGCCGTCGCCGTCGCCGCCGCCCGCCACCAGCCGCTCGCCGCCCCGGCCCCGCGCGGCCGCCCCTCACCGTTGCAGAACTGGAGCAGCGAGGACGTGTCGTACAGGCTGCTGTAGCTGGAGAAGCCGTCCTCCATGCTGAGGCCGCCGGGCCGCGCCCGCTCCCCGGCCCGGCCGCGCCGCCGCCGCTCACCACACACTGAGCTGAGCCCGACCGCGACCGGCGCTGGCGCTGGGGCCGGCCCTGCTGTGGCGGCTGCTGCTGCCGGTTACCATGGCAACCCCGGGCCCGCCGCCGCCGCCGCAGCCGCGCGAGCCCAGCGCCCGCTCCGCCCGCGAGGGGGCGGCCTCGGCGGCCGCGGGGCCCGGGCCGGGAGGGGGACGTGGCGGGGCGGGGCCGAGCCTCCCCGCGCCTGCGGCCTCTTTCCCCGCGGGGAGCGCGGCCCGGGCGGCCTGGGAGCCGCAGGGGCGCGTCTGCCGCCCGCTGTCCCCTTGGCCAGGCCCCGCCTCCGCGCACGGGGGCTCAGGGGCTGCGGGGCGCGGCGGGCGGCCCTTGCGGGGGCGCGGGGACAAAGACCAAGGCCGGGAGAGAGCGGGCGCGTGGGGCCCGGGGTAACCTCCGCCACGGACACCCAAGCCCACCCGCCCCCGACGCGCTGTTCCCGCGCCCGCGGGCAGCTCCACGACCAAACATGGACAACGCGCCCGCACATTTCGGCCGTTTCCACGCCGCGGCTCACTGTGGCCCACATCCGACCGGCGCGTTCCTCTGTCCACACGTTTTTCCGCGGCAGCAAGGCCCTGCCTCAGTGAGACTTAGCACGGGACTGGCAAGTCAGCTCGAACCTTCGCTCACACTGGGCCAGAGAGGCTATCCTGGTACCAGGCTGGAAGTCCCCCGTGTTGAGGACTCGACGCAGCTAAAACATCGCTTTGTGGTTTCTCTATGATCAGCCCCTGGGATACAGATCTGTCACGTTACAGGCTTGTTAACTTGCTACAGGACTAAGGAAATCAGTATTTATTCTACATCAGAAAGACACCAAGAGTTAGGAGAAAATAGCGCAGTCGGAGAAACACATAGATCTATGAGTTTGTAACTTTTCCAGGCCATACACGTATAAATGCTGTTAATGGTTCGCATTTTATACCCATGGAGTAAAGTAAGTAAAGATGCGCCAAATAACGAGTGGGAAGCAATAAATTAGAATATATAAAATGGATCATCTAACCCAAGAATGAGCTTGGTCCCAAAGAGACTGCAGAACGTTTACACTTCCTGTTGCATCAGTCATAATTCAGTTCCATGCCAAAATCTGAAATGGTAGGTACTAACTTGTGCAGGTTGAATAGAGTAGGTGAAATAAGAACTGAGTAAGTTAAAATTAGGAAAACTCGTAGGTCTCGCTTGGGCTCAGAGGCCTGTCCTTCCAGAAGCCCAGCTTGGACATCAGTAGATGGCAGGTGAGGGACAGGGCTCTGTCACTCTGCGTGCGGCACGGTTAGTGCATGGGTTAGTAAGGACTGGTGCTATATGCTGTGGGCAGAGGGAGAAGTTTAAGAGCTTATTCCTGTCCTAGCAGGATTGTTAATTGGGAAGATACATTGTGAGTGAAGGCTGAAGGGCCACAGGTGCTGCGGGTTTGACTGTGACTTGGTGGATGGAGGACAGTGGGCAGGACACTGCTAGTGAGGAAAGAAGGAACGGTGCCTGCAGACATTGTGCAGACAAGTGGGAAATAAGACTGGACTGAGGGCAAGGGGCCAGGTAAGAGAGGCCCCAAGAGCTGCAGAGGAGCCTGAACCAGACTTGGGGGGAGATGGAGGAACGCTTGGAGGGTTCACGCAGGCAGGCCACTGTTGAGAGCTGTGTTAGGGAGCTGGGTCTGCCTGCCGACTGGGCTGCAGGGGCCGCGGCCTGTTGCTGGAACAGCCCAGGATGTCTGCAGTGCTCCAGAAATGAGGCACCAAGGGCCGGCCAGAGGGAAGTTGCTATAGGACCATACAGCTGGAAAGACAGGAAGGTCAAGCGGGGACAGCACAACCTCCAATTAGAAGTGCCCTGTAGCAACTGGAGAGAAAGAATTGAGATTTGGGAGTTGTCAGCAAAGGGGTTGTAGATGAAGTCTCTAAAGAAGAGAATAGAAAATCGGACAGGGGCTGGGGTACAGCCTTGACAAAGGAGAGAGAAGGACATTCCGAAGGAATGGTCAGAGAGGCAGGAGAATCAGCAGAGGACATTGTCTCTCTAAGCTAAGAGCACAGAAAGCTTCCAGTGGGCATTTGCGTAGAGTTCTCTGCAGGAAGAGTCAAGGAGGATGAGGCTGGGGTGAGGCTCTTCTGTCTGGTGGCAGAGGGCTCCCAGGTGACCTGGAGCACCCTGGTGATGCAATAGGTTGCTGGATATCAAAGGGAGAGGGCAGGTACATGCACGTTAGAACACTTTGGCAGGGAGGCCGAGGGCGGGGCTTATGCCTGTAATTCTAGCATTTTGGGAGGCCGAGGTGGGCAGATTGCCTGAATTCAGGAGTTCAAGACCAGCCTGGGCAACATGGGAAACCCCGTCTCTACCAAAAAAAATACAAAAAATTAGCCAGACATGGTGGTGTGCACCTATAGTCCTAGCTATTTGGGAAGCTGAGGTGGGAGAATCACCTGAGCCCAGGAGGTAGAGGTTGCAGTGAGCCAAGATCACACCACTGCACTCCAGCCTAGATGACAGAGTAAGACCCTGTCACAAAAAAAAAGGAAAAGAAAAAAAGAAAACTTTGGCAGGGAAAGGAAATGGGGGGAGGGGCCAAAGTTGGCAGAGGGCCAGGTAAAGTGTCCTCTTGCGCCCGCCTGGCACAGGTGGGTTCTCTGCCTCTCTAAGGCAGCAGGCAGGTGCTATGGAGAAGCGGCTTTCAAAGGGTGAGACTTAACACCCAGATGCACATTTCATCTTCCTCATTTCCCATCTGTCTATTCCAGTGTTCATGCTCTCTCTATTCCACTTTGCAGTTTTATACTTCAGGATATGTTGGATGATTGGCATAAAAAGCTGAGGTGTGGTATTTCTGAACTTGAAAAGGAAGTAATAATCATGAATAATTAGAAGATGGTTTTCTTTAAAGCCGGGTGTGGTGGTGTGTGCCTGTAGTCCTAGTTATTTGGGAGGCTGAGGTGCGAGGACGACTTGGGCCCAGGAGGTTGAGGCTGCAGTGAGCTATGATTGCACCACTGCATTCCATACAGTGCAGCTGGGGCAATGCTCAACTCCAGCCTGGGCAACAGAGTGAGACCCGATCTTAAAAAGAAAAAAAGAATGTTAGCATTCCTTATGTTTAATGTTATGATATTTGGTGGCCACAATTTAGACATGGGAAAGGAGACATATATTTAAAACTTCAGCTGCCAAATTGAGCTGGAGATTTTCTTAGAAGATATTATTTCCACTAAAGTTACAAATAAGACAATTAAGAACTCAGTCCACTTTCTTTTGAGATGATAAAGAAGATCATTGCTCTCTTAACCTAGAGTATTAAACAGCTATGTTTTTCCCACAGTGGTAAAATCTTACTCTAAAAAAAAGCTAAATTTAGAATAATTACAATGATATGCATGTTAAGTCACTTAGGTATAATCTACACAGCATTAAAAAAGATCTTTGGGGAAAGTTCAAGAAAAATCTCTGAAAATTAATAATGTGTGATGTTTTTGCTAAACATTTTAACAGACTGATATTCCACGCCATTGTGAGTTAATTTATATCCTGAGCACCAAAAATGTTGTCATTGTAATAAATGATGTGTACTCTGTAGGACAATATAACCACAGTGTTCAGTGGAATTAATAGCAGCATTTGTACAACGTGTGAAAAAGAGAAAGGAAAGTGAAAGCTCTGTAGCCTTTATTCATAGAAAGGCAATTTTTAAAAATCACCCAGAAATGTGCAGCCTTGTGCATCTATTGTTTAATCCAACACTCTACCAAAAATAGTTACACAGTGCCAGGCCCTATGCTTGGGGCTGGGAATGTAGCACATAGAACACAGTGCTTTCCGAACTGCAGGTAGCCGTGAAGTCAATTAAAGAGTCATCATTGGCAAGGTTTAAAATGAAATAGAGGCCAGGCATGGTGGCTTACGCCTGTAATCCCAGCACTTTGGGAAGCCGAGGTGGGTGGATCACCTGAGGTCAGGAGTTCGAAACCAGCCTGGCCAACATGGTGAAACCCCATCTCTACTAAAAATACAAAAATTAGCTGGGCGTAGAGGTGAGCACTTGTAGTCCCAGCTACTCAGGAGGCTGAGGCATGAGAGTCACTTGAACCCAGGAGGTGGAGGTTGCAATGAGCCGAGATCGTGCCACTGCACTCTATCCTGGACAATGGAGCAAGATGCTGTCTCAAAAAAAATAAATAAATGAATAAAAAGAAAGAAAGAAATAGAAAATTCCACTTCTGGGTACTCAAAATTGTTGAAAGCAGGGACTTGGACAGATATTCATACACCCATGTTCATAGCAGCATTATTCACAATAGCCGAGGGGTGGGAGCAACCTGAGTATCTACCGATGGATGAATGGTTAAACAAAATGTGGTCCATCCATAGGGTGGAATCTTATTTCATCCTAAAAAGGAAGGGAATTCTGATACATGCTATCAGCATGTATCAAGACATTATGCAGCGTGAAATAAACCAGTCCCCAAAAGCGCAAATAGTCTATGACTCCACTTACACGAAGTGCCTAGGGTTGTCAAATTCATAGAGACAGAGAGTGGAATGGTGGTTGCCAAGGGCTGGGGAGAGGAAGGAATAGTAAGTGAGTGCTTAATGGGCGCAAAGTTTCCCTTTGGAATGATGAGAAAGTTCTGCAGATGAATGGTGGTGTGGGTAGCAGAACAATGTGAATCTCCTCATGCTTTATAACTGGGCACTTAAAGATGGTTACAATGGTAACTTTTATGTCGTGTGTGTACACATACACACACACACACACACATATTAGGGAGATATTTTACAGTCTCCATGTGTTGCCCAGGTTGGAGTGCAGTGGCTATTCACAAGTGCAATCAGAGCACACTAGAGCCTCCAACTCCTGGGCTCAAACGATCCTCCCTCCTCAGCCTCCCAAGCAGCTGAAACTACAGACACACACCACCATGCCTGGCTGTTGTGTATATTCTAACACAGTTTTTAACATGAAATGGAATAGACAATTTTGGACTGCACTGAGCATAGTAAGAACGAGTATTTGTGCTGGAAACATTGGTATTTACTTACAATGTACCTACATGTGCTGAGTTGCGATGTATAATACAAGGCATTTCTTGTTGTGGGTCACGGTCACAATCTAAGAGACATTTGGACATATAATAATTGTACAGATAGTTGTATAAATACAAATGATAAGCGCCAAGGAACAAAGCTAGGTGGAAGGATTTCAGATTATTTCTGAGGGTCTGGACTGGAATAAGGAGGAAAAGAAGCTACCAGAACAGCCGTGGGTAGAGCAAGGGGCAGCCACATCAGGCAAGCTAGGGTAGGAGATGGGGAGGCCCTGCTTGCAGCGGGCCTTGGACAGCCTGTCAGGGGCTTCTGATTTTACTCTAAGAGCAGAGAAAAGTTGACCTTCAGTTAATGTCATGGGCTTAACTGTGTCCCTGCAAAAATTCATCTGTTGAAGTCCTAATGCCCAGGACCTCAGAATGTGACCTTACTTGAAGATGGGGCCTTTACAGATGTAATCAAGTTAAAATGAGGGCATTAGGCTGGGCCCGAATCCAATATGACTGGTGTCCTTATAAGAAGGGGAAATTTGGACACAGATGCACACAGAGGGAAGATAAAGTGAAGACACAGGGAGGAGATGGCCACCTGCAAGCCAAGGAGAGGGGCCACAGAAGGATCCAGCCCTGCCCACACCTGGGTTTTGGACTTCTGACCTCCAGAACTATGAGAAAATTAATTCCTGTTGTTTCAGGCCTCCAGTTGGTGGCACATTCTTAAGGGAGTCCGAGCAGATCAATACAGTTAGTATAGAATCTCAGAGTCAATCTGGGTGTGGTGGCTCACGCCTGGAATACCAGCACTTTGGGAGGCCAAGCCAGGCAGATCACCTGAGGTCAGGGGTTCGAGACCAGCCTGGCCAACATGGTGAAACCTCATCTCTACTAAAAATACAAAAATTAGACAGGCATGGTGGCAGGTGGATATAATCCCAGTTACTAGGGAGGCTGAGGCAGGAGAATCGCTTGAACTGGGGAGGCAGAGGTTGCAGTGAGCCGAGCCAAGATCGTGCCCACCGCAATCCAGCCTGGACAACAAGAGTGAGACTCTGTCTCAAAAAAAAAAAAAAAAAAAAAGAATCTCAGAGTCAAGAATTGACTATTCCACAGATGCAGCACCATTCACTACTCATATTAAAATATAAAATATAGCTTCTCATGATAAAATTGTTACTCTACAAAATAAGAGGTAATCACTGAGTCTAACAACCATAAGGGAACATTCAACTCTGCGGCCTCCAACCCACTTGCTGATGCAGCTGTCCCTTCTACAACATCCCTGACAAATGGTCACTCTGCCCCTTTCAGATCTGAAGCACTCCAATTATTAAAAAGATTGTTGTTTATTTTTATCCTAAATTGCCCTTGCCAAAGCATTCTTCACCAATCCTACTTTTGTCTGGTCAATTTCATCTCCCTCTGTCCTGGTTCTGGCTTCTGTCTCCTCTGGAACATTGCAACAGTAGCCTGTGTCCTGGTTTACCCAGCCCTGCTTCATTACTCCAGGGTTAACTTACCCAAAGAGGTGCTAACTGATGTCCTTTCATTCTCTGCTGCCTACCATATTAAGTGCAAACATCTTGGCACGAACTTCAAGTCAGTCTGCACTCCTGCTGCAAATGCCATCTTTGGCATTCAACACACCCCTGCCCCACTGTGCTATCCGAAAGCTCCTCTTCGCGACTCTCAGACGTGCCGTGCACTTGAAGGCTTTGAACTTTGGCCAGTGCTGTGCCCTAGTCCTCAGTGTCCGCCTCCCCTGCCCGCCAGGGTAGGAGCTGCCCCATCAACAGGGCCTCTGCAGTCATGAGCACATCTGCCCTTGTGCCAGTCTGCTTTGCCTTGTGGGAACTTGTGTACAAGTCTGTCTCTCCTGGGAGATGATATACCCCTAATGCCCATCATGCTTGACACAAGGTTGAACGTAGTTGGCAGTGAGTAAATGCTGAGTGAATGAATGAACTCTGGACAAAAGTGGTTGCCCATTACACATGATAGGTTTTCAAATGCCTGGAAGAGAACACACATCTTCTCCAGGGTAACATTCTCCATTTCCTCCCTGCCCATCATGTGACATTGTTGCTAGACCCCTTGTCTGGAGAGATGTCCATTCCACCCAACCAGATCCTTTTATCCTGAATCCTGAAGATTCAGGTACTCAGAACTGCATACAGTAACCTCAGAGCACTTTCACCTGGGTGGCATCTCCCTTTAGTAACCTGAATATTATGATTCTATTGATGCAACTGAAGCGTGTGTTGATTTTTTTTTTTTTTTTTTTTTTGAGCAGCCAGGGTGTGGACTGTAGGCTCCATGTTGAACTTCCGTGAACTAGCCGTGAATGTGCCATAATGCACCCTTCAATGTCTCCTTCGTCCTTGTAATTGATCATCAGGTTAGCGCTGCGGGAGGGGTGCAGAGTCCTCTGTATGGCACTGGATGCCTCCCCAGCCACATCTCTATTGATGTGTTTCTCAGTGCTTTGGAAATACCTGCCTAACTAAAAATGAAATCACCCCAACCGTTCGTTCACCCAGCCTATTTTCTTCTTCATTGTCCACAGGATTTTGTGAAGGAGCCTCTCCGTTGCTTTGTAAATTCGGTCTGGTAACACAGAAAAACAGGGAACGAGGTTGGTTTGGCTCTTAGGCGCCACTTTTCCTTCCAAGTGTTTACATGCTAGCTCTTCAAAGATCTGTGAAAATTTTTGCTCAGAACCGATATTAATATCAAACGTATCATCTGTATTTTCCAGAATCCAACTTTTTCTGCTTTTTGGAAACTTATGACCTTTTATCCCTTCCCAGTTTTCTGCGACTCCCATCTGGCAAAATTAGAGCTGGCTTACTGAGGCCTGGAGAATGTATTCACAGTAACTGAACAGTCTCTTGCCATCTCTTGCCTTTCTTAGGCTCTTGGCAATTTCTCCCCAGGGATGTTTCTTCTATCCCTTCCAGTGTTAAGATTATTCTCCTTATTAGAGAAAAAGGAGGCTGGGCGCGGTGGCTAACGCCTGTAATCCCAACACTTTGGGAGGCCAAGGCAGGTGGATCACCTGAGGTCAGGAGTTCGAGACCAGCCTGGCCAACATGGTGAAACCCCATCTCTACTAAAAATACAAAAAATAGCCAGTCATGGTGGCGTGTGTCTGTAATCCCAGCTACTGGGGAGACTGAGGCAGGAGAATTGCTTGAACCTGGGAGGTGGAGGTTGCAGTGAGCCGAGATCATGCCATTGCACTCCAGACGGGGCAACAAGAGTGAAACTCCATTTGAAAAAAAAGAAAAGAAAAAGAAAAAAAAAAGAAGCCTACATAGCGAAGTCCTAACCATGCAGACTGGCTTTCAGGGTCCTTCATGGCTCCTCTAGTTCTTCCAGTTCTTTGGCCCCTGTCAATCCCTCTGCTTTTCCATTTCCCAAACACCCCACAATAGTCTGCCCCTGGGGCTTTGGTTGTGAGATTCCTGCTGTTGGAAATGTCTTTCCACTCAGTCTGTGAGCTCCTTGGCCATGCCCCTGGCTGGGAGCCTCACACAGGGATGCAGTTCTACAGCTTATCTTATGAAGGTGAGACCTTGTCAGCCTGGTGAAGCCAGCTCCTTGTTTTCCCGTGTGTCATCCGGCCTGGATGGGCTGGAATGGGGGAGAGGCACTGGCCGAGAAACAACACTGTGTGATAAAGACGGCCTTATCAAGGGCCTCTCCAGCTTCATTATCCTATTACACAATGTCAACACTGCAGAATCATGAACTTCAGACCCTTCCACAGATAATCTGTTGATAGTCCAAATGGATATGACAACTCTATTATCTAAGAAACCCAGTAGGCTATTTACCCAAAAGTATTCCTAATGATTGGACTCCATCAAAAGAATTTACATATTTTGAAGTATCTGAAGTGGGAAATTAAAAGCAATATTTGCTTGGCTAATTCTTTTTAAAATGTCCTTGCAGGCCAGGCACAGTGGCTTACACCTGTTATCCCAGCACTTGAGGAGGCCAAGGTGGGCAGATCCCTTGAGTCCAGGAGTTTGAGACCAGCCTGGGCAACATGGTGAAACCTTGTTTCTATACAAAACACAAAAATTAGCCAAGCGTGGTAGCATGTGCCTGTGGTCCCAGCTACTCAGGGGACTGAAAGGTGGGAAGATTGCTTGAGCCTGGGTGGTCAAGGCTACAGTGAGCCGTGATCGTGCCACTGCACTCCAGCCTGGGCGACAGAGCAAGATCCTATCTCAAAAAAAAAAAGAAGACAAGAAAAAGTCCTTACATTTAGGAAACTTGATGTTGTGATTGTCTCTAATTCATGCAATAGTGCGGGCACCGCAGTAGATTGCAAATGAATTTCCAACCGTAGCATCTCCACCAATCAACAGGATTTCCAGGGCATTTTGTTCATTCACTCCATCGCGTTGCCTGTAAGGTTTTATGGCCGTTCCTGGCATGCCACAGACTAACCACAGAGCAAATAAGCTAATATTAGGGCAACCACTCATCCCAGAAGGCCTGGGACAGCCAGGTTTAGGCCTTTGTCCTGGGTGCTCATTAATAGTACCCCTTTGGGGCCAGACGTGGTGGCTCACGCCTATAATCCCAGCACTTTGGGAGGCCGAGGAGGGCAGATCACGAGGTCAGGAGATCGAGACCATCCTGGCCAATGTGGTGAAACCCCTTCTTTACTAAAAATGCAAAAATTAGCCGGGCATGGAGGCCCACACCTGTTGTCCCAGCTACTCAGGAGGCTGAGGCAGGAGAATTGCTTGAACCCAGGAGGTGGAGGTTGCAGTGAGCTGAGATCACACCACTGCACTCCAGCCTGGGTGACAGAGCAAGACTCTGTCTCAAAAAAAAAAAAAAAAAGTACCCCTTTAACTCTGGAAAGTATTCTAGTTTGGATGATAAATTGTATGGCCATCCTAGTTAATAAAGAAAGAACCAACCCAAATGTCCATCAATGATAGACTGGATTAAGAAAATGTGGCACATATACACCATGGAATACTATGCAGCCATAAAAAATGATGAGTTCATGTCCTTTGTAGGGACATGGATGAAGCTGGAAACCATCATTCTCAGCAAACTATTGCAAGGACAAAAAACCAGACACCGCATGTTCTCTCTCATAGGTGGGAATTGAACAATGAGAACACTTGGACACAGGAAGGGGAACATCACACACCAGGGCCTGTTGTGGGTGGGGGGAGGGGGGAGGGATAGCATTAGGAGCTATACCTAATGTAAATGATGAGTTAATGAATGCAGCACACCAACATGGCACATGTATACATATGTAATAAACCTTCATGTTGTGCACATGTACCCTAGAACTTAAAGTATAATAAAAATATATATATATATAAACGATTTAGAGTCTTTCCATAGTGTGCATTGAAAGAAGATTGTCTAGATTGATACAGGTTATGCTTCAAATGCTATCATAAGCTGCCTTACAATATCGAAGTTACAAGAAATAAAAAGAAATGGCCAGAAACCTGGATTTGTATCAGGAAAGTCCAGGAAAAGTCTCACTACTGAGGCTTGCCTACTCCCCTCCCATCATCTCCTTCACAGGCTTTTCCATCCTGGTGTTCTAGAGATGCTGTACTTCTTCCTAATTAATGGGGGGTCCGGTAACTCTTGCTCATATTTTTGCCATGGTCCCAGGACTCCAGCTATACCAGAGAGTAGGGCAAAGGTCCTCAGCATCCTTCTGGAAGTCAACTCAATAAGAAGTTGCTCCCCTATCTCCCTCACAGGCTTGGTCACCGGTTCTTCATCACAGACAATTGCTGAGAACTGACCCTGGGCTCACACATTTCGCCACACTGAGTGCCCTGTTGTGCCAGGAACAGGAGACACAATGGGGAACAATGCACCATCCCACACCCGAGGGTCTCACAGCTCAGAGGGGAGCAAACACGCCGCAGGTCACACTCACACAGGCCCCCAGTCACCATCAGGCGCTGGCTCCAGTCTCTGCTGCAAGCCTAGCTGGTACTGCCTGCACCTTGCATGTAAGGAAACTCCCTAGGACCAGAGGCTCAGGGGCCTGGCCTGAGGTCACAACGTTGGTAAATGGTAGAGCTGGGATTTAAACCCAGTCCTGTCAGGCCCAAACCCTCACTTTTCTACTTTGAGCAGCCACCTCTTCAATGGAAGATGGAATAAGAGAGAGGTGGTGGGGGTGGAGGGGTTGGGGAAGGAAGGAGAGGGGAAAGGGCAGATTCTACCCAAGCATGCAAGCTGACACCCTGGCTGGGGACAGGTAGGATAACAGTGCCCTACGATAGGGTGGGGCTGCGGGCCTCCTGCTGTAGGTGCAGACCCGGGTTTAGCCGTGCTTGCCCTGCAAGGCATATTTGGAAAGTATTTGTTGCTTGGGTTTGGGACCGACAGACACATGGGGATTAGTGAAACCCCAGGGTCTGAGGCGGACTGAGGAGTCCAGAAGTCAAAAGCGGGGGAGCATACCTCCAGCCTCAAGGAGTCTGGGAGATGAGAGGTATGGAGAGGAGGCGGGAAAGAGGCTAGAAATGCATACTCAGTATGTCTGGAAACTGATGAGACATCCAGCTCTGTTAATGTCAAAGAGGGGACAGGGAGCTCAGACTGAAGGCATCTGGCCCCATTGCAGTGAACCTGGGACCCCATACTAACAGGCTGGGCTTAGTCTATGGGCAATGGGAGCCCCTTGGAAGCCACAGAATTAGGACTGTGCTTCAGGAAGACTGATGGGAAGTGCACATACCTGGGCCAGGGGACACGAAGCATGAAGACAAACTAGTGGGACCTGTTCCAGGTGAGGTGGTGTGAGCCTGGGTTGGGCTGGCAGCCATCCTCCCAGCTGTGGGGTGGGGAACTGGCCCGCCAGACCACACTGCGGATGCAGAAGAAGCCAAGAGAGGATCTGGGGTCTAGAGGGCAGGAGTGGTGGGGTGTAGGAATCAGGAAGTGAGTGCAGGGGGAGGGCATGGCCTTGGCAGTGAGGATGCCATACAGCATGGGAGGCACACCCCATGAGCAAGGGCAGGGCCTTAGGGCTAGAGCTGGCCAGGAAACAGGTGGTGGGGGAGGAGAAAGGCACCGGGAAACCCACCTGAGGGGGCGGTGTCAGGAGGGGAAGAGCCAAGCACACTTGATGGGAGGAGGAAAGAATTAGAGGAAAGAATTAGAAGCTGGGGACGAGTCAAGGAGAAGGGAGGCGGCCAGTGGAACAGGGGTCCAGAGGACTGAGCTGGACCCAACCAGTATTCTGGGGGCAGGGGCGCGTGTCCTTGGAAAGAAGGAGAGATGCTTCATCACCCGGGAGAGGAAGGTTAAAGGATGAGGTGGATGAAATGCCATAGGAAATGTGAGGCTTCAACCATTGATTCAACAAACACAGGTGTTGCTTAACGATGGGATACGTTCTAAGAACTATGCTGTTAGGCAATTTCATCATTGTGCGAGCATCGTAGAGTGCACTTACATAAGCCCAGATGGTACAGCCCACTACACACTTAGGCTACATGGTACAGCCCATTGCTCCTAGGCTGCAAACCTGCATGACAGGCTACTGTACTGAATATCGTAGGCAACTATTATACAATGGTAAGTATTTGTGAACGTAAACATCTCTAAACAGAGAAAAGGTATATTAAAAATACAGTGTCATAACCTTATGGGACCATCATCATACGTGCAGTCCATCCCTGACCCACTCATCATGATGCGGCACGTGATGCTTATGATGGCACTTGTTGGCAACATAAACATCCTTGTTGGCAGGAAGCTCTATCAGCATCTTTCCAGGGAAAGTATTGAGTTTGCCTCCATGTTCTGCTAAAACTCCTGAGGACAGAGAGGATGGAAGAAAAACAACCTCCATACAACTTCAAACTGGAAAATAGGAAAAGGGGAGGTACAGTCTCATCTGCCCCAGACAAGCTGAACTCAAAGCTAGCAAGGGTGGGCAGCCAACCAGCAACCTACTTCCCCACAGAGAACCCCCAAAGGCTTAGGAATGGGCAGGACCAGGTACCTGTCACAGTGGGGGCAAAAGAGGGTCTGCTTAAGAAACTGCTGTGGACTGAACTGTGCTCCCTTCCAAACTCATACACTGAAAACCCAACCCCCAATGTGACTGTATTTAGAGATGGGTCCTTTAGGAAGTAATTAAGGTTAAATGAGGTCTTAAGGGTGAGGCCCTGATCTGTTAGGATTAGTGACCTTATAAAAAGGGAGAGAGAGAGATATATCTCTTACTTTCTCTCTGCCATGTGAGGACACAGCAAGAAGGTGGCAGTCTGCAAGCCAGGAAGAGAGCCCTCACCAGGAACCAACCATGCTGGCACTCTGACTAGACTTCAAGCCTCCAGAATAGTGAGGAATAAATTTCTGTTGTTTGAGTCACCCAGTGTATGGTATTTTGCTATGGCAGCCCAAGGTGACTAAGACAGAAGCAGATAGATTCCTCCCCCGTCTCCTTCCTCTCACTGTGAAGATTGGAGTTTCAATCTGTTAAATAGGTGAACCAAGGGGTTCTCTACACAAAGGCATACCAGAGGGGAGGGGAAGCATCCTGAAGATGGCAAATAAATGATAGCCTGATGCTGAATGATCAGACCTCACCCCAGCCCCTTCCTACCCTCAGCTCTCAGAACATTGGCAGCCAGGGGTCTGCTGTCCAGGCAAAAGTGTGGAAGGACCTTTTTTAGGGAATATGACGAAGTCTTGTGGAAAGACCTAGAGGTTGGGCAGGTTGGGAAATAAAGTGAAGTTCGCCTGTTGACAAGTGTCATCTGTAGTCTCAGGACTTGCAGGTACTGTTTGAATGTCCCCCCTCTAAGACTTGAATGGAGAGCCAAGAATCTGAACATTTGAGAACATATAAAAGTAACAAAAAAAGGTAGAGTGAGGGGATATGAGGAAACAGACAACACAGACAGCAGAAGGAAATAAAACTATTATTTATATCCTCATAGGTCAAAGTTATTGCATCCACAAAATAAGAATGCTATTTATAAAATTAGATGATAAAACATCTTTGAAAATTAAAAATATGGCCGTAGAAATACAATCCCCACAGCAATGTCTACTGATAGAGTTGAAGAAATCTCCCAGAAAAATAGAACAAAAAAGACAAAGCTACACAGAATATAGGAGGAAAAAAATGGGATATCATATTGGGAAGTTCAGCATCTGAATAACAAGTTTCAGGAAGAGAAAATGAAGAAAATAGAGGAAGGGAAATCATCAAAGAAATAATTCAAGAAAAGTTTCCAAAACAAAGAAACATGACACATGAATTTCTAGATTGAAAGAGCCTACTGAGTGCCCAGCACATTGGAGGAAAAACAAAACAAAACACCACCACCAAATGTTATTTATACCCACCAAATGTTACGTCCATCAGCTGTTATATGCACCAGATGTTTTAGAACACTGGGGATAGGAAAACATTCAAAAAGCTTCTAGAGAGAAACAACAGTCTCAGACAAAGAATTAAGAATTAGAATGGCATTGGATTTCTAAACAGTAATGATAGGAGCTAGAAAACAACAGATAAATGCAAAGAATACATTTTTGAGGGAAAAAATTATTTTAACCTGTAATTAAAGACCCAGACACACCATCAAATCATGTGTGCAAGTGGAATAAAGACATTTCTAGTCACACAAGATCTCAAAAACTTAGCTCTTCTGTGCCTCCTTTCTCAGGAAGCTACTGCAGGATGTGCTTCACCAAAACGAGGGAGTTGCCAAGAAAGATTACATGGGATTCAGAAAACAAGGAATCAACACAGGAGAGAAATAAAAGGAATCTGCAGGAAGTGGATGGACAGTAACAATCATGCTAACAGGCAACCAGTCCAGACTACAGTGGGATAACAGAGGCTCCGGAGAAATGCCACCAAGAAGCTGAAATTAGAAGCTGTCAGAAAAAGATTTACATATAAGGCAGAATAGTTGGGGATGACTTAGTGAATGATACATGGAAAATAGAAGACAGTAATTTACTACAGGAAAAACAAAAAATTGTCTAAGAAAGGAAATTCAATCATACAATATGGCTTAACTTTGAGTAGTGTTTGATAGTCATAGTAATATAAACACACAGGCCAAATTTTAAAATTCTGACATGACTATATTAGGAAGAGGAAGGGTATGTATCCACATGTGAGTATGGAGTAAGCAATGTGAGTGAGAACTAAATCTTCATCTTCCTGGCAGGACATTAACAGATTAAAAAATGCCTGGCCCAGACCTTTTCAAATTGGTGCCTTGCAAATTGGTGACTCATGCCTGTAATCCCAACACTTCACGAAGCTGAGGCAGTTGAGTCCAGGAGTTCGAGACCAGCCTTGGCAACATAGTGAGCCCCTGTCTCTATAAAATAAAATAAAATGGCAAAAATTAGCCAGGCATGGTGGTGTGTGCCTGTAGTCTCAGCTGCTCAGGAGGCTGAAGGGAGAGGATCACTTGAGCCACAGGAGGTTGAGACTGCAGTAAGCCTAACCTGGGCAACAGAGCATGAACCTGTTTCAAAACAAAAAAACAAAACAAAACAAACTGCCCCACAAAAATGCTTGGACTTGGACAGTCAGGAAGTAGCAGTATATGCATGTTATTTCAAGAAAGGTAAAGGCAGCGGGCGTGGTGGCTCACGCTTCTAATCCCAGCACTTTTGGAGGCTGAGGCGGGCGGATTGCTTGAGGTCAGGAGTTTGAGACAAGCCTGGCCAACGTGGTGAAACCCCGTCTCTACTAAAAATACAAAAATCAGCTGGGCTTGGTGGCAGGTGGCTGTAATCCCAGCTACTGGGGAGGCTGAGGCAGGAGAATCACTTGAACCTGGGATGCAGAGGTTGCAGTGAGCCAGGATCATGCCACTGCACTGCAGCCTGGGCGACAGCGCAAGACTCCTCTCAAACAAACAAACAAAAAGAAACAAAAAAAGAAAGAAAGGTAAAGACATACCAAAAGGCAAGGGTAACATATTTGGAAGTGGTAACTGCTTCCGGGAGGTAGGAAGAACGCTAGGGATGGCGTGGGAAATGAGGGGAGGGAACTGCAACTTCTTTGTCTTAAGCCTTGTAGAACTGCTTGATTTTTTTTTTTAAGTACGTGCAGTCTGTAACTGATAAATTTAAATTAAGCTTAAAATCATGTACATTTTAATCTTTCTTCTTGAGCTCCCATTTATTTATTTGTTCTCAGTTTGTTCATTGATTCATTCAGTCTACAAACATTTGCTGTGAGTCTTCTTCTGTGGGTTGGCTGCTGGGACAGCTGAAGAGGAAATCTCAATTCCTGCTCAGAGAGGACCTTTCCTTTTAATAAGAAAAACTTCAAGGAGGTTAAAGCTGTATGTGCCTTTTACTTTATTTTGCGTGGTAGCTGATTTTCTGAAGAACTCTCAATTCTACATTTGAAATCAGTTGAGGTCTTGGGACAACAGTGGTTGAAGCTCATGATTTAAAGTTTTCCTATGATAAATCCATCAGGAAAAAAATCCTGCACAATATATGAATATGTAATCTATGTCTTCTTATACTGGCCACTCTGTTGAGAAATCGACGTGGCTGTAGGAAAGGTAGCTGAAGAACAAACTTTCAGGAAACATATCACCATTTGAGAAGAGGGGAATTCACTTACGGCCAATATTACTCGTGATGACAAATTAGAATTCACTTATGTAGCATATACTGAGCTGTGCCCCTTAATTACATTATTTTGTGCACTTTTACTGACGTCCTGTAGTAAAAGCTAGTTATATCCAATAAACCTGATAGTAAAATGTTCGGCTGTACATCATAGGGATTCTGCACTAATTAATTTCACAGGTTTTGTTTTTTTTTTTTTGAGATGGAGTCTCGCTCTGTCACCCAGGCTAGAGTGCAGTGGTGCGATCTCAGCTCACTGCAACCTCTACCTCCCAGGTTCAAGCGATTCTCCCACCTCAGTCTCCCAAGTAGCTGGGATTGCTGGTGCCCACCACCACACCCTGCTAATTGTTTGTATTTTTAGTTGAGACGGGGTTTCACCATATTGGCCAGGCTGGTCTCGAGCTCCCGACCCCTCAGGTGATCCACCTGATTTGGCCTCCCCAAGTTCTGGGATTACAGGCATGAGCCACCGCACCTGGTCAATTTCACAGGTTTTTATATTTCCTCCATTTATAACAAACATAATTGCTTCCTTTCAGCTTCATCTGTAAGGGCTCTGAGGAGAATCTCTTCTATATATTTAATCTAGGAATGGCTGTGTTACCTGCTAAGATTTCATTTTTGCTTGTAGGACATTTTGTTGCACCATTTGAAAGCAGCAGGAAAATATTCTTAAAAGACAGCCATAGTTTTGAAAAATCATGTTTTAGCTGGAAGAATATAAACATAAACTGTATCATGAAATTGTGCTGTAAAATTCCTCTCAAATATTATTTTCGTGTCAAAACTATTAATGTTCTTATAATGGGTCCTGGATGAATCTACAAAATGTTTTATTCAAGGTCCTTGAAATGACCTTGAATTGCTATCCCAATACTGCCATTACACAAAGGAGCGGAGAGGCTAATAAGTTATATGCATATCTTAGGCACGCCTTTCAAATTGGTGCAAAAATCATGTGAAGTAAAATACATACCACAGTCATGAAAACGTAGCTTCCACATGGCGGCTGGGCCACTCACTAAAACGCAACTCCAATGCAATCACTCTCCAGATCAAAAGCCCCTGGGCTCCCTGCTGCCCGTCATGAAGAGTAAACCCAGCCCATGGGCCTGCCATCATGGTGCCAGATCAACCTTGCTGGCGTGGGATCTGTCACGTCCATCCATGCCTCAGCCTACTTGCCTGTGAAGTGAAGCACTTGCTGTACTCTGGGTCTGCCTCACTCTTTCCATCTCACATCTTGACTGTCCCTTCCCACTGCTCCACATTTCCCCAGCCACCACGTCTCAAGTTCATCTCAAATGCCACTGTTCCGGGAGCCGGCTCTTCCCTCCCTGTCATATGCCCTTTCTCCCTCCTCTGAATGCCTCAGTGCCTAGTACCTGTCCAGGTCTGTGACAGTCCTCTGTGGCCTTGCCTAGTTCACCCACTGAGCTCTGCACTCCCTGAGAACAGAGATCGGATCCCTCCTGGATGCTCTGTAATTAGGAAACAGATTTGACTTGAAGACATAGGCTCATGCCTATTTCAAGGCTCCTGTAACTTTTCAAGAAGGCTGTGATGCTGTGATGCTCTGCCTCTGTGTCCTGGGCAGTGCGCCAGCAAACCGCATTCCTAATTACATAACAGTATTCAAATGCATGTCAGTATGAAAAGAGGAATCAACTCTATTTTGTATTTTTTTTTAAACAGAAAAGCTTTTTTTCTGATCACTGGACTACTTTCCATTTTAAGCTAATTAGTAAATTGCATTTTTGGCTCTTTAACTGGCTAGGTTAAATTTAGCTCATCTTTTCCCTTAAAGTCAAGCTGTCAGTGGGTTTTGCAATTAAAATTTCCACTCTCAACTTTCATTCTCATTCAAGAGGATGCTGGCAAGCCACCCCCTCCTTCTGCCCTTCCTTCCTTCAGCTTCTCCCCTACTCAAGGCTTCACACAGACATGGGAAGATGGCCCCTTACCCCTAGAACTGCAGGGCACTACAAGCATGGCCCTCACCAGCAGGCAGGGCATCCGCCCAAGGGTGCAAACGTCACTCAGCCATGCTGCTGAGCACCCAGACTATCCCAGTGGAGCTATTGAAATTATGCAGCATCCTATGTGGCCAGGGCTAGAGCAGGGGCTTGGAGGGCTGCTCCCGTGCCAAGCATGAACCCTTGAGTGGGTGGATATGGGGAGGTCTGAGGAGTCCCAGAGGAGGAGGGTGAGGGAAGGAAAAAGGGTACACTCGGGAGGCATGGAGGATAGGGCAACATTACAAAAATACTGGGCATTACAGAAGCATTTGCATCTTTTAACAATCGCCATGGCCAAACCAGGTGACTCTGGGCCCTGCCAGGCCCCAGAGCTGCCTAAGAACAATGTGGTGAGGAGCGTGGATGCGGGTTAGGGTGGAGGTCACAAGGCCACGCTGTCACTGTGACCAGAGTCATTCTAGAGCCTGGGAAAGTCCCCCCATGCCTAGAATCCTGCTTCTCATCTCCAACCCCTCTGCTCTTTGCTTGGAGCTCTCTGTCATCCTCCCTCCCTCCCTGTCTCCCCTGGAGTCCTGCCAAGGGCTCTTCTCCTGGCCCAGGCTCTTTCTGCCCACCCCAAGTGTGGTTCAGAGGCCCCCCGCCCTTGTCCCAGTACCCCAGCCCCTCAGAAGGACAGACTGAAGGAGGGAGTGGGGGAAGATGCTCACCCAGCCGTCGTGAAGCAGAAGACAAGAGACCAGGCCTCCCCTGTGTAAGCCGCCCAGCCGCCCCTCCTCCAAGGGGAGATGCGGGGGGCAGAGGCCGGCTTTACGAGCAGAGCGCCGGTATCCCACTTCCCTCGTGGCCATTAAGCAAGATGGGCTGGGGATTTCCAAGAAGAGAGAAGGAGGCATCCATTATGCAGGCACTAATGAGTCTCAGGTCCCAGCTCTCTGAGGACCTGGGCAGGGCCGGGGAGGGGGAGCGGCGCCCACCTCGGCCTGGCTGCTCCTCTTCCCATCCAGGCTCCTGCTTTCTGCCACAAGATCCTGCGCATCTGGGTGATGGCAAGTAGGGCAGACGGGGCGCCCCAGGGGGACGGCTGCAGTTAGTGAAATCAGCTCCGTGGCCTGGGAGTTCTGCAGAGCAGAGAGGGGATCCGGAAGCAAGTGCCTGCCTCTTTGTAGTCAGATGGCATTTTGATGGAGAATTGCCTGGGGTAAAACTGGAAAACCTTTTTCCTGTTCCAGCGGCATGGTCCTGGGCAACGTCCACCCCTCTCTGGGCCTAAGGCAGGTAGATTCTGGGACCTCCTGGGGTCTTTGCAGCCTGTGCTCCAGGGGCCCTAGCTGTGTGGGAGGCTCCCCAGTGCCTGTCTACAGAATAGTGAGGAAAATGTAGAGGGAGTTTGTCATGAAATAAAATGTATTTTAATTTTAGAACTTAGCCTTATTCTGAGATTGTTCATCTGACATTGGTGATAAAGTAGCCTTGCTTTTATGAAATGAGGGCCAGAGTAGATGGTCATTACTTTTGAATGTCTTTATTTACCGAAACAAAAAGTTGGCATGCGCGGGGGTGTGTGGGGAAGTGTGAAAGTCTGTGAATCACTGTTTAGCCCTGAGGCCTGAGCCCTGAAGGATTTTGGGCTTTGGTAGCTGTAAGCCCCAGAGGGGTGTGGAGGAGGAGAGAACATGGTCACACACCCCATCTGTAGGAACCTATCTGTGGGGATGGCCTGTGACCGCTCTGCATCCAGGATGTTCAAGATGCAAAGCCTTCTAAGCCATGGACAGGGAAGGGAGAAATTCTTGTATTTTATTCATTCAAGGGGCTCTTACAGTCACAGCACCTGCTCCTTGTCTGTCAAGCATCAGAGCACCATGGGTCAAACAGTGGGTTGTGACCCACTAATGTGTCATAAAATCAATTTAGCAGGGACTGAGATGAGCATTGTTCAAATGAAATGTTGTGAAATATAGCAGAAAATATGAGAATTATATTAATACTATATGTAGATATGAAATAGAGCAAGTATTGATTCATGAACCTTTTGCTCCACTTCTGGTATGAAGCAATAAAAGTCCTAAAAACCTCCTGCAGACAACACAAACGCTATACAAAATAATAAAAACAATGCCTGGAGGGCTTTGGAGAGTTGACAAAAGCAGGCAGGTTTTGGAGCAATGTCCAAACCTAGGGAGAGGAATCAACCCCCAGGGGGTGAGTTTCACATTTTCACAGCTCTGTCTTCAGGGCAGCCCTCTTTGTGGTGGTGGCACGAGGTGACCGTGTTCCAGTAGAAAGTCTGTTGTCTGGACAGAGGAAGCAAGAGAAGCAGCCCTGGACAACCACGGTTATTAGAGAATGGGGAGAAACCCAAGAAAAGAGGTAGCCAGAGAAGGAGAACCCCAAATTTAGCATGTAAACTCTGCCCTGCTCTCTGGCTGGCGCCCAAACACACAGTTTGCAAGGCATATTAAAAGCAGTCTAAACTGAGAGCTGAGCCCCTGCCCTCTACAAGTGTCACAAAGTTTGAGGTGTGAGTCTAACAAGTTAATTGTCTGCTGAAACAAAAACATCAACACTATTAAGCAATATGACACAATCAAGAGTGTACAACACAGAACAATCACAACATCCAGGATACAATCCGAAATCACTCCACTCACAAAGAGCCAGAAAAATGCAACCTCTTCTCAAGAAAACGGTCAATCGACACATACCAATCCTGAGATAACCCAGATATTGAAAATGTTAGACAAGAACTTTAAAGCAGCTGTTATAACAATATTCAATGAAGTAATGAAAACTGTGTTGTAATAAAAGGTATGACATAGGCAAGAAACAGAAAATATGAAAAGGAACCAACTGGCAGCATTATTTTTTGTTTTGTTGTTTGTTTGTTTTGGTTTTTATTTGTTAGTTTTGAGACAGGGTTTCACTCTGTCACCCAGGCCGAAGTATGGTGGCATGATCATGGTTCACTGTAGCCTCAATCCCCTGGACTCAAGTGATCCTCCCACCTCAGCCTCCCAGGTAGCTGGGACTGCAGGCACACACCACCATGCCTGGCTAATTTTTGTATCTTTTGTGGAGATGGGGTTTCACCATGTTGCCCAGGCTGGTCTCAAACTCCTGGGCTCAAGTGACCCACCTGCCTCAGACTCCCAAAGTGCTAGGAATATAGGCGTGAGCCATGGCGCCCAGCCTGGCAGAAGTATTTGTAATAGCCAAAAAAATGGAAACAATCCACATGTCTCTCAGCTGATGAATGATTAGGCAAATGTGGTTTATCCACGCGATGAACTGTTACTCGGTCATAAAAGGAGTGAAGTACTCATACAGGCTTCAACATGGATGAACCTTGAAAACGTTATGTTAAGTGAAAGAAGCCACATGCAAGAGACCATAATCCCATTTATAGTAAACGTCCAGAATAGGCAAAACCATAGAGACAGGAAGTAGATTAATGGTTGCCCAGAGACTGAGGGGAAGGGAAGATGAGGACCAATTGCTAATGGGTATGGGGTCTTTTTTCAGGGTGACAAAAAATATACTCTAATAAATAAAAAGGTAAGACATCTCAGCCATTGACTCTGCAAAAGTCAGCATCTAGTGGGTGAGACAGATACTGATCATTATAATATCAGTGGGAGGCCGGGCGCGGTGGCTCACGCCTGTAATCCCAGCACTTTGGGAGGCTGAGGCGGACGGATCACGAGGTCAGGAGATCAAGACCATCCTGGCTAACGTGGTGAAACCCCATCTCTACTAAAAATACAAAAAATTAGCTGGGCGTAGTGGCGGGCGCCTGTAGTCCCAGCTACTCGGGAGGCTGAGGCAGGCGAATGGCGTGAACCCGGGAGGCGGAGCTTGCACTGAGCCGAGATCGCGCCACTGCACTCCAGCCTGGACAACAGAGCGAGACTCCGTCTCAAAAAAAAAAAAAAAAAAAAAAATCAGCGGAAACTGCTGTAAGGAAGAGTAAGAAAGGGAAGAAATTAATGTTTCTTGAGCACCTACTATGTTCAAGGCCCTGTGTTCAGCATATGTCACAGTTCAATAATTCTTGTTACTTCGCCAGGTGATAGGAACATCCCTGTTTTACAAATGGAGAAAATGAGGCCCAGGGAGGTAAAGTAACTGAGCTGATACTATGGACTGAACATTTGTGTCCTCCCAAAATTCATGTGTTGAAATGCTAATGAAATGGTGGAATTTCGAGGTGAGCCTTTGGGAGGTGATTAGATCATAAGAGTGGAACCCACATGAATGAATTTATTTCCTTAAAAAAAGACATGATCTCTCTTCATGCAGGTCAAAATAAAAAAGATAGATAGATAGATAGATAGATAGATAGAAAGAAATTTTTTAAAAAGACACGAGAGCTTGCTTCGTCTTTCTTTGCTTTCCACCATGTGAGAATACAAGAAGAAGACAATTGTCTGTGAACCAGGAAGACAGCCCTCCCCAGACACCAGATCTGCCAGCACTTTGATCTTGGACTTCCCAGCCTCCAGAACTGTGAGCAATAAATGTCTCTTGTTTTATCCACCAAGTCTATGATATTCTTTTATAGTAGCCCAAACTGACAAACACAGCTCTGATGATCATAGGAGGACAGAGGAGGGTCATTCCACTATCTTAGGGGAAATGGGGGGGAATGGTACAAAGGTTAAGTGTCATCAAAACCCGGTGGACAAGGAGAGAAAAGCAAAGTGAGCAAAGTAAAGAGGCGGGAACGTTTGTGCTGGCATGTATGGGCCATCAGGTGGCTGGAACTTGCAGGGGACAGAAGGGACTGGTAGGGAATGTGGTTGGAGGGGTGAACTGGGCCAGACCAAGCTCAGCAGAACCCATTTCTATTCCCAAGAAAAGGAGGAAAGAGGAGCAAGAACAAGATAAGGAGGATCTGCTGGTGCTGATTGCTGCCCACTTCTCAGCCAGCTCCTCATGGGAATGTAGCCTCGGAGGAATTGTCCCTACATTTAAGTGGTGTCCTGAGAAAACCTGAGCATTAAAGGCAGGTACATCTGGAAGCCATCATGACATTTGTCCTGATGCTGAAACTCATGTGACTGATTTCTCAAGTGTAGGGGCAGGTACTGCAGAGACTTGATAGTGACCATCACCCTGAACTAGTTGTCAGGTCTCAGAAAGAAGTGATATCAGATTGACAAACCATTGAAACTGACCTGTCTGCTCTAAATGCATGGCCCTGGGGAGAATGGGATCCCTGGAAATGGAGAGGAGCTTGCGTCCCTGCCCACTGTGGGGGAGGCCAAGGTTACTCAGGGCTGGGGCCAGCACTGCCTACTGAGGACAAGCCTTGAAGGGCTGTGTGCTTCCACTTCCAAAGGGCCACCTCCTGCTGGTGCCCACGGTGAGGGCCCTGTGATGGGAGAAAATGATCCTTGGAACAGTGCTCCCTGTCTGTGTGCTGACACCCCAGCTCCCCGAGTGCTCAGCACCTGCTGCAAAACCGCTGGTGGGCTGACTTGACCGAGGAGATGGCCACGCTGCTCAGAGTCACTAGCAAATGTGGGGCTCAGAGGCTGGCTGAGAAAGGAGGACCAGACAGGGAGCCTTCCAGTTGGTTCCCCTACTAGGTAGAGGGGTCTGTAGTTCTTGGTAACCTCAAACCCACATCGAAACCACCAACCAATACCAGTTTGGGTCACCCTGGATCCCCAAACTGCTGTCAAAAATAATATACAAGCAGGCCAGGCGTGGTGGCTTACGCCTGTAATCCCAGCACTTTGGGAGGCCAAGGCAGGCAGATCATCTGAGGTCAGGAGTTTGAGACCAGCATGGCCAACATGGTAAAACACCAACTCTACTAAAAATACAAAAATTAGACAGGCATGGTGGCGGGTGCCTGTAATCCCAGCTACTCAGGAGGCTGAGGCAGGACAATCACTTGAACCTGGGAGGCAGAGGTTGCAGTGAGCCAAGATTGTGCCACTGCCCTCCAGCCTGATGACAAAGGGAGACTCCATCTGAGAAAAAAAAAAAAAAAAAGACCACAGAAGCAGCCCTGGGGATTGTTGGAATGCATCTCTACCTTCCCCTTTCCCCAGCTGTTCTGGTGCAAGAGTCACACAGTTGAAGCTCCGCCCATCTTTGTGCCCAGTAATCCCGTGCTGTCACAGAGATGGCCACTCCTGGCCCTGGGCCTGTCTGCCTTACCCCCACCTCCTCCCTTTGCTATATTCCAGCCATGTGGAGTGACTGATAGTTCCGTGAGCCATATCATGCTGCTCTGTGTCTCTGCGCCTGTGCCCGAGTTCCTTTGGCCATTTTGGACCCTCTTCCTCCGAGGCAGCTCCATCAACCCCACAATCCTTCCTGCCACAGACGTCACCACCCCAGCTCAGACAGCGGCTCCGTGAGACCCTCAGAGACCCCATCTCACCACTCCACCATGAAGAATGAGTTCCTCCCTCCCCTGGGTCACGTCTAAGAATAGCACACCCTTGAGAATTTCACTTAGCACGTGGCATTGTAATGGCTGGATTTCCTCCGCTCTAAGACACACCTTTATGCTTTCGAAGCTTTCTGGAATTGGGATGAATCTTACATTCAATGTGCACCCTTCGTGTGGGATCACTTCTCCGTGCCCCATCTCTGGGAGAAGCCACTGGGAAGTCGAAGGAGTGACTTCAAATCAGGGTGACTTGGCCTCTTCCACCTGATTTACCCTGTGCCCACCAGCCCAAGGCAGATGGGACCTGGCAAGCATTTACTGGATCTGAATTTGAATTCAAGGATTTCTTGAGGCCAGCTCTGAGTATAGTTGTGTGCTCAGCAAAGTAGTGTGGGGGGTGTTCAGAATAAATATAAGACAAAGTCTCTGTCTCCTTGAAGCTCATGGCGAAATCCCTGTCTTGTTGAAGGTGACAGATGTGTATGTGAATGAGGGGACTTGGGGGAGGCCTTGAGGAAAGCAGCCAACAGTAATGCAAGACAAAGCCACCTGCAACAGCACCTTGGCCTGAAATAAGGGGGGGCTTGTATTTGGCTTTTGTTTTTTGAAAAGGGTCTCACAATTTGTAAATGTCTTGCATTTTTTTCAAAGGATCCCACAGAGAACCCTAATTCCCATTCTCCATCCCCCTCTTTTTTTTCTTGAGATGGAGTCTCACTCTGTCACCAGGATGGAGTGCAGTGGCGTGATCTCAGCTCGCTGCAACCTCCGCCTCTCCGCTTCCTGGGTTCAAGCGATTCTCCTGCCTCAGACTCCCGAGTAGCAGGGCCTACAGGTGCGTGCCACCACACCCAGCTAATTTTTGTATTTTTAGTAGAGTTGGGGCTTCACCATGTTGGCCAGGATGGTCGCCATATCCTGACCTTATGATCTGCCCGCCTTGGCCTCCCAAAGTGTTGGGATTACAGGCGTGAGCCACCGTGCCCGGCCAATGCCGTTTTACAGAGAAAAGAACTGAGGCTTGGAGAGAAATAGTCTTGCCCAAAGTCAATGACTAGCAAGTGCTGGAACCAGGACCAGACCTGACCCATGCTCCCTCTCGGCTATAGTAAGCTCTGGTTCATGGAACCCAGCTCTTCTCCTTAAAATAGAAATTTGTAGCCCACTTTTTAGCAGAAGTCAAATCTCGTTTCCGTGAAATAAGAAGTAATCCCTGAAGTTTCTCACCGTGCCTTCTTCTCACACAGTCACCATGGCGATGGAAAAATATTATGCGGTGGGGGAATTATGGGACTGTGATTCAGCAGGGCCAGCAAGAGGACCTTTGGAAAACGGTGACTCCCAGTGGACACGCTGCATTTTCAAAGCCAACACTCCAGGATGATGGATTGCACTTTGCTTCCTATAGAAGCCCGGTGGCCAGCCTCTCTCCATTAGCGGCCGACCCTCTCTCTCCATGCAAACATTTTTCTTACAAGAAAAGCATTGGTCATTTATTACCATGATTGCTGCTTGGCAACCTGGGATTGTGGAAATCAGCTGGCTTCGTTAAATTTTAAACATTTATCCTTGCCAAGTGAAACAAATTATTGATGTTGATTTGGGCGGACATTTAACATTTTCCAAGAGAAATTCAATGGTGAAGAGTTCAAACCTGGTTTTTAAGACTAGAATGGTGGAGCTGTTCATTTGACATTAACTAATGCTGGAATACAATAGTCTTCCTCAGCTGCTGTTGGGAAGCCCCCCTAAAATTGCTAGTTGGTCTATGTGTGATAGAAACATACCAACTGAGGTCTTCAAAAACATTAAAAATTAGGCCGGACATGGTGGCTCACGCCTGTAATCCCAGCAATTTGGGAGGCAGAGGTGGGTGGATCCCCTAAGATCAGGAGTTCGAGACCAGCCTGGCCAACATAGTGAAACCCTGTCTCTACTAAAAATACAAAAATTAGCTGGCATGGTGGTGGGCACCTGTAATCCCAGCTACTCAGGAGGCTGAGGCAGGAGAATTGCTTGAACCCACAAGGCAGAGGTTGCAGTGAGCCAAGATCACACCACTGCACTCCAGCCTGGGCAACAGAGTGAGACTCTGTCTCAAAAAAAAAAAAAAAAAAGTAAAAGTTTAATTTCCATGTGATCCAACAATTGCACTTCTGAGTCTACCCCCAAAAGAATAGAAAGCAGAGACTCAGATAGGTGTTTGCACACCCATTTTCCTAGTAGCATCATTCACAATCGACAAAAGGTGGAAACAGCCTAAGTGTTCATTGATGGATGAATGGGTAAGTAGTAAATAAAATGTAGTAATCATTTTATTAACCATTAATCGTTAGCCATGAATGTGTAAGTAGTAAATAAAATGTGGTAACCATTTTATTAACCTTTAATTATTAACCATTAATCCAGGCCAGCCACGGTGGCTCATGCCTGTAATTCCAGCACTTTGGGAGGCCAAGACAAGCAGATACTTGAGGCAGGGGGTTCAAGAGCAGCCTGATAAACATGTGGAAACCATGTCTCTACTAAAAATACAAAAATTAGCCAGGCGTGGTGGTGCACGCCTGTAATCCCAGCTACTCGAGAGGCTGAGGCATGAGAATCACCTGCGCCTAGGAGGCAGAGGTTGCAGTGAGCCCACATTGCATCACTGCAACTCCAGCCTGGGCGAAAGAGCCAGACTCTGTCTCAAAAAATATATATATATATAGTGCGGTAAATCTATACAATGTAATATTTTTAACTTTAAAGGAAGAAAATTTTGACACGTTACAACACGGAGGAACCTTGACTTGAGGATATATAAATGAAATAAACCGGAAATAAAAGGACAAATACTATATGATTACACTCACATGATGTACCTAGAGCAGTCAAATTCATAGAGACAGAAAGTAGATTGGTGGTAGCCAGGGGCCTGGCGTGGTGGGGGGAGGTTATTGTTCAGTGGGCACAGAGTTTCCGCTTGGCAAGATGAAATGGGCTGTGGAGATGGATGGGAGTGAGGATTGTACAACTATGTGAATGGACTAATGCCACTCAACTGTACACTTAAAATGGTTAAGACGGGCTGGGCATGCCTATCTTACACGCCTGTAATCCCAGCACTTTGGGAGGCCGAGACTGGAGGATTACTTGAGCCCAGGAATTCGACACCAGCCTGGGCAACATAAGAAGACCCCACCTCTACAAATTAAAGAAAAAAAATTAGCTGTGCATGGTGGCATTCGCCTGTGGTCCTGGCTACTCGGGAGGCTGAGGTGGGAGGATCATTTGAGCCCAGGAGGTTGAGGCTGCAGTGAGCCATGATTGTTCCACTGCGCTCCAGCTTGGGCAACAGAGTAAGACCCTGTCTCTAAAAACGACAACAACAACAACACCAACAACAACAAAAACGATTAAGATAGTAAATTTTGTTATATATTTTGCTATAGTAAAAAAAACAACACTGACTGAGGAACGGGCAGGACAGCGGTTTGGGTGTCCCTATACACTGACTTGGATCCAGTCCTGGCCATGCCAAAAGTCTATCAAGAAACTGTATCACATCCTGCTCCAAGCTCCTGTGGTTCAGTGGCCATGTGGAGCCCACCCTGCTGCTTCTGTGCCTGGGCTGGAATTTGGGACTTGTCTCCCCTTTCCTTCTCAGCCACCTCCTTCTCTCCTTGCAGCGGCACTTCCAGGAAGCCTGCCCTGACGCTCCTTGGCCTTCATCTGTTCGCCAACCTGCATGCTCCACTAGACTGTGAATGTACAGAGCTCGCTGCTGAAAGCCTGCTCTTGAGACCAGCAGCATCCGCTAAACCTGGGAGCTTGTCAGAAATGCACATCACCCAGGGAGACTTCAGTGGGGAAGACCAACCCAGGGCTCTGCCTCGGCCAGGACGGTGGCCAGGGAAGTGGAGTGGAGGCTGAACAGGGCAGCTGAATTCCAGCCCCACCTGGCACTATCTGCGTGACCTTGGGCAAATCGCTTAGCCTCTCTGAGCCGCACTTCCCTCATCTGTAAAATTGCAGGGCTGCTGCGAGAAGGAAGGAGAACAACCTGGGTGAAGAGCTGCTGTGAGACCTCTGTGAGCTGGGGGAGGAGGCAGGAGGAGAACAGCTCTGGAGCCACCCAGCCCAACGTCCTCATGGAAGAGTGAGCCACACAGAGAGGGCAGTGAAAGGAGGAAGGTCACACAGCAAGTCAGCGGTGGCCTGAGACTAGCGGGCATCTCCACTGCCCCCACTCACTGGTACCAGGGCTCCTCAGCCTGCAGCCAACTGTCTCCTCCTCCAGAAACACTTGGGGACCTCGGCTGCCTGGCGGTGTTAGCAAGAAGAAAAGGGCGGCCCCAACACACCCCCAGCTGCCTTCCAAAGAAGCCTGCACAGGTCATGAACCTCTCAGAACACAAATTTCCTGCAGGCCCCGGCTCCTCCAGGGCTGTCCTCCACCTTGCATGGCAGAGGTGGGTTTGGTGATTTGGATTAGGGTCCTCCCGGTGCTCCCTGCTGCCCTGAGAGCCAGCCCACATCATTATCCATGCTTGTGTTTATTACACAACTGTGCTGAGGTCAGAGAGGTGAGGGATGTAAAAGGTGAAATCAATCGAAACATCGTGCAGCATAGCCGAGGATCTAGAGAGGTCATTGCAGTGATGAGGACAATAACACGAAGACCACAAGCTCATTGGGCATGAGTCTAAGTGCTCCTCATGCTTCCGCAGTGATTCCTACAAATAATTTCAGGGAGCCTCTCTGAGGGCTGGTGGGGCCTGGCTGGTCCTGCCTGTGAGCTTCAGCCTGTCTTTTAGCCTCTCCCCACCTTATCACCGGGAGTAGTGCCCCACCTTGTGAAGGTACCAAATACCTTGTGAAGGTGCCTGAGTGTGCTGCTATGAAGAGGGTTGTCTTGCAATAAATCCACGTATATAGTAGGTGTGTCCATGTCTACTCATACAGCTCCAGGAGTATCTGGAGAAGCGGTGAGTATATTTATAGATGCACACACCACATACATACATGAACATACATCAGACACACTGTATTAGTTGCACTGCTGATAAAGACATACCTGAGACTGGGCAATTTACAAAAGAAAGTGGTTTAATGGACTTACAGTTCCATGTGGCTGGGGAGGCCTCACAATCATGGCAGAAGGCAAGGAGGAGCAAGTCACATCTTACATAGATGGCGGCAGGCAAAGAGAGAGTTTGTGCAGGGAAACTCTCCCTTATAAAACTGTCAGATCTCGTGATACTTACTATGATGAGAACAGCATGGGAAAGACCTGCCCCATGATTCAATTGCCTCCCACTGAGTCCCTCCCACAACACGTGGGAATTCAAGATGAGATTTGGGTGGGGACACAGCCAAAGCATATCACACACATACGTAGGGGTGTTATTCAGCTTTAGTAGATAATATCAGTTTCCTAGAATGGCTTTAACAACTTATCTTCTACCAGTAACATGTGTGAGTTCCAGTTTCTCCATGTCTCTAGTTTTTATTTATCTTAATTTACTTTTAGACAGTGTTTCACTCTGTCACCTAGGGCGAAGTGCAGTGACTGGAAATATGGCTTACTGCAGTCTCAACCTCTCAGGCTCAAGTGAACCTCCCACCTCAGCCTCTCGTGTAGTTGGGACTACAGGCATGTGACACCACACCTGACTACTTTAAAAAATTTTTTGTACGGAAAGGGTCTCATCATGTTGCCCAGGCTGGTTTTGAACTCTTGGGCTCAAGTAATCCTCCTGCCTTGGCCTCCCAAAGTGCTGGGATTATAGGCATGAGTCACTGCACCCAGTCGATATCTTTATCAACATTTGGTATTTCCACTTACAGAAAGGTTAAAAACAAGCAAGCAAAAGCTAATCCAGTATTAGAAGCCCAAACAGTGTTTACCTGAGGGGTTAATGGCTGGAGGAGGGTGCGAGGGGCTTCTGGTGGTGTAAGTTCTGTTTCTTGTTCAGGGGGCTGGTTATACAGATAGGTTTACTGTGGATATTCCTCAAGCTGTGTACGTAAAATGGATGCACTTTTCTGTAAGCATGTTGCATTTCAATTTTTTTTGAAGTTTATGAAAAAAACACTAGATTTAAAAGCAATTCAGTGGCACAGGTGCTATTATTGTCCCTGTGATACAGAGGAAGACACTGAAGGTCAAGGTCACTCCCTGGAACAGGGCTCATTGTGCAAATTAATTTATGTAAAGCCCCTTTCCTGTCCGTGCCCACGTCTGTTCAGCCACTGAGCCCATCAGCCCCACCTCCACATATTTCCCTAATTGTCATTGGTTTCCAATCAGGTTACCCTTCCGGCTGATCCAAGTGCTAGATTTTGTCACCTTCAAATTTCATGTCATTTTGCCCCCAGTTCTCGATTTTTTTTTTTTTTTTTGAGACAGAGTCTCACTCTGTCACCCAGGCTGGAGTGCAGTGGCGTGATCTCAGCTCACTGCAACCTCCGCCTCCCAGGTTCAAGAGATTCTCATTCCTCAGCCTCCCGATTAGCTGGGATTACAGGCGCCTGCCACCACATCTGGCTAACTTTTATATTTTTATTAGAGACAGGGTTTCGCCATGTTGGCCAGGCTGGTCTTGAACTCCTGACCTCAAGTGATCCTCCCACCTCGGCCTCCCAAAGTGCTGGGATTACAGGTGTGAGCCACTGTGCCCAGCCTCATTTTGCCCCCAGTCCTAAAAGCCCAGGGGAGATCATTTTGAATGCCCATTCTGCATTCTCCCACACCATCTGCTCACCCCAGGCTCGGTGTCACCCACAAATTTGGTAAGCATGCCTCCCACATGTACGCCCCAATCCTGGGCAACTTTGCTCTCCTTGGGAAGGGCAGCCAGGCGCCTCCCAGTAAGACACCCAGTGAGCAACCCTGGTCTGTGTCTGACACCCAGCACACCGCTCTGCCAGCCTTCCTTCTTCTGCAGTCTCCAAAACATCATATCTGTCAAACAGCCACTCCACAAATATTAATAGGGTCCCTACAATGGGAAGGCCCTGTGCTGGCAACCAGAGGGGGATGAAGCTGAACTAAACTTGGAGCTGACAGGGGTGGGGAGGTGATGATTACAGTCTCCAGAGTCAGCCTGAGTTCCAATCCTGACTCTGCCACTCTCAAGCTGTGTGACTCTGCCCAAGTCACTCAGCTTCCCTGAGCCTCAGTTTTCTCATCGGTAAGGTGGGAATAAAAATCGTGCCTCCCAGGGTACAGTGAGGACTGAGTGAGGTAACATTTGTAAAGCTCTTTGAACAGTGTCTGGCACAGAGAAAACACTTTACGAGCCTTGGTTGGCATGGTTGGTCTGAGAGGGCTCTGGCATTTGTCTGTGGTTCTGTTTTTCTTTCTCCCCGCTTGCCTGTGGCTCAGGCCTTGGTTGTCTCTGTGGTCCATGGGTAGCAGAGAGCAAAATGCACACCAGAGTCCCTTGAATGAGACAGAGCTGTGTTCAAATCCCAGCTTTGCGTGTACTGGTTGAATGCAGGTATTGGGCAAGATACTGTTTGCTCCATTATAAGATGGGACCAGTGGTGCCACACACTGAGGGACCGTCTGGCTCAAGTTGGGGCTTACTTGACGAGACTGAGATTAATATTGGTGTTTGGGCGTTGAGCAGGCTCCCAGTCTGTCTGCAAAGCCCTTTCAGGGAGAAAGGGAAAATCAGCACTTTGCATGCTGTAAGGAGGCTTACATACTTTGCATGCTGTATGGAGGAGGGACAGGCTGATCCCCCATTAGGAATGTGACATAAGAATTAAATTCATGAAAGTCTAAAAGTCGTTTCCTTTGAACGGTGCGTTCTAAACACCCTGCACAGTAATCCCAACATCAGAGAATGGTTCCATGCCGAAAGCCAGTACATTTCACTCCATGTTCCGCAGTTGTTAAAATGGTCATTACGGAGATCATGCAGCAATGTGGGAAATGCTTGTGACATAAGGGTGGGGGGAGGAAACTGGAGGCACCATTTTACCAATGACTTGATAGGGCAACTTTGCACAGAAAGAAAGAGAAGGGAGAGAAAGGAAACCCATGTGGCTGACAGGGCTGAGTTTCCGGGAGAAGGGACGACAGCTGATTTCATTTTCTTTTTCTCCATTTAGTCCATTTTCTGTAGAGGTTTTGTTTCTGTTGCACATTTGTAAGTTTGGGGGGTGTTTCCAAATGGAGTGATTTAAGCCTGGTCTCATAGCTCTTTTTTTTTTTTTTTTTTTTTTTTTTTTTTGAGAGGGAGTCTAGCTCTTGTTGCCCAGGCTGGGGTGCAACATCCGCCTCCCGGGTTCAAGCGATTCTCCTGCCTCAGCCTCCTGAGTAGCTGGGATTACAGGCACCCGCCACCACGCCCGGCTAATTTCTGTATTTATAGTAGAGACGGGGTTTCATCATGTTGGTCAGGCTTGTCTCTGACCTCAGGTGACCCACCCACCTCGGCCTCCCAAAGGGCTGGGATTACAGGCGTGAGCCACCATGCCAGGCCTAGTCTCACAGCTCTTGATGCATGAACGCAAAGAGCGTTTTCCAGGTGCTTCCCCAGGCCCTGCTGCTGCTGAGGGTGGTTAAGGCTCAGCTCAGCCTGCGCAGCACAGGCTGGAGACAGGAACTGAGCTTGGCTGGACACAGCGCAAACCCAGCAATGCCACCTCGGAGCTGCCAGGACAAGCCCTTTCCTCTCTGGCCAAGGCCTGGACTGTAGGACGGTGCACCCGATTCCTTCCCAGGCTGTCAGGAGGATGAAAGGACAGGAAGTGTCTGAAGTGCTCACACATATGGCTGTTGATAGCAGGAAAGGTGCTGACAGTCACTGTCAGCAGAAACTAAGGAGAAACTAAGAGAAGGGGACCTCCCGGCCCGGGGCTGCCCTCCAGGCTGGCTGAGGGGTGGCTGAGTGGTCAGAGAACCATCAGAGATGGTGAGTGCAGCTGGACAAGAAGGAAGGCCCCATGAGGGAGAAGCAGCTTTAAGCCAAGCGGGCCATGCAGAACTCACCTTGAGCCCCTGCCTGACTGCAGCATGCCTACTGTGTGCCCAGCCTGGCCTTGTGGAAGGGAGTGGAGGGGCTGAGGGCTGACTGCTGTGCTCACCCCAGACATCTGTGGTAGGGAATGCAGACACCTGCAGAGCCCCCTCCCTCTCCTTCTTGCTAAAACCAGGTCCCACCCTGACTACCAGCCCAGTGTTTGCTCCATGACTCTCAGGCCACTACACCTCAGCACCCTCTGATTTGGAGGAACATGTAAATCACTCATCTGGGCAGCAGCTTTTCAACTGCTGGGGCCTCCGTAAGGTCAGACGGCTTTGCACATCTATGGGCGTGAAGCAAGTCATGTGCAGGCCCACTCTGACCCTGACAGCCCCTCTAGACCTGCCAGCATGGCCATCAGCAAAGTCACAGCTAAGTAAACTCCAATTTCTTTGCAAACCCAGAGTCCGATGTTTTATCAGAACTAGAGTGCTGCCCACAAGTTCATTGTGATGGACAGGGCAGGAGGGCAGGAATATGCACTTTACAGAAAGTCCTTGTGAGCAAGCCTTCTGTTGCAGGGCTGAGCGACTCGGTGCTCCTCAGCCTCTCCCCAGAAGCCTCCGTATGGAATGCATAATTTATGAGGACCCGCTGTGCATATTCATGAGCTCATTGCCTTCCAAGGCCAGTTTCTTCGCCTAATGAATCACTGCATGAGGGCGTGACTAGGGCGAGGACTGACTCTGGGCAGGCCTGGGGCTCTCAAAATGACTACTAATCTCTAAAACTTGCTTTGAAGAGAATGATCCCAACTGTGCCTGCCTTTGGTCAAATGTGGGGAGATCCAAAGACTGAAACCTCTGCCCTGAACCCCCAGGCTGCACAAATCAGGGTGCATCAGCAACATTTCCCGGGGTACTGAGGCAGGTCTCCTCCCCCACAAAGCAATCCCCATACATGGTGGGTGGAACTCTGTATGCTTCATGTTGGCAGAACTCCAGAAAAAGCCCTCCTCAGCCTCTGATGACATCATCTCAAGAGCCAAAGAGCCCCCTGGCAGGTTGTCCTCCTGGCCCTCAGTCTTTCCTGTCTGTGAACTGGGGAGGTAATTTCTTTTATGATCTGGCTTCCGTTGACTCTCGAACACAGTGTTCATGTGTAAGCACCTCTGAGACAGCATGTTTTCCCAGCGTGTCTTGGCTGGCATCAGGATTTCAGTGTCAGTGTTCTTTTCTTTCTCTATGGTCCAGAAAATAATGTATGTCTTACAGTCAGTGAGACCCTGGGTTCGGATGAAATACAGTAATAAGCTACTGTTTACCAAACACCTGCCATATGCCAGGCACCATGCTCAGCATTTAGGAATCTTAGTGCATAGATTATGTGTGCTCATCCCTGAACACAGGGGCTGGCTCATAGTAGGTGCTCAATAAATGCAAGTTTCCTCCCCTCCTTGTTTCTAGGAAGAAAGAGCTGCCTCGTGCATTGTAATTTGTTTGGCAGAGAAGCGTATTCTTGAAACCTGTTTTTTAAAGCTCACATTTTATTCAGGGAGCTTCATGGCATTGGGAGCATTAAATAATTGCTGATTTAATTTGGATTTGAGGTGGAGGGGAGCTTAAAAGTTTTCCCAAACTAGTCACAACCCAATTAAAATGTTACTCATGAAACCCAAGACAGTGATTCATTTAATGCTCCATCTGGCGTTTCTTGCTTTCAAGCAACACACATATGACTCAACTTTGCTTTTGCTTATTAAACGCTAACCAGCACGCTTCCTCATCCCAATAAAAAGTTAGGTTGAAGCCTTGCTGTGTGTGCACATGAGTGTACATGCGTGGGTGTCTGTGCCGTGTGGCATGTTTATCCACGAGGCTCCTAGATGTGCACAAGCGGTATGCGCGACTGTATGCAAGGCCAGTTTTGTTGCCACACAACCTGTGCTGTCACTGGGGGCTCTGCTGCCACAGTCTTGAAATTTTTAACAATTCTTTTTTTTTTTTTTTTGAAATGGAGTCGTGCTCTGTCGCCCAGGCTGGAGTGCAATGGCGCGATCTTCGCTCACTGCAACCTCCACCTCCCGGGTTCAAGTGATTCTCCTGTCTCAGCCTCCCGAGTAGCTGCGACGACAGGCATGCACCACCACACCCAGCTAATTTTGTATTTTTAGTAGAGATGCGGTTTCTCCACATTGGTCAGGCTGGACTCGAACTGCCGACCTTAGGTGATCCTCCCGCCTCGGCCTCGCAAAGTGCTTGGATGACAGGCGTGAGCCGCCATGCCCAGCCTTAATGATTGTTAAACAGCAGCTCCATATGTTCGTTTTGCACTTGGCCCTGCAAATTGTGCCGCCGGTCCTGGGGATGTGTGTGTAGAACTGCGTGTCATTGTGGGCACAGGAGCACGCGCATCCTTGTGGATGTGAGTCCATGCAGATGAGTGTATACGCGCCCTGTGAGAGTGCGGGCCGCGTGCGGATGTGTGAGGCTGGGAACACAGGAAAGGGGACGTGAGAGGGGGGTTGAGAGTCTTTGTGAATGTGTCTGAGGGTGCCTGACACACTGAACTTCAAACGCTGGGGGCACGGGAATCACACCAGAGCCCCAAGATTCAGATTCCACAGGTGTGGGGGCTCGGGAAGGTGTAATTTTTTAACAAACACCTCCCCACCTCCAGGCGACTGCAGTGCCCACCAGCGTTTGAGAACCACTGGGCCAAAGGTTTTAGGTGCTAGAAATTGGGTCGATGACCCCACCATTCTTTAGGTATAGGCTTAGACTGTCATATGGCTCCAAACCATCTACCTACTCACTCTGTTATCTGAAGTAAAGGTTTCCCCAAAGCCCACCAGGAACACCAAGGAACCGATGAGCCATTCACTGTGGGAACCCCAGACAGAGGCCTCCCGCGGCCTTTGCCTGGGCCTTGAGCCAGGCGGTGACTCACAGCAATAGGCCGGAGTGGCCTTGCTGGTCAGCCTCTGCCTCCCGCCTTGCTACATCAGCAGGGCAGAGCCAGGGCTGCCACCCGATGACCAGTATGGGTCATGCTGCCTGACCCTGCCCCCACCACCAAACCCCCTTAAGTCGGAAGGGACTGGCATTGGTCAGTGCCCCCAACCCTGATGCCATCAGATGTGCCACCTGCAGTCGCCTCCTGGGGTCCTTCTCTGGGGCCCAGCACTTGCTGACCTTGGAGAGCTGGCTTCTGGGCACCCTGGTGACCCCACCCAGCACAACTCCCCTTCTTGGCTGCATTTCCCTGAAAGCCATCCTGGGGTGAGATGTTGTCCTCTTGCGGAGCCATCCTGGCTAGGCGAGGGGCTGTGGGCCACACGTGTGGCCATGGGAGCTACACTCTGCCACTTGCCGGCAGGGGACCCTGGGCGGGTTCCTTGAGCTTATCTAAGCCTCGGGTTCCTCGCCTGTGAAGTAGCCCTGTGCTACCCTGGGCCAGGGACCTGCTCCAGGGTGGGTCCAGGGCCAGGCTCCTGCCCCCTGCCTCCTCAGGCCACACTTCCTCTTGCAGCTCCCGCTTGGTCCCCGCACACCTACCATGCACACAACACAGTTTCCCCACCCTGCCCCTTGCGGGGGTTGGCATGGAGCCAGCAGTCAGCATCTGTGTGAATTAGAATTGGGGTTCTGCAGACTTGGGGATCCAGAGAGGCACCCTGTTCCCCAGGAGGGCAAGTGACCACGGAATGGGAAAGAGGCTGGTCCAGCGCCACACAGCCAGTCCACAGCCGGGACAGGAACCAACATCTTTAGCTGCTCCTTTGCCCCCAGCTCTCCCCTCCACAGCTGGCACCACTAAGCACCCACTGTGCACTAGGCACTTGGAAGCCTCTCTTCTGGAGCCGCCACAACCACCAGATGAGGATGTCACAGCAAGAAGAGGAGGGCTGAGAGAGATCAAGTGACTTGCCCAAGGACACACAGCGTGTGGGACCTGAGATATAAGCTTCAAAGTGACGCTGACACAGAGACCCCTGACTCTCTGGCAGCATCAGCATAGCGCCTCTCAGGCCCCTCCGGCAGCCCCAGGCTCCCCGGGGCCTCCAGGCCCCCAAGGCTGCTGGAGGCTGCCTGTCCTCCACGGTCCATCTCCTTCAGCTCCTGTCACCGGCTGGGTGCCTGGAAGCTGCATGCCAGCCTTTCCATTATTCATGCCACCCTTTGGTTGCCAGCAGGGATTGGGCCCAGAGGCCCCAGCTTTGCCAGGAAAGATAAGGCACCAACGCCTGACTTTTCTTCTGAGCTCCATCCCATTTCCCAAAAGAACACAAAGGCCTGTTGTTCCCTGCCCCGTGTAGGATGCTGGGCCTCCTTCTCATGAAAAGAAGATAAACCATTAGCGGGATTACAGCTGGTTAGGTTTACAGCTTTTCCTCACGGCCACCTGTCCCCTCCTGTAATGCTGCATGGACACGAGAGGCAGGTGCCTGCTGTCTCCGGATCATGGGGCGGGGGAGGCAACAGCTCCTCTGAGCCCCTCTCTCAGGCCAAGCTTCACAGGCATGACCTGGAGAAGTTTCTCCAGCACTGCGTGGGCTCCATAGTCCTCATCCCACGTTATAGGTGAGGAAACTGAGGCTTGGCGAGGCTGAGAGACGTGCTGAGATAACGCAGCTGGTAGAGGGCTTTGCCAGTGCTCTCTGCCCTGTGCCGGGGTGCCAAGCTGACTCATTTGTCCTCAAAACAAAACTCGGAAGAAGTGAGTTGATGCATGCAAACCCTGCCTGCCCACGCCTCTATCTCCAGCTGTACAGTTGAGTCAAACAGAAGTTGAAAGCAGAGAACCAAAATTCAAGACCACCAAAGTGGGTCCTGGGAGGTCCGTCTGTAACCTACTCCTCCCACACAGGGAGCCAGGCAGGCTGGTCTGGGAGTCACGGCCCCACCCAGAGGTCTGGTGGAGCCCTTTGCACCCCCAGAGGACTCCCATAGCTTCAAACGCCATGCGTGCCACCGTGGGGGGAGGCAGGGGGCAGGGGAGGTGGCATGCCAGGCTGGGAGATGGGGCCCCCTCCTTGCCCTGGCCGACCCCGCCAAGCTGGTGATGTCACCGCCTGAGACAGGATTAAGATGATGTCACAAGAAGCAGCTTAGTGCTGGGACAGATAAACATCTTCAGAAGGCTGGCACTCCAGGGATGCCAGGGGTCCAACAAAGGCCAGCAACGTCTGTGTCCTCGCAACCCAGGGTTGAGCCACTTTAGAGATCAGCAACTGCAGCTTCCCCCATTTCACAGATCAGGAAACTGAGTCCCAGAGAGGGGAAGGATTTATCCAGGAGCTGCCAGTGATGCAGCAGCAGAGCCAATGAGGGTCTTAGACACAGACCTGGGGTGGGGGGCCCTTGTTGGAAAGCCCTCTGGCTTTGCCACCTGGCAGCCTAGCAGTGGAGCCTCTGCCTCCATGGAGTAGCTGTGTGATGATCCACTCTGAGCCTCCATCTCCTGGTCCGTACACTGGGGATGATAATACCACCTAGCTGATGCGGTTGTGGGGAAGAGAAAACAGGATGGTTTTTGTAAGCAGCCTTGCAGACAGCAATTTTCCCTAAGCACTTTCTAAAGGAAGAATGGCAACAAGCAGCAACAGAGAAATAGCAAGACCCCCACTGAGCACCTACTATGTGCCAGGGCTGGGGTAGAGATGACTCAGACACCGACCCTGCCCTCAGACGCTCACCGTCTATCAGGCAGACGCAGACACGGACCTCACGAGCGATGGAGGCTACTTACTGGCTGTCACCATACAGAGGAGGCCCCTCCCTGCCAGGGAGGGAGTAGAGGGAGTGAAGGAGGGCTTTGCTGGGGACCACAAGGTGTTCCAGGAAGGGAGATGGGTGCTGACAGGCACCAGGTGAGAAACACTGAGCAGTGTGTGGAGAATCCATCTGCCTGGGCTGTGGAGGTGAGGGCGGGTCCTGGGCAGGGAGGCCGGAGGGGCCCACAGGGATCCGCTTGACCCCCCAGGGAGGGCCAGCATTACCAGGCCAGGAGGTTCGGACTTAATTGCAATGAGGACTTCCCCCTGAAGTGTCTTGTTAGCTGAAGCGCCAACCATGGCCACTGGGTGGAGATGAAATGCCCCTCGGAAAGCAGGTGCGGGGGCAGTGGGGGGTGGGGGGGCGGCGGGGGGGCGGGGGGTGCGGGTAGGGGGGTGGGGGCTGCGGCTGCTTCCCTGCGGGATGAGGCATCAACCTCAGGTGTCTTTGCAAGACCCCTCCACATGTGTCCTGCCCACTGTGCCGGCTTCGCTGCTTCCCTCTTATGGCTATCCTGAGGGAAACTGAGGCTGGGCCAGGTGCAGCCACTTGCCCATAGATGCCAGGGCGGGGAATAAAAGCCAGGGCTGCCTCAAGTCAGAGGCCTCGTTCTTTCATTGCACGCCCTGCCTTCCAGCTTCCTGGGATAGTTCTTTCCTGATTCATACAGTGTAGCGTTTGTTTCCTTATTCAGGTTTCATCATTAAAAAAAAACCTGCTGTTTAAAACTGTGTATTTTTTAATGTGTATTTTCTAAAGGAAACCAGGCCCCCTGTGCTTCCTCCCGACTGACCCTGTTTTCTCAGAGCCATAAATCACTTCCTTAAAGGGGGCTGGGAAGCCACACAGGAAGACCATTGGCCCCTGAAAGCTGTGGTTTACCAGCTACCAAGGGTCAGGGTCTGGAGGCCCCGTGGCGGCAGCTGAGTCCCAAGCCCCAAGGCAGGCACTGCTTCCCTGGGACAGCACCCTCTCCCCAGGGGGCACCTCAGCAGGCAGCTGGCTCCTTGGGCACAGCCTTCCTGCACCCAGGGGACCAGGACACTTTCTGCTGGCCTGGAGGTGCTGGGGTGTAGGGGCAATTCAGGGGAGATTCCTTAGCTGCCAAGAAGGAGCAATATTTGGGACATGCTTCCACTTCCACAAAACAGTTGTTGTTTATCTGAAATTCAAATTCAGCTGGACGTCCTGCATTCCGCCCGGCGACCCTGGCGTTGGTGATGAGTGTGTCTGAGAGTGTGTTTATGTGTGTAGGACTGTGGGTGTGTGTCATCATTTCCAGACCTTGCCTTGGGGGAATCTAGGGACAAGGACTTGGAATTTCGAGTGTCCTCCTGGGTACATAAGAAGGGAAATGCTTCTCTGGGGGCTATGCTGCTGGTGCTGTCTCGAGGCAAAGAACTGGGAGCTCTCAGTGTGTTTGAACCAAGAAAGCCAGCTGATGGCATATTAAACATCAGCCCTGCGCGGTGGGGCGATTAACGGTGTCTCTGGAGTAACGGCATCTGGGGCGCTGTGATGGATGCCTCCAGCAAGGGCTGGCAAAACGGCCTTGGGTTTGCCTCCTCTTATCTTCTGATGCTCAGACTCGCTGAGAATGAACATTCCCTCCTGCTGCCACGTGCCCGTAAAACGGATGTGAGGTCCTGTCACTCCTCTGCCCAAAACCCTCCCTGGCTCCCTTCTCACCCAGGGTCAATACCAATATCCTTTTCAGACTGCAGATAGACCCCTGTGGGTCTTCCCAACCCCTCCTGTCTAAGCTCGTCTTCCGCCCCGGTTCTGGGGTTCACTCTGCCCAAACTGACCTTGCTGCTCTTCCTTGAAAAGACCAGACACTCTCAACTCAGGGCCTTTGCACCAGCTGCCTCTTCTGCCAGGAACACCCTTTTCTCAGAAGCTCCATGGCCCGGTCTTTCACATCCCTGAGGTCCTTCTCGAGTATCCAGGCCTCTCTCCATAGCCCTGTTCTGACACCCCGTCCCTGATTCACGATACCCCATCCTTAGCACCCTCCTTACCATCACACACACTATGGGCTTTGTATTTATCTTGTCCGTTTTCTGCATGACACCTCCCCTGCTCCAAGAGTCTGCCCCCAAGGACGGGAATCATACTGTCATCTTTGTCTGCAGCTGATCAGTAAATGTTAGTCGAATGGCTGATTGACCATTCAGCAGCTGCTGCTGCCTCTGCTTCCGTGCTGGGTCACCCAGGACCCTCCATGCAGTGGCCCCTTGTTACCTCCCACTTGTGCCTCAAGACCTGACTCAGGGCTACTCCTCCAGGAAGGCTGCCCTGCCCACCCCCCTGTGGTTCTCAGGTCACAGTACATGGCACACGGGGCTCTCATTGTCCGTCTGCTTGTCCATCTGCTGTGAGCTCCTGGAGGCAGGTGAGGGGCAGACTGTCCTCTGTACCCCAGGACCCAGCAGTGGCCTGGCTAGCAGTAGGTGCTTGGGATGTGATGGGTGGCTAAGGGAATGATTGCTTGGGTAGTTTCTTTTAATTTTCTTTTTTAAGAAAAGAGGCTATTACTACACTGGAAGGTCTTTAAAAACATTTGCTCCAGCCAGTTCATTTCACAGGGGGGGAAACCGAGGCCTGGAGGTGGAAGGCGAGGGAGCTAATGCCTGTGGAGCATCGTCTCTGAGCCAGGCTCTGGCTTCTGAGCAGGGAGACCTCTCCCCCAGGCCACCCCAGCCTTCCATGGATGCTTCCTTCAAGGGCAGAGGTCGAAGCCCTGAACTGAGGGGCGATCGGGTTAGACTCGGGGTGGTGGAGGTGACTATGAACAAAATCAAGCTGGACTCCACCTAGAACCCATCCTGCCTTCCTCCCTCCTTCACAGCTTTCTCCTGAGTGACTGTCTTAGGAGGCCACATCCATGGAATAGAAGCTCTGCTTTTCAGGGGACTCGACCTAAAATGAAAGCCCACCCTGATCCCCCCACTGTGCCCTTGAATACGGGTGATAGTTCATGTGTAGCAAGCACCCTATAAGGTGTCATCAGCTTTGTTTTGCACACAAGGATACAAAGGCCCAGAGAGGTTATCTGACTTGCAAAGATCACACAGCACTTGGTGGCGAGCTTGAATGCCAAAGCAATCTGTCTGATTCCTCAGTCATGCTCCCCTCCCTGACTTTCTACTGTGGCCCCAGCTGGGTGAGGACATAGCAGCAGGGCCCAGAAACAGCCTGGGACCCCCACCTGCCCCCATGTGCTGCCAGCACCTCTCCCTGGAGCCTGGAGTCCTCATCGCATCTGACCTGCTTTTCCCAGACTGCAGACTCAACTGAACATCCGGGGGCCACCAGGGGAGCCTCTCCGCTCTTCTCCCACGGGATTCCAGCATGGAACGTGAATTGTTCCCTCCGGGGCAACCTAGTGAGCCTGCTGTTAGAGATGGATTTGTTTTCCACCCGTGACAGGCTGGTGGTACTCCCTTACCTCCCGCCTGGCTCCAGGCTCAGGTGACGGCCACACAATCGGCCTGACCATCGGCACCTCCACCAGAAGTTCCCTGATAAGGGGCAGAAAGAGCCAACCTCGCGGGAGGACACTCCTGGCTGCCTTCCAGAGCTCTCCACTGACAGACACAAGCTTGGCAAAGCCGGTCACAGCAAGTCCAAGGAGCACGATGTCACCCCATCGGGGAGCAGCCAAGGGGCAGAGGCCCAATAATTCCCCATGAGAAAAATTAGAAGCCCATGTGATGGGCTGAGCCTGTCTGCATTGAACGTGTGCCATCTGCATTTCACTGGGGCTGTGTAGACATGTCGGGGTCACTCGGCCTGCCGCAGAACAGCAGAGCATCAGAGCTCCAGCAGAAATCACCCAGGGCTGGGCTGGTAAGTCAGCTCCCTCGCTACTGATGTTTGTCCCTGTCTACATGGGTTTGGGGCTCACAGAAACCTCCAGGCTTCCAGCTTTCTCCATGTCCCTCCCTCATACCAGCTTTCAGAGGAAGGACCCTAACCCCAGCCTGCAGCTTCAAGCAGCAAATGTCCCAGGACCCTGACATTATCTCACTGAGCCCTCATCACAGTCTGTGAGGCAGGTGCTGTCATTGTCCCCATTTTACAGATATGAAAACCGAGACTTAAGGTGGCAAAGCCAAGAGGTGGTGCCCAATAAGCACGTGAAAAAATGCTCAGCACCATTGGACACTAGGGAAATGCAAATGAAAACCTCAGTGAGATACCACTTCACACCACTAGGATGGCTGGGGGGGCGAGAAGACAGTAACAGGTGCCGGTGAAGATGTGAGGAGTCAGAGCCAGCATGCCCCGCAGGTGGGAAGGGAAAATGGCGCAGCCACCGCTGGAAACAGCCTGGCGGTTCCTCAAAATGCTCAACATAGAGTCACCGTATGATCCGGCGATCCCGCTTCCCGGTGTGCACCCAGGGGAAATGAAAACAGATGTTCACACAGAAACTGGTACACGAGTGTTCATAGCAGCGTTACTCATCATGGCCAAAGCGTGGAAATAACCCAAATGCCCGTCCACTGGTGAACAGACGAGTGAAACATGGTATATCCATATGCTGGGGTATTAATCGGCAATAGGAATGAATGAAGATGGATACAGGCTCCAACACGAATGAACCCAAAAATGTTTCCTAAGCGAGAGAATCCAGGCACAAAAGGCCACGTGTTACAGGATTCCACTCATATGAAAAATGCAGAATACGCAAATCTACAGAAACAAAGTGGACGAGTGTTTGCCAAGGGCTGTGGGGAGGAAGCTAGAAGGGGTCGCTACTAATGGGTATTGGATTTTTCCGTGGACGACGGAAGTGTTCTAAATTTGATTGTGGTGATGGTTGCACAACTCTGAATATACTAACAACCACTGGATATATACTTTTAAATGTGTGATTTATTTATTTTTAGTTTCTTTCTTTTTTTTGAGACAGGGTCTCGCTCTGTTGCCCAGGCTGGAGTGCAGTGGAGCGATCATGACTCACTACAGCCTTGAACTTGTTGCACAGGCTGGTCTTGAACTCCTGGACTCAAGGGATCCTCCTGCCTTGGCCTCCCAAAGTGCTGGGATTGCAGGTGTGAGTCACTGCGCTGGGTCTAAATGTGTGAATTATATAATACATCTCAACAAAGGTGTCACTGAGACAAAAAAAAAAAGATAACAAAGCCAGGATTGGAACCCAGGACACTTTCTATAAAGCTGCAGCCTTGAGCATCGCTGGCCCCTCCCTTTTCCTCCCAGAAACCGGGGAGAAACGTGAGTACCACTCACCCCACATATTCCCGCAGCCTCGGGGCAAGCTCCGGATCCCAGGACCCCACATGCTCTGAGTGGGCAGGCCTGGGGCTGCGGGCAGGGGCTGTCCTGGGGCTGCGGGCAGGGGCTTTCCCAGAGCAGCGATGCCATCCCTGTGACAGGCTCTTAGCTAGGGTCACCTGACAGACCCTGCAGGGCCCCGGGAATCCTGGCTGCAGCCACACCTCCTGCCCGGGCATCCCGGGCGAATTCCGCCTTGGCAGTGAGTGGGGCTCCTCCCAGGCACCCAGGCACGCATGATCTCATGGATGTCACAGCTGTCGGCCCTAAGGGAACCTCTTTAGGGCACCTCATCCCTGGTTTTCGGTCATTGCCAAGTCTTTACCCTCTCTCAACCAGCTCAGTGTTTCAAGATGGAAAGAAAAGGAAGAAAGTCCAGGAGGGGGTGGCTTTCCAAGTGTCTAAGGTGAGATGAGGCCCCTTCCCGTGCATTGCTGACCCTGCAGCGGGACCCCTGGGGCAGCACCAAGTCCCCGTGTGGCCAGGGGTGGGCTTGGTGGCTTCCACTCAGGCCTCCCAGTGACTGGCAGGTGTCCTTACTCCGAGCCCCTGCAGAGAGTAGATAAGAAGCGGGCCCAAGCCTGACCCTGAAGCTCACCCTGCTCGCCCCATGAATTCCTAAGGCGCAGCCCAGCCCTGGTGCAGTGCAGACCTGGGTTTGGTGAATGAGACATGAATAGACACAGAAAGGATGTTCCTTGGGTCTCTGACAGCCCCTCACCCATAGGACATCCACCCTTCTCCACTGTCTACCCAACATGCCACCCCCCAACTGGGCAACCGAGGTGGCCCCAAACCCACTTTAGGATAGAGTTTCTCCTTCCCCCTCAGACCCCTGCCCCCCATCAGGCCAGACAGCTGCCATTCCCCAAATGTGCCCTGTACATCTGGAGCCGATCTGTGCCACCCCGGGCCTGCCTTTCTCCTGGGCCAGAGGCTGGTCCCTTGGTCCAGGCCTGGAAGAATGCGCAGTGCCCTCCTCGCCATTTCTATACATTTCCAGGGGAGTTCGGAGCTCATGATTTTTTTTCCAGAGGTGGTGACTGTTTTTCTTTTCTTCCTTTTTTTTTTTTTTTTTTTGAGACGGGGTCTAGCTCTGCCACCAAGGCTGGAGTGCAGTGGCGCTATCTCGGCTCACTGCAAGCTCCACCTCCTGGGTTCACGCCATTCTCCTCCCTCAGCCTTCTGAGTAGCTGGGACTACAGGTGCCCGGGTGGTGGTTGTTTTTCTACCTCCTTAGTCATGCTTATCCTGGGTATCTGGCCTTGTGAGATGGGGCACAGCGCCCGATAGAGCGGAGGCAAGCACAGGATAGCAAACAGGAGTGCGGAGGAGCCGCCCAGGGCAGGGCGCGGCAGATGCTCAACAAACCAGAGCACCCGGCCACTTGGGCTTCTCTCCCCAGGAAGAACTGGGAGCCCTGGGTGGGAGGAGCCCTGCTCGAGGGGTGGGGACACAGGACAAGGCTCTATGCCAGCCTCAGCCAGCCTTCTTAGGCATGAAGTTGACAGAAGCATCCACCAGCAGCAGAATGGGGATGGTGTGAGGCCCTGGGCTGCGTGGAGGGGGCCCAGGGCGTGGGGTGCGACTGAGCCAGCTCTGCCCATGGGGTAGAGCCGGGGCACCAGGCTTTGGCTGTTGTCCCCGGGCGAGCAGGAAACCACTCCAGAGAGATGCTGGGGCTTAGGCGGCACCTCCTGAGTCCTCGGCTTCTGCTACAAGGAAGACTCCTGTTTCTCTTCATGCTGCACATCCGCCCCCACCCCATCCTGTGGAAACCTCCCCAGAGGCAAAGGGCTTGCCTGAAGCTAGTGCTTCCGCCACATAGCTGGGCTCAGGGCCAAGCCTCCATCCAGGCTCCAAACATAGGTGCCCCCTGAGACCTCTCCCTCCTCCCGAAAAGTTCAGAGGGGATTGCTGGGCTTGGGTCCTGATAAAGGCCCTTCCCCCAAGCCACCGCCACACCCAGCTCCCTTCTTTGGAAAAGAGTGCCACTTTTCTGACCCTCCTGAGGTGGGTGACCCCAGGTTGGGGACAGCGCACCTGTCTCAGTCCCATCTGTCTCAGTTACTCCCTGTGTGACCTTGGGCAAGCCACTCCATTTCTCTAAATCTCCATTTGCTCGTCTATAAAATGGAATGATAACATTGACTACATAGGTTAAAGGGGGCGTCATGTGGAACTGAGTGTGTGAAAGGGCCTAGGGGAGGGGGAGCCGCCATTTTTCAGTGCCTACTGTATACATTCTTGTTTAGTCCACCAGTAACCTCAGTCTATTAACCCTAAGGACAAGGACACCAGAGTGGGCTGGAGAGGCAAATCCCACAAGGGGAGACCCAAGGCTGGCTGAATTCCCTGCTCTAGCCTCAAACCACAGTGCCTGGCAGTACACCATGCACACAGCACAGGCTCAGTAAGCGTCCACAGAGTCAGAGGTTAACTCAGACTATGAGCGAGAAGTGGCAGGAAGGATGTTTTCTGCTCCAGCACCAGCACTTGACATGTTTTTCCACCCAAAATAAATGAGGCAGGATTCCTAAAAGATGTGTTTAAACTTGGTAGAGAGTTCTCTAAACAGTTTGGCCTCGAGGGTGGACCACAGAGCTGAATACTGCAGGAATGTCTGACCCCCCAAACGGAGCTCAGCAGTATCAGGTCCAATTCTGGTTTTATTTCTAGCAATCCAAGTTGATTCACTGACTCTTATGACAGGGTTCGTAGGCAACCTCTAGTCTTTGCAAACATTATTTTTAAACCAGATCTTATCTCATACAAAGCAATGTGTGATGTGTGTGGCCACAGCCCTCTGTTATACTGTAAAGTTTTATTTAAATGTGTTTCATAGTGTGTGCGTGTGTGTGTGCCATATGTGTATGTACACGCCCACCATTAAAAGTCATTTGGGGCCGGATGATGGCTCATGCCTGTGATCTCAGCACTTTGGGAGGCCGAAGCAGGCGGATAATTTGAGGTCAGAAGTTTGAGACCAGACTGGGCAACATGGTGAAACCTCGTCTCTACCAAAAATACAAAAATTAGCCAGGTGTGGTGGCGCATGCATGTAGTCCCAGCTACTTGGGAGGCTGAGTCAGGAGAATCGCTTAAACCCGGGAGGCAGAGGTTGCAGTGAGCCGAGATGTGCCACTGCACTCAAGCCTGGGTGACAGAGCAAGAGTCTGTCTCAAAAAAAAAAGTCAACTGGGAGAACCAGCTACTAAACTGATGACACAGCTTCTCTTTAATGGTGTCATAGAATCAAAGAGAGAGTGCATATCTGTATTAGAGTGAAGAAAACACGCTCTTCTCATCATTTCCCCCAGTATTATTCAAAAATCATTTCCTTCTAAACTCCTATCTCAGTTTTCGGATCTGTGGATTACACTGAATAAACGGATTCCACAGCCTACTCATTCCAACACCCTCTTTTGTACCTCAGCAAATAAAAAGTCAAAAGATATTTCTGGCTAAGGTTTTTCTTGGTTATGCTTTTCCTCGCTGGAGGTGATGACCGAATCATTCAGAAATTTATTTTCGTGCTTTAAAATGCAAATGCAACTCCGTGGGAGGGAGCGATGTTTTGAAAAGTCTTGCCCCTGGCGTTATGATTTGCATATTGGAAATCACATGATTTACATTTTGGATACCTGTTGACCACAGCTCACACAATGTGCTCTATTTCATAATTAAAATGGATTACTTGAAAAACAAACAAAGAAACAGACGGTCAATTCGGGGGAAAAAAACTCAATGAAAGGGGTGCAGACATTACTGCTGTTCCTAATGGAGAGACACACTCTGTCCTCTGGCCATTTGGTGTGCCCATGTGGCTTGCTGTAGCCAGTGAAACTTTGGCTGTGGCAAGGTGGGTTACTTCCCGGTGGGTGCATTTAACTGGTGCTGTGTCGCCATCTCTCTCTTGGCTGGCTGCAGTGACTGGGAAAACATTGGTCTTTATGGAAGCATCACACTGGGTCACCGTGTAGGGACCTGCCCTGGGAGCAGGGAGGGGGTCACCAGACCTGCAGTGGTCTTTTTATAAGGTAGAAGTGTACCTTTGTGGTATTGAGCCATTGAGATTTGTTTATTCTGGAGCATCCCGATCCCATTCTGACTTATGTAAAAAAAGAGTAAGAAACAAAATAACCAAAGAGGCTGTTTTGATGAAGGCAAAATTTTGAAATCAAAGTGCAAAAATTGGAAATTTGAAATGGGTGTCTATGGGCGACCTTTTACCCACCTCAGCAACTGGTTTCTATATTTTATTTTGACTGTGAATTTCAAGAAAAAAAATAGTGAAATGGTTGCAAATGCTAAATGCAAAAGCTGTTAGCATTTGCAACCATTAGCTGTTTTTTTATTTTAAAGCTTTTGTTTTAAAAACATGATAAATAAAAAATAAAATCTATCTTGCTATCTCAAGAATGCTCCCTTAGAATTGACCCAATACTTTAAAAGAACAGAAGTGGATAGCTTTCCTTTCCGAGTTGCCTTTCTAACCTGCATCTCTTGTCATAGATGAAAAAGCCTGCGAGGGTACTTCCGACACTGGCGTGGGGCCCCCAGTCATGTGAATGTATTCATTTGCTGCCTGGAGGTTCGTGTGCCGAGTGAGTGCAGGGCTGAGAAGGTACCGGGGCCCTGCCTGATGTCGGGACTTGGGATGCATGTGCAGAGCCACGTGCTGGCCTGTGGATGGATAACAGATAAGCGGGTGGGTGCTAACAAATCAGCATCTCTCAGGCCGCACACGGAAGGGGGCCTGTCCTGGATCGCACAGTACTGAAGGATCCAGCCGCACCTGGACATGCCTAACAACATCCCACAGCTCGTAACTTCTGTGAGAAGGGCAGTGGTCTGGGGTGGTGCCACTCGAAGCTACTATCCAAGAAGGGTAGCAGGGCATGGGTGCTCCAAGGGTGCAGGGTCCCCAGGGGCTGCAGAACTCAGGGAAGGGTCCCTGGAGGAGGCAGGCCTCCACTGAGCCTGGACGATGGGACAAGTAGGAGACACCTCAGCAAAAGTGCTGGAGGGGCTCGACCTGTGCCTGGGAATCCAGCCTGAGCCCCAGCTCACCATGCCCTCGCTGGGTGACTGAGCCAGTCTCTCTTTCTCTTGGGCCTCAGTTTCCCCTGCTCCATAACATGGAGATCCCATGGGTTGGGAGTGCGGTGTGAACCTCAACGTAGGGGCGCCGTGAGGGGCACTGAAGGGGGACTTCCCAACTGCGGATTCCTCCTGCATGTCCCCACCCGGTGCCCAGCCTCTCGTGAGAGGTCGCTGGATGCTGCTGAGGTTGAGTCCTTCTTGGTGTCAATATCACAGGTGCCCGGCACACTTGCGGTGCTGTTCAAAGGTTCATGCCTGGAGATCACCCACACTTCCCTTGTGCCCCACAGTTCATAAGGAGTTAAAAGGAGTCATCCCGTCCAATACCCATGACACCCCTGAGCTTATGGTGTCACCTCTACTTTACAGATGAGACCGCCGAGGCTCGGAGAGGAGAGGGACCTGCCTGTGTCCAGGGCCAGGGCACATGGGGCTCGGATCTTACCCAGCCCTCCACGCACTCCACAAGTTTTACAGTTGAGCCCTGAAACACTGCCAGGTCACCCCATGGAGCCCTGAAAGTGACAGTATGTCCTTTGGGCCCTCCTAATAGGGGCGGCAGTATCAGGCTCAGCCTCCACTGCACCGTCCCAGCACCCCAGCCCCAGCAGTTGCCAGATCTCCCTGTGCCCTCCTCCGGGTCCCTCCTCTTCTGTGTGGACCTCACCCTTTCTCCCCAGGACCATCTCACCAGCCTCCTCCTTGGCCTCTGGGCCTCCAGATCCTCCTTCCAATTCCTCCACCCACTGCACTGAAGCAAGCCATGTACCTTCTCCATCCCCAGCTCCAGAGCCTTCACTGGCTCCCTATCCCCAAGGGATGAACTGGCCAGTAACCATAAACCCAGTGAAAACCCAGGCCACTTGCTGCCTCCAGCCTTGGCAACCACTGACGTCACATAAAACCACCTCTTGCTCCTCAGGGACTCATGCCCTGCCACCACCCTATGTGCAGGCACCCAGAAGGCACAGGGCATGGAGTCTGGCTTGGACCCTCAGAGAGACCCAGGCAGGCCCAGCCCTTCACAGGGGCTGAGGTGGGGGGTACTTGATGTCAGAACTCGGGACATGTGTCCAGAGCCGTGTGCTGGCCTGTGGATGGCTAATACTTAACCTCTCTGAGGTCACACACGAAGGAGGGCTGCCCTGGGTCACTCAGCACCAAAGGCTCCCACTGCCCCTAGACAGGCCTGTAGCATCCAACAGCTCGGGACTCCTACGAGCAGGGCAGGGGGCCACGTTGGCACGATTCACCAGGTCATCTCAGAGGTGTTCCCATATCCCAGGGCCACTCCAGGCATCTCATACCCTTTCCAGCACTTGTCTGCCCTGAAATCCAGGGAAGGGACACCACGCCAGGCCCCCCCACCTCAGAGAGCAGTGCGACCTCCTTGGGGACTGGGATGGCATAAATTGGGGGGCGAGGCCTTCTAGGAGAAACTGAGGTGAGAGCTGGGGGTGGCTGGGACAGGAAGAGAAGGTGGACGCTGCCCTGGTCCCTGGTGAGGGGCCCACTGTGAGGTCTGGGGGGGGGTGGGCGCAAAAAGCTGGGGTGCTGTCTGGGTTCTGGGATGCCAGGGAGAATTGAGTGAGCAGTTGGGTGGCCCCACTAATGTTTGCAGGCCCTATGCTTGGAAAACCATCCTTGACTTCAGGCAGAGAGAGGTACTTGGAGAGCCAAGTACTTGGGGGCCTTTTGGGGACACCAGGGATCTGTCAGCTCACCCAGCTGAATGTCTTGGTGAGAATCAGAAGCTGCAGGGCATTGGGGGAGGTGATAAAGACGGGGGAACAACTTCCCAGCACACGCACTTACAAAACGCACCAGCAAGGGCAGCCATGTCTCAACACACGAACAGGGTGACTGTGGCCCAGAGCAGGGCAGTGGGACTGGCGGAAGGTTACACAGGAGGAGAGACAGGGTCACTCTGCTGGCTGAACACTTCTGCAGGTTAGAGGCCTGTCCTTACCATACCTGCTGCAGCAGGGCAAATGCCCATCTGTCACAGAGGCTCACAGAAGTTAAGTGACTCACCCGAGGCCACAGAGCTAGGGAGTGGTAGAGCTGGGATTTGAACCCTGGTCTCTGATGGACCTGCATTCATTGCTCTGCTGAAAACAGAACAGCCTGCTCTTCGGTGCTTAGGATTGTAAAGTTGCTTTGCTGGAAACTTTCCCAAGCATGGGTGCAGCTTACAGCACAGAGACCTGGATTCTCTTCCTGCAGATTCTGGCCAGGACGGAGATGGGTAAATCACAAGGTCAAAGGCAGGAAAAGACAATCAACAGACCCAGGATGTGTAGAGCCAGCATCTTCTGAGGCCCCATCTATGCCAGGCAGGTGCCAAGCACTTACAGATCCTATTTCCAGACCCAGTGAGAGAATTGACGAACCCCCCATTTTAAAGATGAAGAAACTGAGGCTTAGAAAGGTGACGTGACTCTGCCCCGAAGAGACAGAGCCAAGCCTAGAATGCAGGCAACTGTAAAGGAAGCGCCTTTGCTGGCCGTGGTGTGTGGGCCGGTACTTGATGCAGGAGAGTTCCTGCTATAAATACGGTGCTGACTCCCGGGTAACCTTAGCTCCGGCTCACCCACCCAGGCACAGGGCCATAAATCCAGGGGCCGGCCACCTCCTGCTGTGCTCCTGCTCTGCAGAATTTTCCTGACACCCTAACAAGGCACTATGTTTTTCTCTACAGGTTGCAAGCTATTGGAGGCAATGTTGAGCTAGCCAACCCTGAAATGAGAGCTGCTTCTTCAGGTGCAAGCCAAAAAGCCCCACAAAATAGCCAGCCTCGCCCTCCTTGGGTGTGCAGGTGGGACTCCCGGGAAGAGGGGCCTAACCTGGCTTCTGTGCTAACAGGGTCTGAGGAACTGGGTTCGAATCCCTGCTCTGCCATTGACCAGCTGGGTGACCTCACATGTGCCTCTCTGAGCTTCAGTGTTCTTAGTTACACGGTGGAGCTGATAGCCCCCACCTCCAGGTAATAAACAAAACAGTGTGTCCAGGACACAGTGGGTCCTCTGCTCCCCTCATCTCCCTCTCTAGGTTGCTTATGTATTGGTGAAATAATAAGAGCTATAACCACTAACAATAAGCCTGGCGTTATTTTAGGTGTGTTACATGCTGTTAGCCATTTAATCCTTAGTGCACGTTGAGGAGTTAATGTCCCAGTATTGTCCCCACCTAATGGATGGGGAAACTGAGGCACAGTGCCCTTGAATAGTCTGCCCTAGGTCACACCAGTCACGAGTGGAGAGCTGAGAATGTTCCCACTGCCGACACGGCTTGGGGATCGGTTACTGAAAACAGGTGAAAATATTTCAGAGCAGTGTCCTTGGAGCAACCACTGGTTGCTGCCGGGCAGGAATCCTAGAAAGGCCTGAACTTCACACTGTGTGCTCCAGAAGACCCCCTTCTACCCATAAGTAAATATACCTTCCTGCACCAAGATGCCGCCTTTACTCCTGCCAGCCAAGTTCAACTTCAAACCCACATATTAGAGACAAAAGACCGTCACGTGGCATTCTATAGATGGGAAAACCAAGCCTGGAGCCTGCCCAGGGCCACCTGCCCACCAGGGCAGACAGAGCCAGCCTGGAATCCAAGCCCCACCTCCCAACCCAACTGGGCTGACCCTCTCCTAGATGGGGAAGGGATGGTGAGGCCCACGTCACCTCCCAGCCTCCAGGCTGCGCACACACGTGCATGCTCAGTGCCCATTCCTTTGCTCCGACGGGCTAAATATTGTCCTGGCCTTCCTGAAATACCCATCTCCATGCGGGTGGCTTTACAAACTGCTAAAACCAGGGCCATGTCCCTGGTGGAGAGGGAGAGCTATTCCGGGTTAGCGTCAGGTGTGGGGCAGGGCCAGCCAGAAAGAGCTGTCTGCTGGCTCCCGGGGCTCCCGCAGCCCCGGCGGGCAATTTCTGGCAGCCAGGACAACTGGCACCCAGTGGAAGAGGGTGAGGTCAGGCCCCTTCTGTCAATGTACCCCTCCCCAACACACACACACACACACACACACACACACACACACTCTCTCTCTCTCTCTGTCTCTCTCTCTCACACACACACACACACACACACACACTCTCACACTCTCACTTGCTCTGTTCCAAATCCTACCCAGCCAGGCCAAGGCGCTGGCACTGTTCATTAGTAACAGGGTATCTGCAGGGTGCTGTCACCCACGATCTGCCCCACACCCCCCAGGAGACCCTGATGAGTTCCGAGAGCCTCCGAGGTGGGGTTTTATGGAGAAGGAATCCACGTGCCAGCGACAATCGGTGGCTTACGAAGGAGGCCCTGCTGGAGGAGGCCAGACCTGGCTGCCTGGGCTGCCTGGGATGCCCATCTGCTGCCCAGGGTGCCCACCTGCTGCCAGCACGCAGGGCCCTGAGCACTCAGTGCACCCCAGGCACCCACAGGCGCTTTCACACAATATCATAAATTTAATTTTCACAGCCATTGGGGGGTTAGGACCACAGTCTCCATTTTTACCTGGGGACACGGAGGCTCAGAGAAGTTAAGCTACCTGCCCAAGACCACCCAGCCTGGAGGTGAAATAACTGGAATTTGAACCTGGACAGCCTGACTCCAGAGTCCCCCTGGATTTGGCCGTCCCCAGCCCCCATTCCGCCAAGGCTGGCTCTGTAACTGGCAGGAGCCGGGGGCAGCCAGCCAGGCACATAGGTGGCCAGTCCCCACCACAGCCTCTGGCCTCAGGCAGAGCAAAGGGCAGTGGGCAGACCCCAGAATCTGATCGCCCTTCTGCCTGCCTGTGTCGCTGGCCATTTTCAACCTAGAGGATATGAGGGCACACAGAGGGCCTGCCTGGTGCTGCCGGACCAGGGACTCAGAACGCCCAGAGGTCTCAGACTTGGGGAATCAGACGGAAGCTGTGTGCTCTCCCCCGCCGTTAAGTGTTCACACACACTCGTCTGCATGCGGTTCCAGTGGCCCACGGCATCCTGAGCCCACCCATGGGTCCCGTCGCAGCCCCTGCCCCTCTGTCCTGGGTCAGCTCTGGCCCCGGCTGCCAGCCCCAGGAGAGCTTGAATCAGGCACAGCTTCCTGCACTGGCTACACTGGGCAGTCAGGGGGTGTGGCGGAACCCAGCTTTGAAAGTCAAGCTCCCCCCTTCCAGCGGCACAGGCCCCCCAGGCGTCGGGCAAGGAGGAAGGGGGTCCAGCTCACAGCTGCCTGCAGCCTGCGGGGGCCCCAGTGCCCTCGGCGACTGGCGGCCTTGGCTCTGCAACCGGAGCCACAGCGGGTAAATATAGCGCTGCCACTCACCGGCGGAGGGGCCCTCGCCGTCCGACATGGTGTGGAAGATGGGCGGCCGGCTGGCCACCAGCCTGCAGGGTCACTCAGAGCCTCAGCGGCTGTCACCCACCCAGCAGGGCTTGGGGCTCCTCCGCGTCCAGCCCCAGGCAGCGTCCCGCCCCGGCCGGCCTGGCCACCCCCCCATGCTGGGCTGGGCAGATAAGAACGTGCTCAGTGCCAGCAGCCTGTGCGATTGGTGGATAAATCTGGGCACTGCCCTCCCCCGCCCAGGGCCTCTCTGGGGCAGCCCCAGGATGTTGCTTGAGAAGCCACTGCACCCTTAGGTGCTTGGTCAGTCCCCAAGACTCCAGCTCCTGGGGACTTGGGAATGCCTGTACACTCTTTCCTTGGGAACGGTTCCACCCAGCCAGCAAGGGACGTTTACGGACATTTAGGGAAGGAGAATAACAAGTGATGCTACCACTGAGTACATGCCCGGGACCAGCAGTTATGTGAAGTGTGGCCACCCCTGTCATCTCACTGCTCTCCAGAGCTGCTGCGACCATCATGTCCATGTCACAGAGAGGTTAAGGGACCCACCCAAGCCACCGGGTCAGTACGGGGCGTGAGCAGGATCTGGAGCCAGGCTGTCTGTCTCCAAGGCTGCAGGAAGGCCGTCCCTTGCCTTTGATTGTTTGGCCAAAAGCAGCCAGCACTTCGGGCATCTACTGTGTGCTGAGTGTGCCACGTGTTGGGGGTCGACAGGGGATGGAGACAGGATCCCCAGGGGCAGTCATGTGGTCCTGGCAGAGTGTGGGTGCTCAGGAAAAACTGGTTGAAAGAATGCACTCCAGCAAGCTCTTAGTATGCTCTTGTGTACCTGGCTCAGAGCCAATCCAGCCCCTCCCCTGGTCCCCACAAAGTGCAGGGCAGGACCAGCCAAGGGCTGGAGATCCCAGAGGCATCACCCCAGGGTTGGGCTTTGCTGGGCCCCCCAGGCCCTAGGTCTACCTAGTTCTGTATGCAGAGACCAGAGGGAATGAAATGGCTTAAAGAGAAGGGAGAGAAACTCAATCTGAGAGATCCAGGAGGGCTTCCTGGAAGAGCAGGCATTTGAATTATCTTTAAGTGAAAATAAAGTTAGTTCTTTCTTTCTTTTTTTTTTTTTTTTTGCCACAGGGTCACTCTGGGGTGCAGTGGTATGATCACAGCTCACGGCAGCCTCAACCTCCTGGGCTCAGGTGATTCTCCCGCCTCAGTCTCCCTAGCTGAGAACACAGGTCTGTGCTGCCACACTTAGCTATTTTTTGTAGGCGGGGGGGGGGTCTCACCGTGTTGCTCTGGGTGGTCTTGAACTCCGAGCTCAAGCAATCCTTGTGCTTCGGCCTCCCAAAGTGCTGGGATTACAGGCATGAGCCACTGTGCTCAGCCCAGAAAGTTTTTTTTTTTTTTTTTTTTTTTTTTTTTTTTAGATGGAGTCTTGCTGTTGCCCAGCTGGAGTACAAGTGGCGCCATCTCGGCTCACTGCAACCTCCGCTTCCCAGGTTCAAGCAATTCTCCTGCCTCAGCCTCCTGAGTTGCTAGGATTACAGGCACCTGCCACCATGCCCGGCTAATTTTTGTACTTTTAGTAGAGACAAGGTTTCACCACGTTTGGCCAAGCTGATCTTGAACTCCTGACCTCAAGTGATCCCCAAGTGCCTCGGCCTCCCAAAGTGCTGGGATTACAGGCATGAGCCACCGCACCCAGCCCAGAAAGTTTTTTGAAGGGAATAGAGGGTGTTCTAGGAAGAGAAGCCAGCAGGTGTGGAGGTGAGAAAGCCCGGCTGAAGAGTTACAGGGGTCTCTGGCAGGGCTAGAGGTGGCAGGGGTCGCTGGCAGGGCTGGAGGTGGCAGCAAGCCTGAGAAGAAGGATGATGCTTATGGCAGGGGAGGCCTCAGGGCTGGGGAAGTCAGAGGAGGCTTCCTGGAGGAGGGGGCAGATGCTGGTGCTGAGGACTAATGAGCCTCAGGAAAATGAGAGGCGGGTGGAGCAGCGTGCTGGGGCATCCTGGCAGCTCTTCCATCTGCACTGAGGCCTTTTCTGGCTCAGGGACCTGGGGAGTGAAGGCAGGAGGACGAGGCCTCCATGTTTCCAAAGGAAGCCCTATCTGTGGGTGGGGTGGGGAAGAAGGCTGTGAAGTCACAGCCTCCACGCTTCACCCCTGCACTGGCCATCGGAGAGAAAGAACTCAATCTCTATGGTATAGGCATTTGCCTGTGCTGTTCCCTTGGCCTAGGAATTCTCTGTCCTCCTCTTTCCGTGGGAAGCTGTGGCTGCCCCTAAAGGCAGCTCAGGGGCCCTGCTCCATTTTCCCTTGCCCCACACTCCACTCTGCCAACTCCGACCTCACTGTGGTCAGTGCCTAGTCCTGGCTGTGTCCCCCTCTTGGTTGGCTCTTGCTGCCCTGTCAGATAATGAACTCACCATCACTGATGGTATTCAAGCAGGGCTGCGCAGCTGCTGGGCGGGGACACAGCGGAGGGAGCTCAAGCATCATGTAGGGTTAAATGGCTGTGGGGTCCCTCCCAGGTGACCAACTTGTCCCGTTTCCCTGGGACTTCCCCTGTTTTAGCCCTGAATGTCCTCCATGGATCCTGGAAACTGACCCCCCACCAGCTTCAGACAAACCAGGACTGGTGGCCATCTTGGGTCCCTCCTAACTGAAGTTTTCTTTCCTCCTAACTGAAAATTTAATTTTAAGAGAAAAAAGAGAAAGACAAAGCCAGACCTCCCCTGGAACTGTCTCCTCCACCCCGAAAATTCCCCTCGTCCCTCCGCATCCCCTAGGTGTGATTCCAGGACAACTCTGGGGGAGGGGCGGAGGTGGAACCACGGTGCTCTGTGCCTTGGGCTGGGGTGAGGGCGCGGCAGGGAGAAAATCGGGTGCAGGTCAGCAAAGACAGAAGCCCAGTGTCTTCCCCTGCAAAGTGGGAGGAGCCCCGCCTGCCCGGCTGTGGGCTGAACTGAGGTAGCTCTGCGGCACTTGGCAGACTTCGGGTATGCACAGGTGGCATCTGTATCCCCGGGGAGGGGGTGTGACCAGGGAAGGACTGGCGTGAGTCCCTCGCTGGGCACCTCTGCTTTGCCTTGGCGCGGCAGCTGGTGTCAGGCACTGGAGGGAATGGGAGGCATGGACTGGGGGCTGACCTGTCTCCTAGGTCCCACCCCGCTGTATGGGCTTCACACACTGTGGCCCCTCTCAGTGCCTGCTGTCTGGCACACCCAGGCCCATGGGTCAATGCCAGGCAGGGCCTGTGGCCACATCTCGGGTCTCAACTCCTGTCACCCTTGCTCTGGGCTCCCTGGGATGGGATGGGATGGGCTGGGCTGATGGAGGGGCACGCTGTGGGACAGAGGGGGCCAGTGCTGACCCCCCAGGAACCCCTATGAGACTGCCAGAGTCCAACCCGGGGTTCTACAGGTGTGGGATGCATCTTGGTGCTGGACAAACTGGCACTGCAGAAAAGAGCCCCGCCACACCACCCGCCTCCCCGACAGAGGCCTCACCTTCACCCAAGTGGGCTGCGGGACCAGGGCTGGGAGGAGCCTGGTGTCAGGTGAACCCAGGTCAAATCCCAGCTCCAGCAGCCCTCCTGGGTGACGGGCACAAGCCTGGCCCCAGCCTCGGTTTCTTGCCTAGAAGGGGTGATGCCCACTGGGGCTGTGGTGAAGATTAAACCAGGGCAAGATGCCACGGAGGGGCATTCCAGCTCCCCACCCTGCGGCCATCTGTCTGGCTGCCCCTGTGTCTCACCCAAGCAGACCGCCCAGTGTCCACTGGCTGGAGCTGGTTCCCTGTGGCCGGCCACTTCCCCTTCCTGTGTCTGGCTCCAAGTCCCTTCCTGTTTTCTTTATCATGGGAACGTGTGTTGGGGATAAACAACTAGAGTCCCCTGCTCCTGAGGCCACTGCACATGTGCAAGAATGTGTGTAAGTGGATGTGTGTGTGATGCCTGTGTGTCCACTGGGACACGTACACAGGTGCAGTGGGCACGTGTGGGAGAGTGTGTGCATGCAAGGATGTGTAAGTGAACGTGTGTGATGATGCACGTGTGTGCACGGGTGCATGGCAGCGGGCACATGTGTGGGGGAGTGCGTGTGCATGTGAGAATGTGTGGGTGTGTGTGCCCATGGGAGCTTGTGATGTCCACGTGCGGGAGTGTGTCTGCGTGTCGGGTGTGTGTGTGCATGATGCGCCTCCTGCAGCTCACCCTGAAGCTGCAACAGTTTGTGTGCCCGCTGGCCCCCGAGGGCTCACCTATGTGTGATTTGGCTGGTCTCAATAGCTACTCCACGGTCACCATGATGGGGCAGGTGCTGCAGGGGCCTGAACAAGCTCTGGGGGCAGCCTCTCAGGGCCCACAGGCTTGTGGGTGGAGGGCGCTGGTGAAGGAACTGAGGTCAGGAAGGAAGGGCAGGTGGTCAGCGAGGACCTCTGAGAGTCATCCACACAGAGACCTGGGAAGTGAGGAATGGGGATGGGGATGGATAGGATAAGATGGGCCTAGCGGTGGGAAAGAGCTCGGGCACCCAGGAATGGTTCGAGATGGCCAGACAGTGGTGTGAAATCTGGTCGGGCAGGAGTTGGGGTCATTGGAAGGGCATGGGGCAAAGGGAGGGGCACACATATACTGATGCCTGTGGGGCCCAGCCCAGAGCCAGTGCCCTTCCTGGGTTCCCTGAGACACCACAGCATCATGCCACTTCCCAGGGGAGGCTCTGCAGTGACTGCTCACCCACGGTGTGCCCAGGCCCCTCCCCGGCTGCCACCGCCTGGAGGAAGGCCAGTCCCTGGGTTCCCACACTGTTTGGCCAGCCAGCACCAGCACTGGCGGGAAAGTGTCCCTGGAGGGACAGAGGAGGGTCAGTGATCAAAGGTGGAGGGGCAGCCAAGTGTGGCGGGGGTCAGGGAAGAGGCCCCGCTTCCCACCCGTACCTCCCCCACCGCTGACACCTGCTGCCCCGCACTCACCCGGCCCTGGCTGGGCCTCAGGAGTGCAGCCTCTCCCTGCTGGAGACCCCTCAGACTTGGGTTCCCCCTGTACACAGAGCCAGGACAGGTGAGGAGCAGGGAGCCTCACGTGGGGCCTTGGTGGCCACGACTTGAAGGACAATGGATGTCCACACTGGATGGCCCCAAGCTCCTGGCTGTGTGGCCTTGGGCAGGTTAGCCCATCTCGCTGGACGTGGGGTGAGGACAGAACGCATGCCACACGGCAGGGGCCCAGCCCACGGCGACGCGTCTGATGTTTGTCCACTGCCTTGGGTTCAAAGAGACACCTCCTTGTAGTCCAGGTCAGGCCTGACACACCAGCTCCACACAGAGCATGAGACACACACGGATGTGGAGACTCATCCGCACAGCCTCACACACTGGGGGCCAGACAGATACCCGGAGACAAGGGAACAGGAACACGAAGAGGTACGGAGAGACACGCAGAGACACACATCTGCACGTGGGGCTCACATGCACGCACACACGTGCACCTGCTCCAGCAAAGCTCTGCGAGCTGGTTCCAAACACCCAGGGCCCCCTGTCCAGCCCAGGCACCCCTGACTGACCGCTGCCTGGGTGGCCTTGGGCAACCCTCCCAGCGTCCAGGCTCCCAGCCAGGAAAGAAGCCCGCGAGGCGCATGCAGCTGCACCGGGTGTTCCTGGGCTGAGGGTGTGGGCAGCTCCTGGCTTCCTTGGGCTATCCCCTCACCTCTGGGGTGGCGGCCAAGGAGCCACTGTCATTTGGGAGGGGGCAGGGAGGTGATGGGGAGGCCTCCCAGGTTCAGGCTCCTGGGCTCAACAGCAGGGGCAAGGGCCCCAGGGACAGCCCACCGCACCCTCTGCCCTCTGGCCCTGAGATGGGGCAGGCCGCCACCTCTCGGAGCCTCGTCTGTAGCACAGGGGCCTGGAGGTACAGGAAAGCTGGCTCAGGGTTGGCCGTACAGCGCGCCCAACAGTTGACGCTCATGGCCAGCACAGTGTGACTCGAATCATCGGGGATCCTCACCCAGTGTCTGCCACTGGCCGATGGGCTCTTGCCCTGGGCCCAGGGTGCTCCTGTGCGGGCTGCTGCTCATGCCGGTCTCTGCCTGGCCTCGCCCTGGGCCCATGGAGCCCCATCCAGGGCAGGCTCCAAACGGGATGCAGCTAGCAGGTGTCCTGCACAGGGACCTGCAGCCTTACCCTTGGCACCCAGAATTAGCAGGCTGCCTCCCGCAGGGTGGGGGGGACCCCTCTGCCTGGCCACCCGGGGTCTGGTCCCCGCAGGGGCTGCCCAAGAAGTGAGCACCAGGTAGGTGACTATGGTTTTCTCTGGTGAGAAGGATTTACTGGGGAGAGGCTGCGTTCCAGAAGAAATGAGTGTTTTTAAAGCTCCAAGCCAAGGCAGGGCCTTGACTCTGTCCCTCCCCACCCCTGGCCCTGGATTCAGAGAAATGACCCTCCCTCCCACTGTGAGTCCCCTTCCGTCTGCCAGAAATACCCCCAGTGACTGCCGGGGAGGGTGCGGGTGGGGGTGGGGGTTATTTTTGGACATCCAGAGATGCCTGAGGCTGGAGCCCGGGGTGAGGCTGGAGCCCGGGGTGAGGTCCGGAGCCCAGGGTGAGGTCTGGGCAGATGTGAATTTAGTCACTCCAACTGACTGGACCAGCATAAGGCGCTCGGTGCCCGCTCAGCCAGGACTGCCAGGAGGGGCCGGCTCAGGCTTCTGCCAAGTCCCATCCAGAACCTTCCCAGGTGGGCAGCTAATTGCTGGGACACAGGGCATGGTCCTCTGTCTACCCACATTGGCTGTCACTGAAGCCCAGCAGAGCCACCGCCTCCAGCCCCAGCACCCAGAGCACAGAGGAAGAAAACCTCCCACCTGGCCATAGCTGGGCCAAGGCTCTCACCCCACACCCGGCAGCCCAAGGTTCCTGAAGCCACCCCCAACCCAGCCTAGGCTCCTAGGCACCCTAGAGGGCTGGGCCAGCTCAGGGTCTCCAGCCGCAGGTCGCTAGGGCAGAGGGCAGGGAGGTTTCCAAAGGTTTTCAGAGTTCAGCAGCTCAGCCCTGGGTAAGCTAGTGCCTGGGGAAGGCGGGCCCCCAGGAATGTGCAGGCTGGAAGCCTCCTGCCGGGACGCGAGCGTAGATCAAACACGTCCAGGTTTACAGAGAAGGGGACAGGCTCAGAAAAGGCTGCCACTGGCCGAGGTCACAAGAGAGGGAGTGGCAGGGCAGGGCGGGGCCCGCAGTCTCTGGAGCCGCTTAGTGAGGGCATCCCCCGGGCCTCCCCGGTGGCAGCAGCAGCCTGCACCCCGCCCGAGCCCCCCGACCCCACGCACTTCCCGCCAGAGCTGCGCGTTCCCGCCCGGCGCGCCTCCCGGCCGGCCTGCCAGCGCCCCAGACCCAGGCCCGGCTCCCGGCGAGGCCTGCGGACCCACCCGCCAAGCGACCGCTACACCCGCCCGGGGGGCCGTGCCTGCGCCCCCAGCAGCTGCCAGACCTCACCGCGCCTCGGGAGCCCCATCTGTGAAATGGGGGTGGCTATCCCACCCCTACGCCGTGGCCAGAGCTTGCCACTGCCGACCCCCGGCCTCCCCGCTGACCCCGCTTCCGGGAGCGGGGCTGGCGTCCCCTCGGCCCACCCACTCCGCGCCTCGGGACCCTCCGCGCCTGGGGCCGGCGCCGCCCGCTCGGCCTGGGCGGGAGGGCGAGCCCGAGCTCTGCGCCAGCGCGCCACCGTGCGGGTCTTCCGGGGACTGCGCCGCCTTGCCTGCAGAAAAGCCCTCCCTTCCCTGCAGGTGACAATGACCAGACTCACAGTGCCAGAGCCCGACCCTCGTGTGGACACTAATTCCCCTCCAACCCTAGGAAGTGGGTCCTATTATTTGTCCTCCCTTACAGATGGGGAAACTGAGGCCCAGGCAGGTGGGGGCAGGATTTGACCCCAGGTAGCCTTGCTGCACAGCCTTGGGTTTAATCCTATCCATCTTGCCTGGGTCCCGGGGGTCAGCTTCACCTGGACTGGCGGCACCGGCCCATGCACATTGGGATCTACTGGGAGACTTAAAAAGAAAACAGTTGGGCCAGGCGCGGTGGCTCACGCCTGTAATCCCAACACTTTGGGAGGCCTAGGAGGGTGGATCATCTGAGGTCAGGAGTTCGAGACCAGCCTGGCCAACATGGTAAAACCCCGTCTCTACTAAAAAAATATATTAAATACAAAAATTAGCTGGGCGTCATGGCACATGCCTGTAATCCCAGCTACTCCAGAGGCTGAGGAACCCAGGAGGCGGAGGTTGCAGTGAGCAGAGATTGTGCCACTGCACTCCAGCCTGGGCAACAAGAGTAAAACTACATCTCAAAAAAGAAAAAAGAAAAAGAAGAGTTTCTGGGCCCCACCCCAGAGGCTGATTCACCTGGCCCAGGTGGCTTCCCCATGCAGCATGGACTGAGAGCCACCTGCCCCTCACAGAAAGCCCAGTCTATGGAAGAGGAAGTGGCTCAGAAAGGAAGGGCAGGATGGCCCCACCGGCAGTGACAGTGGGGCTGGGGGGTTCTGGCTCTGCACTTCCCAGCCATCTGGGATTCCTGGGGCGTGCAGAAGACAAGCCCAGGCCTGCAGGGATAGGGCATGCTGAGCCTGTGGAAGGCCACTGGATGCAAAGGGCCATGGGTTCAAGTGCTGACTCCACTATGGCCCAGCTGTGGCTCTGGCCTGGACTTCCCCATCTGTGAAATGGGGCATAGTTGGCTCCTGTTTCCTGGCAGGATTTGAAGAAATCATGGTGTGAAGGCTCAGGCTCAGCAACAGACAGATATTTGCCAAATCAGGGGATGGTCAAGCCGGGAACTTGAAGTCTCTGGAGGGAGCCGATCCCTCCAGGCCCCTCCAGACAATGCTGGGTTGCATTGCTGCAGTACTGAGGCTTGGTGGCCTGTGGCCCTTTTAGATGGACTGTGAAGGAGGTGCTGTACTGTGGGGACTAGGCCCAGCCACAGCAGGAGGCAGAGGGCATGGACTGTGGGAAGCGTGGGCAGGTGTGTGGGTACTGGTGAACCTCAGAGACTCAGAGAAGGGCTGCAGAGGGCGGAGTGGGGGGCACAGCAGAGCAGGTCGGGGAACAGTGCCCAGCTGGGGGCTTGGGAACAGGACGCTGGGAGACAGCAGCATTTGGGGTGGCTGTGGGAAGGGGCTGCTTCTGGCCAGGGATGAGTTTGACCAGGTGGCTGGAGGCTGAGCCCGGGCATACCATTCTCAAAGTGAGTGGTGAGTTTGGGGGCCCCTCAGACAGCGAGCTGGAAATGGAGAGGGTGGAGGGTGCAGCTTGATGATGGGCTGGCCAGGTGCCCACGTGGTCAGGCGAGGTGCTAGGGGAGCAGGAGGACCCTCGCTCTGCAAGAACGCTGCAGTTCTCGAGGCATCCCGGGGCCCGACCCTCTGCCCAGAGGCCGGGGTGTGCATTCTCAGGGCCCACCTGGGCTGGGGAGAGGGGCAGGCTGGGAACCCAGACACTTGTCTCCTCCATTCTCAGAGCCACACCAGGCCCCACCTGTACTGAGCATGTCACTCCCGCCCCTGAGTCTCAGTTTCCTTATCTGCTTGATGGGACCATCCCTTGGAGCTATCATTCAAGACTGCGGCAAGGACCGAAGGAGGCCAACAATGCACATCACGGGCCGGCACACATCTGTGCCTTCCCTGTTTGGGGAGGGGGTCTTCCCAGGGGGCACATGGCCCAGGCAGGGGAGAGGGCAGCTTTTTCTTTTTTTTTTTTTAGACGGAGTCTCACTGTCGCCCAGGCTGGAGTGCAGTGGTGCGATCTGGGCTCACTGCAACCTCTGCCTCCCCGGTTCAAGCGATTCTCCTGCTTCAGACTCCAAGTAACTGGAATTACAGGCACCCAACCATCATGCCCGGCTAATTTTTGTATTTTTAAGTAGGGACAGGGTTTCGCCATGTTGGCCAGGCTGGTCTTGAACTCCTGACCTCGGGTGATCCTCCCACCTTGGCCTCCCAAAGTGATGGAATTACAGGCGTGAGCCACCGCACCGGGCCATGAGGGCGCTTTTTCTCTCTGCACAAAGACAAGCTCCCAATGGCCGAAGGAGAAACTCAGGGCAGGACCTCTTCCTTGGATGAGCTCAGAGGACACGGCCCTGGAGAGGAAGGGACGGCTTCTCCCATCACCACCACGAGGGATGCAGTCTCACCTGCCCTGCCCCCCTGCCAGGTCAGGAGGGCAGCAGGTGCCCACAGGCACGGGGCTCAGCTCCACCAAGCTGCTCCCAAGAGAGGCCCAGGGGCCTCTCTGACCTCTCAAATCCAGCTCTCAGAGCCAGTCACCCACCCAGGCCCAACCTCACACAACACCCAGGGGCATGGCCGTGAATACAGCACAGGGAACAGGCTGGTAACCTGGGGCAGTCTCTCCCAAGGCAGCGTTGTCAGGGCATCTGCGGGGCATCTGCGGGCTGGTGGCTTCCAAAGCTGTGCCAGCCTCCGCATCTCCCCCTTTTCACAGACGAGCAAGCTGAGGCGAGAGCGCATGGCCTGGTTCCAGGTCATTCATGCAGTCAACACACATTTATTGAGCATCGACTCTGTGCCGGGCCCTGGGTGGGCACAGGGGGCTCAGAGACAAATCACACGCAGACCCTACCCTTGAGGCGCTGACAGCCTGGCAGGGCAATTGGTCACGTCAACGGACACTCACGATACAGTGTGGTCAGTGTGGTGTTAGAGGTAGCACAGGTGACCGAGGGAGCACAGAGGAGGGGCCCCTGCCGGCGGGGGGTGGCAAGGAGGGCTTCTTGGAGGAGGTGACCCCTGAAGAGGGCTTTAGGGAGTGAGCAAGAGTTAGGGTGTCTCGTCTGAGCAAGTGGCCTGTGCAAGGGCTCAGTGGTAGGGACAGTGGTGGTGGCTGGGAGTTGGGCAAGGGCCAGTCCAGGAAGGGCCATGGAGTCCGCAGGCGACAGGGAGCGCTGAGGGGTGTGAAGCAGGCGGTCGGCAGAGGGCCCGCTGGAAGCCAGCGTGAAGGGTGGCCCAGGGGACGGGGCAGGGGAGAAGGGTGGGTGGCCGTGGGCAGCAGAGGTGGGCGGGCACGGCCCTTGCCCGAGGAGTCTCGTCCTGCCTGGAGGCCCCCTCAGCAGGGGGGTGGTGGGGGTGCGGGCTGCCAGCCGCGGGGCCGCAGGGTGCACAGCACGGGGTCCAGTGGCTTGAGTGTGGCCTGCTCCTGCAGCCCGAAGCGCTGCCCGGGCACCAGCCGGAACTCCAGCCTCTGCAGCAGCTTTGCCATGACCACCTTCACCTCCATCTGGGCCCAGCGGGCAAAATGAGGAAGGAATGAAGGAGCAAAGACAGAATGAGTGAGTGAATGAGCAGCAAATGTCACAGCCGGCTCTCCTCCTGGAGAGCCTGTGAGAGCCTGGGGAGCCTCCTGTTTTGCGCTCTCCTCCGTGCAAAACACAGCCAGTCCTCTGGGTCTGGCTCCGCTGGGTCCCGAGCCCACAGCCCAGCAGCCCCAGAGCAGGGGTTCGGAGATGCTTCCCGGCTCAGGATGAGCCCCCACCCCTGCAGCTACTCCTGGGCAGAACCACAGCCCTGCCCCTCCTACCTGAGCAAACTGCTGCCCGATGCAGGAGCGGTGGCCCAGGGAGAAGGGGAAGTAGGTGAACCGTGGCCTGCAGGGAAAGAGAGGAATCACGAGGCCAGCAGCCCCAGGCGTCCCCACAGGAACAACATAAGGAAGACAGTAGTTAACCCAGGTCTGGATGAACACAGACTTTGAGCCAGGGGCTGGGCACTTTGCATGCAAAGCATGAACCGCTGACTCTGCCGAGGGCTGGATCTGCATTCTTTTTCTCCTCCTTTTACCCTCCTGGAAGGAACTGCTGTTGTCCCCATTTCACAGATGGAGAAACTGAGGCTCAGAGGGGCAAAACAACTCACTCCAGGTCATAAATTTACATCCAGCTCTGGGCAGAGCCTGGATCTGAACACTCAGGCAGGCTGTGGAGTCCAGCTCTTCCCACCATGGCTTCGGTACCTTAACGCGTTGACCCCCACAGCAACTTGCAGATGCAGCCACGGATGGTCCCATTTCTCAGACAGGAACCTCAAGGCTTGGGGAGGTGAAGTCACCCAGCTTCCCAGTATTTGGTGCTGCTTATGAGCATGAGCTTTAGAACCAGACTGAGCTGGGGCCAGACCCCTGCTCTGCCACTTGGGCAAGTTACTTAACCTCTCTGAGCTGTGATTTCCTCCACAACCACCTCACAGGGATCTGGAAGGCTATGTGGGCTGAGTGGGTGCCTCTGGCTCAGACCAGAGGCCGCTGTGTCTGTCCTTCTCCCGCCAGCCCCACTCATGGGCAGCTCCAGGAGGGACTTACTTGGGTGCTCCAGGGCCGAAGCGATCGGGGTTGAAAGTCAGCGGGTCCTCAAAGTATGTGTCCATCCGCCCCATGACATAGGTGCTGAACTGCGGGCAAAGGGTCCGCTCATCTCTGGTTCCCAGGTTGTTCCCCTGGCACCTCTTGAGCCACTGAGGCCACCCAACAGGGCTACTCAGAGCAGAGTGGGTCCCACTCTCCTCCCCCCATGTCTTCACCCCTCATCTAGGTTGGTGTCCATTGCACTGGCCCCCTAGAAAATCCCTTAAGAGGAAGAGCGGGGACAGTTGACTGTGCCAGCTGGGCGTACTGCGTCATCCTGTGCTGGGCTCAGCCCTGTAGGGGAGCCGTCATTGTCCCCATTTTACAGATGAGGAAACTGAGACCCAGAGAGAGGCTCAGTGACTCACCTGAAGTCACCAGGCAAATAAATGGCCAAACCGGGATTCAAACTCAGATCTGACTCTGTGAGGCCAACTTCCTCTAGATCCCGAGAACTGTTATATTCAGTTTCTCTTCAACTCAAGGCCTACTTCAGCAGGGGTGGGAGTGGAGGAACTGCAGACCCCACCAGCCTTCCACGTGCACGTGTGGTGCCTCCTGAGTGGGGCTGACGCTCACTCTGTGTCCTTGGCCTCCAAACACTGGGACAAAATCTCCTCCTAAGCCTGTTCCACCCCTGGCTCTCTGTGCTGGGGGTCAGTGCAGCAGAGGGTGCAGGGAGCCCTGGAGCTGAGCTCCAGCAAGTGTGTGGGAACATCCGGTGTGGGGGCTGGGTTTAGGGCACCTAAGATGTGCCGGGGATTGTTGCCAGACACATGATGTACGTCATCCTACTGATGCTCACCACTCCCCCCACCTAACAAAGAGGAAGCCGAAGGCCTGATGGAGATGACCCAGCCAGCCAGGAGCAGAGGTGGGGTTGGAGCCCAGTCTGCCCACTCAAAGCCCACAGGGTGGCACCCCCAGGCTGAGAGTGAGCCACAGGGCTTCCCCTGCTGGCTGTAAGGGGATCTAAGGAGATGGCTGTTAAGGCACAGTGGTATTGGTACAGGAGCATTAAAAAAGAAAGCTTGGCAAAACAGATGGCAGAGTGGCCACAGATGAGGCTTGGATGGATGCTGGAGGAGGCAGGGCAGAACCCTGGGAGGAGAGGGGCTGGGAGCAGGGACTGGGGCTCCTCCTTCCTCACAGGTAAAAATAAAAAGGATCCTGTCATGGGCTGAATTTTGCCCCCCACAAATCCTCATATGTTGGAGTCCTAATCCCCAGTACCTCAGAATGCGGCTGTGTTTGGAGACAAGGTCTTTAACGAGGTAATTAACTTAAAATGAGGTACTTAGGATGGGCCCTAATCCAACCTGATTGGTGTCCTTATAAGAGGAGATTAGGACACAGACACACAGAAGGAAGACCATGTGGAGACACAGGGAGAAGGTGGCTGTCTGCACACCAAGGAGTGAGCCCTCAGAAGAAACCAACCTCCAACACCTTGATCTCAGACTTCCAGCCTCCAGGACTGGGAGAAAATAAATTTCTGTTGTTTAAGCCAAAGTCTGTGGCACTTTGTTACAACAGCCCTGGCAAGTCAATACAGAAAGGTCCCTACCTTGAAACTACACACAAAATCAATTCCAGGTAGTTACAAGCTCAACTTTGAAAAGAAAAATGTAAAACTGAGGACAAAGTAAGTGAATGTCCTGAACTCAGGATAGAGAAGGATTTCTTAAACAAGACAAAGCAAAAGAAGTAATTGTTAAAAATATTAAGACATGCAGATCATCAAAAACACATTAATGAAGACAAGCCACAAAGATGACAAACATACCAGACAAAAGATTAACACGTGAGTTTTTAAAAGAAAGCTCTAGGGCTGGGCGCGCTGGCTCACGCCTGTAATCCCAGCAATTTGGGAGGCCGAGGCAGGTGGATCACTTGAGGTCAGGAGTTTGAGAATAGCCTGGCCAACCTGGTGAAACCCCATCTCTACTAAAAATACAAAAATTAGCCAGGCGTGGGGGTGTGCACCTGTAGTCCCAGCTACTCGGGAGGCCGAGGCACGAGAATCGCTTGAACCCGGGAGGCAGAGGTTGCAGTGAGCCGAGATGGCGCCACTGCACTCCAGCCCGGGGGACAGAGCAAGACTCTATTTAAAAACAAAATAATGAAAATAATAGTAAATAAATGTATGCCGTAAAAAATAATAAAATAAAATAACGCTCTACATAGCAATACGAAAAAACACACTACCCCAAAAGGGAAACTGAGCCCACATCTCAGAGACAGAGAAAGCAGGGTCAGATGCTCACGCTTACTAGTTAGTAATCAGGAAAGCATAAATCAAGACCACAGTGAAATACTTTTTTAAAAACACATATTTGGATGGCAGCAGATACAAAATCGGACCATGCTAAGTGCTGGAGATGATGAAGAACAGCAGGTGCTCTCTCTCACCACTACTGGGCATCCAAGTTGGTGCAGCCACTTTGGAAAACAATGTGGCGTTCGTTTGTAAAGCTGAACAGTCAGGGGTCCTACAACCCAGCCCTCTCACTTCTGGGTAAATGTCCGAGGAGCTGGCTTGCACACTGTTCCTGGACATGCGGACAGAAATGGCATCGTTGCTGTGGTGCTCGAGATAGGGACAAACTGGACACCTCTCAAATGCCTGTCACCTGAGAACTGATCAGCGATGGTGGTTGTCCTACGGCCTTGTGGAGAAACCTACACAAATCTTACCAACTTTATACTGAGTCAAAAAACAAGTCCTACAATATATTACTGCGTGAATGCACACAGGCACACACACACACACACACACACACACACACACACGGGAATGGCAAACACACAATTCAGATTAGTGATTCCTTGTCAGCGGAGCAGGGAGTGACTATATCCTAGTTTCCTGGTTTGGGGGTGGGTTTAGGGGCTATCATACATGAGTAAATGCCTGGATGAATGGATAAATGAACAAGTAAGCAAACAAAGAGACACAAAATAAAGGAGGTCTGGGGAGAAAGCCGAGAGAGAAAGGGCTGTAAAACGTGAGGAGAGAAGGAACCAGGACAAGTTTGGGTCAACTGTGAAACTGGGCAATTTCCATATCTGCTTTTCACCAGCTGTGTGACCCCAGGAAAGTGACCTAACCTCTCTGAACCTCAGTGTCCTCAGCTGTAAATGGGGCACCTCCCTTCCAGAATGACCCCCTGTAATCTTCTGCTGGACAGTGTGAGGAGGGGAAAAAGCCCTCACAGGGCTATGGTGAGACTCCATGAGAAAGACCAGGGCAGCCAGTGAGGCCCGTTGCAATGATGGGAACAGGGCCACAGGCTCCCCTGGTGAGTCCCAAATTCACCACCATTGGGGCAAGCAGCCCAGCCCACCCCAGGACCCCCAGGGCCTCCACCCACCAAGAGCGGGGTGTTGCCGGGGACTCTGACCCCATCAATCAAGGTCTCCTCTTCCAGCAGGCGAAAGGTGCCCCATGCTGGTGGGTACAGCCTCAGCGACTCTTTGAGGACCTAGAGAAGCCACAAGGGGAGATAACAAGGAGAGTCGGGAGAGGCCACAGATCATGCCGGCCGGCGGCATGCCTGGGACCCCTGTCTTTCCCACCCACAGGCTGAGTGCATACCCTCACCCTGGCCTGGGTCCCAGGCCCCTGGGACATCAGCCTCACCGTCACGTGACAGATGGAGAAACTGAGGTCCAGAAGGAGAAGGGAGTGTGCAAGGCCACAATGGCAGAGCTGGGACCAGGAATCAGGGGTCCCACCATTCCAGAGAGCCACAGCAGAAGCTGCAAGCCCTCCTGCTGTGCGGCGGCAGCATGGAGAGGCGCTGCTGAGCCTGACTCCACCAGGGGAAGCTTAAGGATCTGGAACCCCAGCCTAGCCGGGAAGCACAAATACGGCACCATTTACTAAAGGGCCAGTTTCCAACCTAAGTTGAATACTGGGGTGACCTGGGGAGCTCTTTGACTCTGATGTCATTAGTCTGGGGCAGCCTGGGCCTCAGGATACTTTAAATCTTCCGGGGGAGGACCCTATGCAGCAAAGTTTGAGAACCACTGTCCTGAAAGGTCCAGGGAGGAAGCAGGCATGATGACATGATCACCCACATCCGCCCAGAAGCTTCCCTCCTACTTCCCACACCTGGGACAGGTACTGCAGTCTCCCCAGGTCCTCGAAATCCAGGTACCTCTTAGAACCAATGACCTCATCCACCTCGGCCTGCAGCCTGTGGGGTAAGACAAAGACAAGTTCGTCTCCAAAGGGAGCCTGTCCCCGACTTACTTAGCTTTAAGAAGGGGGCACTGGAAGGAAGCGTGAAGAGAGACGCATGGGGCTCCCCACTCACAAACACTGTTACTTGTAGCTTTATTTTTTGAGACAAAGTCTTGCTCTGTCGCCCAGGCTGGAGTGCAGTGGTGTGATCTCGGCTCACTGCAACCTCCGCCCTCCCCCCAGGATTCAAGCAATTCTCCCGCCTCAGCCTCCCAAGTAGCTGGGATTACAGGCACCCACCAGCACGCTCAGCTAATTTTTGTATTTTTAGTAGAGACAGGGTTTCACCATGTTGGCCAGGCTGGTCTTGAACTCCTGACCCCCAGGTGATCTGCCCGCCTCAGCTTCCCAAAGTGCTGGGATTACAGGCATGAGCCACTGTGCCCAGCCCAAAGACTGTTAAAGAGATCCAGCGATGGCCACATCCAAAACAGTGCCCAAACCACTGGGAACTATGTTGCAGGGGCCCTAAAACATCCACCCTTTGTGTCTGATGTTTGGGATTGGCTGTAGGAAACCAGCATGGCCAACATGGTGAAACCCTGTCTCTACTAAAAGTACAAAAATTCGCCGGGAGTGGTGGTGGGTGCCTGTAATCCCAGCTACTTGGGAGGCTGAGGCATGAGAATCACATGAATCTGGGAGGTGGAGTTTGCAGTGAGCAGAGGTAGAGCCACTGCACTCCAGCCTAGCAACAGAGCGAGACTCCGTCTCAAAAAAAAAAAAAAAAAAGAGTGGATCTGGACCACTTCATACTCATTAGGATGGTTCTCATCCCAATAAACACAAAAGTATTGTAGAGGATGTGGACAAATCAGAAAGAACCCTTGCGCACTGCTGGTGGGAATGTAAAATGGTTCAGCCGTTATGGAAAACGGTATGGTGATTCTTCAAAAAATTAAAAATAGAATCACCATATGATCCAGCAATCCCACTTCTGAGTATAAACCCAAAACAACTGAAAGCAGGGACTTAAAAAGATATTTGTGTACCCATCCTCATAGCAGCATTATTCAAAATAGACAAACGGTAGGAGCAACCCAGGTACCCATGGACAGATATATGAATATGCAAAATGGGACCGATGCTTACAATGGAACATTAGTAAGTCTTAAAAAGGAAGGGAGTTCTGCCGGGCACGGTGGCTCATGCCTGTAATCCCAGCACTTTGGGAGGCCGAGGCGGGTGGATCATGAGGTCAGGAGATCAAGACCATCCTGGCTAACCCGTGAAGCCCCGTCTCTACTAAAAATACAAAAAAAATTAGCCAGGCATGGTGGCGTGCACCTATAGTCCCAGCTACTTGGGAGGCTGAGGCAGAAGAATGGCGTGAACCCGGGAGGTGGAGCTTGCAGTGAGCTGAGATTGTGCCACTGCACTGCAGCCTGGGCGACAGAGTGAGACTCTGTCTTAAAAAAAAAAAAAAAAAAGAAAAGAAAAAAAAGGAAGGGAGTTCTGACACATACTGCAACATGGATGAACTTGGAGGACATTATTCGAGTGAAACAAGCCAGTCACAAAAAAGACAAATACTGTATGAGTCCACTTACATAAGTCACCTAGAATAGACAAACACACAGAGACAGAAGTGGAATGGTGGTTACCAGGGATGGGGAGGCGAGAACGGACAGATTTTCAGTTTGGGAAGATGAAAAAGGTCTGGAGACGGAGGCCAGGAGCAGTGGCTCACACCTGTAATCCCAGCACTTTGTGATGCCAAGATGGGTGGATCACTTCAGGCCAGGAGTTTGAGACCAGCCTGGCCAACATGGCAAAACCCCGTCTCTACTAAAAATACACAAAAAAAAAAAAATTAGCCAGGTGTGGTGGTGCACACCTGTAATCCCAGCTACTCTGGAGGCTGAGGCAGGAGAACTGTTTGAACTGGGGAGGCGGAGGTTGCAGTGAGCTGAGACTGCACTCCAGCCTGGGCAACAGAGCAAGACTCTGTCTCAAAAAAGTAAAAATAAAAATAGTGGAGGGGGATGACATTCACAATGTGAATGCCCTTAATGCCACTAAACTGTGGGCTTAAAAACAATGAAAATGTAAAATTTTATGTTATGTATATTTTACCACAATTTTTTAAAGAGTGGATTTGGGAGGAGGTTACAATGAGGTAGGCAATGCTGTGATAAGGCTCATGGGGAATAAAAGCCAGCTGTGCAACCAGGTGACAAAAAACACGGCAAAGCTGCTCATGCGTAGGTGAGAAGGTGCTGAACAGATACTCAGCAGTTAACAGCGAAGTGCCGCTGGGTGGGTGGGGTGCCATGGGTGGGTTTATTATTATTATTATAGCTTTTCTGCTTTTCCCAAAATTTTTATACGAAATGCTTATTACAATTATACTTATTTTTAAACCCTAGAAAGATTGTATATTTTCACACAATCTTTCACTTCCGCCCTTATATGCTGCTGATGACTAATAATTGTAATTGAAGGCCTGACCCCACCTCCCCAGAGCTCCCACCCAGCCTGTTGGTGCATTCAGAGAGCTTTGACCCTTGCTTCAGCCACTCCATGCAACTGTCCCAGAGGGAGCCTGTTTGTATTTAAGGAAACCAATGGCCCGACTCAAATACCACCTCCCCAGGGACACCCTCCTTTGTCTTGCCATCAGAAGACAAGCACGCTCTTGGCAATTTAGCAGGGATTCTGCTCCATCCTCACTGCCAGGCCCTGGCCAGGCACTGGGTACGCTGTGGGGAGGGAAAAAACCACGGTCCCTGCCCTCCTGGAGCTTCTGGTCTCATGGCTGAAATAGACATGAAACAATCCCAGGGAAACACACTCATGAGTCGGGAGCAGGCTCGGAGGGGAAACGTGGGGTGGCTCCTTTAGGGATCTGAGAAGCCCTTTCTAGAAGAGGAGTGGGAGGAGGAGGTGTGTTCTCCAGGGGAAAAGCAGGGAGAGCGCTTCCAAGAGAGGGAACAGCATGTGCCAAGGCCCAGGGGAAGCAGGGCATGTTGAGGGGACTCAACCATGGGAGGTGGGGGCAGGTGGCCCTCAGGAACAAGAAATCAGACAGACCTCTTTGCCAGCCCCAAGAGCAGCCCCCATACCTTGCCACGATCTCTGGCTGGCGAGACAGCTCCATCACTGTGAACGCCAAGTGGTTGGCAGAGGTCTCGTGACCTGTGGGAAGGGAGGACGGTGGTTGCTCCACATGGGGCCACAGGATGAAGGAGACAGTTTGTGCCTGCCTCTATGCCAGCCAGTGCTGGCATGTAAATGGCATGTGCCCCCAGGCATCTGGCTCTAAAAGCCCCTTCCTTGAACCATCGTCTAGGTCTCACTTGGCCCGGGGAGGTGCTCACCTCCATTTTGGAGAAGAGAAAGTGGAGGTGGAGAGGAATGGGTCTCTGTGGTCACACAGCAGGGAGAGTGGGGGGGACACAATTCAAAGTCCGTGAGCCCAAGGCCTCGCCTTCCCAGGATGCAGGGTGCACACAAAAGCCCCCCATGACCCTGAGGTTCTATGAGGGGGTGGTGGACATTTCGGGAGGCTGATTTTGAGTTCTGGCAGGGTCTGGCCAAGGTGATAGAGTCAACCCCTCCAAGCTGGCCTGGGAGGGAACAGACGTGAGTTTACTCTAAAGGAGCCAGGGGGCTTGAGGGGCCTGCTTGAATGCAGGAGAAGGGCCTATAACTTACAGCAAGTCAGAGCTGGGAAGCAGGGCCCAGCTCCTAGGGTGTGGAGGTGGGCCATTCACACAGCCAGCGGAGCCCTCAGCCTGGGAGCAGGGTGGGAGAACACAGCAGCCCTGGCCCCAGCTCTGCATCGCGGGCTGTGACTATAGGAGGCCACTTCCCTCCTCGGCCTCAGTTTCCTCACAGGCAAAGGGAAAGACAGACACAACCCACCGTGCCCTCGGCCAGTCCCCCATAGCATCTGGACGCAGGGCTCAGGGATAGACTGGAGGGACGAGACGGGATTAATAAACCCTCTCTGGAAGGCTGGATAGAAGCCTGGAGAGCTCCTCAAGGCCCCCATTTTACAGATGAGGAGACTGAGGCTAGGTCTGTCCAGAAGCCTCATCCAGGACCTGGGTTCCCAGCTGCAGGAATGAGGACCAGCCATTGGTTCCGCAAGTCCTTTCTATCCATTGCAGGGAATGGCGCCCTGCAGCCTTGCTTTAACACTGGCCGCTTCTAATCTCCTGGGGCATCTGCAAGTGCTTCTCCCACCTAAAGGGCCTTCCTCCATGCCTTTCACCTGCAGACCTCTTCGTCCATCAGTATTTGTCTCTCTGTCTTTCCACCTCCACCAATAGGCTAGAAACTGTCCCTCATCTTGTTCACCTCCATCTTCCCAGTGCCCAGTGTCAATCATTTGTTCGTGTATTTCATTCAATGTTCATGGGATTCCCTACCACACTGGGCCCCAGGAGAACAGAGGTGAGCAAAACAACCTGACCCTTCGCTCATCAAGTCTGGTGGGGAACAGACGTCACTCAATTACCACAAATAAATAAACAGCTTAACACAATGAGATGGGTGGTGGGGAGGAGCCCCAGGCCTGTGGTCAGCTTCTAGCTGAGTGCCTGAGGCAGCCTGTGCTTCCCTGGGGAGGAGGCATGCGAGGGCTCACTGACGGCTGAAGAGGAGTCTTCTAGGTGAAGAACCATGTTCAGGAAATATCTGATGAGCAAATGAATGAAGCTGCTTAGCATCTCTTCTTGTGCCAGTCTAATGCAGGCCTCCCCACAAATTCTGAGTGAGGGGATGCCTGCATTCACACAGCCAAGCTCTCTGGAGCTGACAGGCCAGCTTCACACATCCCCACAATTGCCAGCTGCATTACCAGGTCAGAGGCCCCCAAGACAGCTAGGAGATGGGGCTTCTGCTCCCTTCAGCCCAGCCCCCTAGCCCTGCGGTGAGCTCTGCTCAGATAGCCCAAAAAATCCCAAAGAGTTGGGTTTGAGGGATCCATGGTCCACAGCATTTCTGCAGAGCTCCGGGCCCTTGGCCACCGCCAAAGCTACAAACCAGCAATGAAGAAGGTGACGAAGTTGTCCAGCAGACCCTCGTCGTCCTGGGCTCCCTCTTCAGCTGAAAAACAAGGAGAGTCTCAGTTCCCAGCAAATCTTTGCTCCCTTTCCCCATGGCTCATAAAATAACTAACTGTGTTTCTCCTCTTAAGCCAAACAGAGTCAGTGGCGATGTATCACCTGGGGAACGTCCTGGCCCACCCCGCCCTCCCCAGTCCGCAGAGGGGGCCCTTGCACCTTTCAGAATCTGTGTGAGGATGTCGGCAGGAACCTCCTCGCCCCTCTTCAGGGCTTCCCGGCGGCGCTGGACCCAGTCCCTGCCCACCTGGCGCAGGAAGCGAATGCTCTCCCGGACCTCCCGGAGCTGCTTCCTCTTCCCTGGCAGGAACTAAACAAGAGTTTCAGCTCCAGATGGCCAAGTGAACACGCATGTTCCCTCTCCCCTCTCCCCCACCACCCCGAAATGACGTTAGCGGCACTGGCAAGCTGGGAGGTCAGTAGAATGTGAGAAATTCTAGAAAAGATGAAGCAGCCAGGGAGACTGGATCAAGATGGCAGACTGAGCCCAGGCCTCAGCCTCCCTTTCCTGCACCAAATCCTTAGCAGTGGTGGGCGGGATGGCTTAAAACATCCACGTGGCCCTGCAAGGTAAAAAGGGACCCCTGATGAGTGGAGGCAGCTAGGCTTGCATCGAAGGAAGAAATCCCAAGCAGTGGGAAGTAGAGTGCGATCAACTGCCAAAAAGACGGGGCGGCATTGGCGGCTGCAAGCTCAGGGGCCGAAGTCCCAGGGAACGGGAGGGGGCCCTGAGATGAACTCAGCTATCACCTTTCCCCTTTCTTCCTTCTTCATGACTGGAATAAGGAGGTGATATGTGGAGCTGCAGCAGCCATCTTTTTAAAAATCTATATATTTTAATTGATACATAATAATTATACACACATATGGGGTACATGTGATATTTTGATACATGAATACAATGTGCAATGGTCAAATCAGCATATTTAGGATATTCATCACCTCAAACATTTATCATTTGTGTTGGAAACATTTCAAATCTCCCTGTTTTTGAAATATACAATACCTTGCTGTTAGCTATAGTCACACACTGTGCTACTGACACTAAAACTTACTCCTTCTACATAACTGTATGTTTGTACCCATTAACCAACTTCTCTTCATCCCCCCACTCATCCTTCCCAGCCTCTAGTAACTATCATTATACTCTTTACCTCCATGAGATCAACTTTTTTAGCTCCCACGTATGTGGGAGAACAGGCAATATTTGTCTTTCTGGTCTTGCCTTGTTTCACTTAACATAATGATCTCCAGTTCCATCCAGACTGCTCCAAATGTAAGGATTTCATTCTTTCTTATGGGCAAATAGCATTCCATGTGTATATACATCAAATTTTCTTTTCTTTTTTTTTTTTTTTTGAGATGGGGTTTCACTCTTGTTGCCCAGGCTGGAGTGCAATGGCACGATCTCAGCTCACTGCAACCTCCATTTTCCAGGTTCAGGTGATTCTCCTGCTTCAGCCTCCTGAGTAGCTGGGATTACAGGTGCCCATCACCATGCCTGGCTAATTTTTTGTATTTTTAGTAGAGATGGGGTTTCACCATGTGAAAGGCTGGTTTTGAACTCCTGACCTCAGGGGATCTACCTGCCTTGGCCTTCCAAAGTGCTGGGATTACAGGCATGAACCGCCACACCCAGCTACACCAAATTTTCTTTATCCATTTATCTGTTGATGGATGCTTAGGTTGATTCTATATTTTGGCTATTGTGCAGGTGTTCCTTTGATATACTGATTTTTCTTTGGATAAATACCCAGTAGTGGGACTGCGGAATCATATGGTAGTTCTCTTTTTAGTTTGAGAAACCTCCACACTGTTTTCCATAATGGCTATACAAATTTACATCCCTGCCAACAATGCATAAGAGTTCCATTTCTCTCTATCCTCACCCGCATCTGTTATTTTTTGTCATTTTGATAATAGCCATTCTAACTGGGATAAGATGATATCTCACAGATTTGCATTTATCTGATGATTAGTGACGTTGAACATTTTTTCATATACCTCTTGGCCATTTGTCTTTTGAGAAATGTCTATTCAGATCCTTTGCCAACTTTTTAATGGAATTATTTGCTTTTCTTTTTTTTGCTGTTGTGTTCCTTGTCAGATGAGTGGTTTGTAAATTCTTTCTCCCATTTAACAAGTTGTCTCTTTATTCTGTTGATAGTTTCTTTTGCTGTGCGGAACCTTTTTAGTTTAATATAGTCACATTTAATATAGTCACACGTCTTTTTTTTTTTTTTTTTTTTTTTTTGAGATGGAGTCTCACTCTGTCAGCCATGCTGGAGTGCAGTGGCATGATCTCGGCTCACTGCAACCTCTGCCTCCTGAGTAGCTGGGACTACAAATGCCAAACACCATGCCTGGCTAATTTTTGTATTTTAGGCTAATTTTTGAATTTTTAGTAGAGACAGGGTTTCACCACGTTGGCCAGGCTGGTCTGAAACTCCTGCCCTCAAGTGATCTGCCTGCCTTGGCCTCCCAAAGTGCTGGGATTACGGGCATGAGCCACCATGCCTGGCCACGTTTGTCTATTTTCGTTGTTGTTGCCTGTATTTTTGAAGTCTTAGCTATAAAATGTTTGCCTACACCAATGTCCTGGAGCATTTCCCCTATGTTTTCTTCTAGTGTTTTTATGGTTGCAGGTCTTATGTTTAAGTCTATTAATTTTTTTTTTTTTTTGAGATGTAGTCTTGTAGTCTCGCTCTGTCGCCCAGGCTGGAGTGCAGTGGCATGATCTCAGCTCACTGCAACCTCTGCCTCCCGGGTTCAAGTGATTCTCCTGCCTCAGCCTCCCAAGTAGCTGGGACTATAGGTGTGTGCCACCACACCCAGCTAATTTTTTGTATTTTTAGTAGAGACAGGGTTTCACCATATTAGCCAGGATGGTCTCCATCTCCTGACCTCGTGATCCGCCCATCTTGGCCTCCCAAAGTGCTGGTATTACAGGCGTGAGCTACTGCGCCCGGCCAAGTCTATTCATTTTAAGGTGATTTTTGTATATGGTGAGAGACAGGGGTATGGTTTAATTCTTCTGCATTTAGATATCCAGTTTTCCCAGCACTGCCCTTTCCCCAGTGTATGTTCTTGGTGCCTTTGTTGAGTCTGTTTCCTGTAAATACATGAATATATTTCTGGGCTGTCTATTCTGTTACATTGGTCTATGTCTGTTGTTATTTTTTAAACCAATACCATGCTGTTTTGGTTATTGTAGCTTTATAGTAGATTTTGAAATCGGGTAGTATGGTGCCTCCAGCTTTGTTCTTTTTGCTCAGAGTTGCTTTGGCTATTTGGCTCTTTCGTGGTTTCACGCAAATTTTAAGATTGCTTTTTCTATTTCTGTGAAGAATGTCATTGGTATTTTGACAGAGATTGCATTGAATCTTTAGATTGCTTTAGGTAGCATGGTCATTTTAACAATATTAATTCTTTCGATCCATGAGCATGGGATGTTTTTTCATTTGTTTGTGTCTTCTTCAATTTCTTTCATCAGTGTTTTGTAGTTTTCCTTGTATAGGTCTTTCACCTCCTTGGTTAAATTTATTCCTAGGTATTTTATTTTCTACATAACAATTGTAAATGGGATTGCTTTATTGGTTTCTTCTTCCATGAGTTCATTATTGGTGTATAGAATTGCTACTGATTTTTGTATGCTGATTTTTTTTTACCCCACAACTTTACTGAAGTCATTCATCAGTTCTAAGAGTTTTTTGGTAGAGTCTTTAGGAATTTCTAAATATAAGATCATGTCTTCTGCAAAGAGGGACAGTTTGACTTCTTCTTTTCCAATTTGGACGTCTTTTATTTCTTTCTCTTGCCTGACTGCTCTGGCTAGCACTTCTATTAATAGTACTACGTTGAATAAGAGTGATGAAAGTGGGCATCCTTATCCTGTTCCAGTTCTTAAAGGAAAGACTTTTAGCTTTTCCCCACTAAGTATGATGTTAGCTGTGGGTATATCATATACGACCTTCATTATGTTGAGCTACGTTCCTTCTATTCATAATTCGTTGAGAGTTTTTAATCATGAAGTGGTGTTAAATTTTATCAAGTGCTTTTTCTGCATCTATTGAGATGATCATATGGCTTTTGTCCTTCATCCTGTTAATATGATGTATAACATTTATTGACTTGTGTATGTTGAAGCACCCTTGCATCCCTGGGATAAATCCCACTTAATCATGGTGAATTACCTTTTTAATGTGTTGTTGGATTAGGTTTGTTTGCTAGTATTTTGTTGAATATTTTTGCATCTATGTTCATCAGGGACGTTGGCATGTAGTTTTTCTTTTTTTATTGTGTCCTTGTCTGTTTGTGGTATCAGGGTAGGGTAGTGCTGGCCTCATAGAATAAGTTAGGAAGAGTTCCCTCTTCTTCAATTTTTTGGAATAGTTTGAGAAGAATTGGTGTTCTTCTTCATGGGTTTGGGAGAATTCAGCAGTAAAGACATCTGGTCACGGGCTTTTCTTTGTTGGAAGACTTTTTATTAGTATTTCAATCTCATTACTCACCATTGGTCTGTTCAGGTTTTCTATTTCTTCTTTGTTCAATCATCTTGGCAGGGTGTATGTGTCCAGGAATTCCATTTCTTTTAAGTTTTCCAATCGTTAGTGTATAGTGGTTCATAAAAATCTGTAATGTTCCTTTGTATTTCTGTGGTATCAGTTGTAATGTCTCCTTTTTAGTTTCTGCTTTTATTTATATGGGTCTTCTTTTTTTTCTTGGCTTGGTTTATTGATTTTATCTTTTCCAAAAATCAACCTTTCACTTCATTGGTCTTTGTACTTTTTTAGTCTTTAGTTCCTTTAATTCTGCACTGATATTTATTTCCTTCTACTAATTTTGGCTTTGATTTGTTCTTGCTTTTCTAATTCCTTGAGATATATCATTTGGCTGTTTATTTGAAATCTTCCTACTTTTTTGATGTAAGTGTTTACTGTTATAAACATCGCTCTTAGCACTGCTTTTGCTGTATCCCACAGGTTTTGGTATGTTGTGTTCCCCTTTTCATTTGTTTCAAGAATTTTTTTATTTCCTTCTTAATTTCTTCATTGACCCAGTGGTCATTCAGGAGTATATTGTTTAATTTCCATGTATTTGTACAATTTCCAAAGTTTCACTTGTTATTGATTTCTAGTTTTATTCCATTGTGGTCTGAGAAGATACTTGATATGATTTCAATTTCTTAAAATTTGTTTTGTGGCCTAAGATATGATCTATCCTGGAGAATCTTTCATGTGCTGATGAGAAGAATGTATGTTCTGCAGCTATTAGATGAAAAGTTCTGTAAATGTCTATTAGGTCTATACGGTCTAAAGTGTAGTTAAATCCAATGTTTCTGTGATGATTTTCTGTCTAGATGATCTGTCCAGTGCTGAGAGTGGGGTGTTGAAGTCCCCAGCTATTACTGTATTAGAGTCTATCTTTTCCTTTAGATCTTTGCTTTCTATCTCTGGGTGCTCTGGTATTGGGTGCAAATATATTTAGAAGTATTTTATCTTCTTGCAGAATTGATCCCTTTATCATTATATAATGACCTTGTCTCTTTTTACAGTTTTTGACTTAAAGTCTGTTTTATTTGATATAATTATAGCTACTCCTGACAGCTTTGGCTTGTGTTTGTGTGGAATATCTTTTTCCATTCCTTTACTTTCAGTCTGTATGTGTCTTTACAGGCGAAGTGAGTTTCTTGTAAGCAGCATATAGTTGGGTAATTTTTTTATCCATTCAGTCAATCTATATCTTTTAAGTGGGGGAATTTAATCTAGTTACATTCAAGGTTATTATTGATAGGTAAGGACTTACTCTAGTCATTTGGTTAATTGTTTTCTGGTTGTTTGATTAATTGTTTTCTGTATATATTTTGTGCCTGTCTTCCTCTCTTACTGTTTATCATTGCAGTTTGGTAAACATTCTATAATAGTAATGTTTAACTCCTTTCTCTTTCTCATTTGCTGATCTGCCCTATCAGTGGGCTTTATACTTTCATGTGTTTTCATGATGATAGAGATTGTCCTTTCACTTCCAGATGCAGAATTCCCTTAAACATTTCTTGTAGGGCCAGTCTAGTAGTGATGACTTACCTCGGTTTTTGCTTGTTTGGGACAGACTTTATTTCTCTTTCAGTTTGGAAGTATAGCATTACTGGGTACTATAATCTTGACTGACAGTTTTTAATTTCCAGCACTTTGAATATATTATCCCAATCACTCCTGGCTTGTAAGATTTTCACTGAGCAATCTACTTTAGTCTGATTCCTTTATATGTGAATTCATGCTTCTCTCTTGCTGTTTTTAAAATTCTCTCTGTGTCTTTGACTTTCAACACTTTGACTATAATGTGCCTTGGAGAAGGCAGACCTTTTTGGGTTGAATCTACTCGGAGATTTTTGAGCTCCCATCATTATACAAAGCATGACTATACCTGGATCTCTATATTTCCTGTACCTGGATGTCTATATCTTTTGCAAGACTTGAGAAGTTTTCAGCTATTATTTGATTAAATAGGTTTCATATGCCTTTGCCCATCTCTTCTCCTGAAATTCCCGGAACTGGAATATTTGGTCACTTACTGCTGTCTCATGTCACAAAGGCTTTCTTCAATCTTTTCTTTTTTTGGTCTGATTGGGTTGCTTCAAAAAAGACCTGTCTTCAAGTTCAGAAATTCTTTCTTCTGCTTAATCTAGTCTATTGTTGAAGTTTTCAATTATATTTTTATTCTATTCACTGAATTCCTCAGTTTTAAGATTTCTGTTTGTTTCTCTTTTACATCTATCTGTCTCTCTGTTGAATTTCTCATTCAGGTGATGAATTGTTTTCCTGATTTCTTTGCATTTTTATCTGTGTTCTCTTGTATCTCAGAGTTTAATATCATTATTTTGAATTCTTTTTCAGACATATAATAAATTTTATTTTCTTTGGAATCTGTTGCTGGAGAGTTATTGTTTCTTTGAAGGTATAGTATTTCCTTGCTTTTTCCATGTTTCTTTTGCCCCTTTGTGCATCTAGTGTAATAGTTACTTCTTCCAATTTTATGGATTGGCTTTCATAGGGAAAGACTTTTCTATAGGGGCATTTATAGTGTTGGGTGGGTAGGGTGCTTTGGCTTGATTATGGATTGGCACAGTAACATAGTTTCTGTTTAATTTCTTCAGCTGTAATCAGTGTCAGTGGTATCTCTGAGTTTCTCAGTGGCTTAGACTGTCATTGTTAGTGGAGGCCATCCTGAGGCTTTGCTGAGGATGGAGATGCCAGGCAGGCCAGTCCTTGAGCATCACTGGTGGCAACAGTGGGTAGGATGGGCCTGTGCTCAGGCCCTTGGATGGCATATGTGGGCGCCAGCAGTAGCGGGAGGGATGGGCCTATCCTCAGGTGTCCTCCAATATTGCACACAGGCACTACCTACATTAGGCAGGGCAAGCCAATCCCCAGGCCTCCAGATGGCATGCTTGGGTGCAGGCAACAGTGGGTGGTGGGCTGGGCAGGCTTGTCCTCAGGCCCGTGGATGATGCATGTGGGGGCCAGTGTCGGCAAGTGGGGCAGGCCTCTCCTCAGGCCCTCTCAATGGCAGGCGCTAGTGGCAGCAGTCATGGTAGACCATTCCTCAGGCCCCTGGATGATGCATGTGGGGGCCAGTGTCGGCAAGCGGGGCAGGCCTCTCCTCAGGCCCTCTCAGTGGCAGGCGCTGGTGGCAGCACTCATGGTAGACCATTCCTCAGGCCCCTGGCTGATGCATGTGGGGGCCAGTGTCGGCAAGTGGGGCAGGCCTCTCCTCAGGCCCTCTCAGTGGCAGGCGCTGGTGGCAGCAGTCATGGTAGACCATTCCTCAGGCCCGTGGATGATGCATGTGGGGGCCAGTGTCGGCAAGTGGGGCAGGCCTCTCCTCAGGCCCTCTCAGTGGCAGGCGCTGGTGGCAGCACTCATGGTAGACCATTCCTCAGGCCCCTAGATGATGCGCACGGGTGCTGGCAGTGGGTGGGGCATGTCTGGTCCCTGGACAGTGCGTGCAGGTGGTGGTAGCTGCAGCGGGTGGGGCAGATTGGTTCCCAGGCCCCATGTGGGCACGGGCAGTGGCAGGCAGGGTGCACCTTTCGCAGCAGCCATCTTATGACAATGAGGTGATGTGCTGAGACAGTGGAACAGGAAGACAGAAGGATCCAGAAAATCTGACACCATGGAGCCATCATAGTCATCCTACATTGCCTGCTTTGGGGATCATTTCACATGAGAGAAAGATTAACTCCTAATTTACTTTAAGGCAATTTGATTTTAAGCCTTTACTTTAGGCAATGCATGCAAATCCTGATTCAGAAGTCACTTCAGACATACCAGAACTCAAAACCCATTCTGGGAAAAAAAAAAAAAATCACTGAAGGAGGTTCTTCAGCAAATGAAGACAACAGCTCTGGTGGCTGGTCACCAGAGGGGGTGCTGAGGCAGTACCTTTGCCAGAGTGTTGCGGGACGCAGTGATTCCCTCCAACATAAGTTTCACTGCCTGGGACAGAGGCTTCTGGGCACCCAGCAGCATACTGGTCTCCATCCCAAAAGCTGCCTGGGGGAGAGAGAAGGGCAAGGTCATCCCTGGGGCACAGAAGGGCAGCAGATCCAGGGCAAAGCCTGGCATCATTCTGCTAGACACCTGGACTCTGGGCTAAGGGTTTATATGCATCATATCATCAGCTGCTTACAATGACCCATGATAATTTGATCCCCATGGAATGCTATGAGGATGAAGTAGCTCATAGTAGCTACTCAATAAACTTGGCTTTCTTCCTTGACAAGATGCATTTCCCCTGAAATGCAACCTTCCTTAAGTGTTCATTCTATACTAGCTTCACAGTGAAGTGAATGGATAGCAAAAATGATAAAGGAATAGCAATGTGATAAAGAGGAATCCAGTCACTGTCCCCACACTGCAGTTCCCTGACCTGCCCCGCCCCCACATAAAGTGGGGTTTGGGGTTACTGGGCCCACTGCTGAGTCTACTGGGGTGAAGAGCCAAGTCATACCCTATAGGGAGTGCAGAGGGAAGGCAGCCTTTGGGCTGAGAGTCAGGCAGACCTGAGATCAAATCTTGCTTCTGCCATTGACCAGCTACAGGCCAGGCCCTGCACCTGTCCCTTGCTCAAGAATGAGTTACTAGCCCCAATCTCACACTAGGTTGCTTTGAATATTGAAGGAGACAGAATGTATACAGAATATATGAAGCACAGAGGAATTGCTGGTATGTTAGAGGAGCAGGAGGGAGGGGAAGAGAGAAGGGAAGAGGGAGAGAAGAGACCCCTCTACCCCATGTGGCCCTCCTGGCCCCCATGCCCGACTGTCACCCATCACCTTGGCCAGGATGTCCATGGCGGTGTAGGTCAGCATGTCCTGCATGGACACTGGGGTCTGCCCATCTGCCTTGGCTTCTAGAATCTCCACCAGCTGCTCAGCCTTCTCGTTGAATGTTTCCATTAAGCTAACCAAGGAGCTGGAGAAACAGCACAGGCATCAACGGCCACTGGCCAGCCCAATATGGTGGACTGCCATGTGCCCTCCCTCTCCACAGAGAGGATACTGTGCAGAGTGAAGGTGGGTGGTCCCTCCCAGTCTTTCTGGCCTCCCCTTGAGACCCAGATTGCAGGTTGGAGTTGTAGTAACTGAACTACACCCTGGGGTTTCACCATTCTCCTCCACTCAGGATGGATGCTGTTCCCTTGCTCTTGTCCTAACAGTTCCACAGGTACTCTGTTGGTCACTGTGGCCCTTCAGCCCTGACCTCAAAGGGACGTGACAGTGTAGAAACTTTGGGCCTCCTACAGTCCATGAGAGGGCAATCCCGGTTCCCCTCCTGCCCTCTACTCCCGTTGCCTGCTCTCCTTACCTGCCCTGCCCTGGGCACCAGCTGCAGCATTTTGTTTTCCCACTTCACTGCCTGTCCTTGAGCAATCATGGTGTCCAACTCTATGTGGAAATGAGTCCTCAGATACCATTCGCACCCCAGAGCTCCCAACCCACAGGGCTCCCTCCCAGGCACAGAGCTTAGAAAGAGATATGGAAGAATGCACTCCAAACTCACAAAAATGGCAACCCCAAGGGAGCTGGAAGGAGGAGACTGCCATTTTGTACATTACATGTTTCTGAAATTTTGCTAAGAGAAAATGCTGCTTTTATAATTAAAAGAAATGTTATTTTTATTTATTTATTTTTCCATAGACAGAGTCTTGCTCTGTCATGCAGGTTGGAATGCAGTGGTGCAATCTCGGCTCACTGCAACCTCTGCCTCCTGGGTTCAAGCAATTTTTCTGTCTCAGGCTCCCGAGTAGCTGGGATTACAGGCATGTGCCAGCATGGCTGGCTAATTTTTGTATCTTTAGTAGAGACAGGGTTTCACCATGTTGGCCAGGCTGGTCTCAAACTCCTGACCTCATGATCCACCCACCTTGGCCTCCCAAAGTGCTGGGATTACAGGTGTGAGCCACTGCACCCGGACCTAGAAATGTTAATCTTTTAATATTAATCTGAGTAAAGAGTACATGGGTATTCTTTGTCCTATTCTTATTCTTGAAACGTATCTGAAAATTTGAAATTATTTCCAAATAGAAAATTTTTAAAAAGAGAAATGGGGCCAGGGCCAGGGGCTCATGCCTATAACCCCAATACTTTGGAAGGCGAGAGCAGGAGGATTGCTTGCGGCCATGAGTTCCAGACCAGCCTGGACAACACAGCAAGACTCCGTCTCTGCAAAAAATAAAAATAAAAACTAGCTGGGCATGGTGGCACACTCCTGTAGCCCCAGCTACTTGAAAGGCTGAGGCCGGAGGATCACTTGAGCCCAGGAGGTCAAGGTTAGAGTAAGCTATGGTCACACCATTGCACTCCAGTCTGGGTGAAAGAGTGAGACCCTGTCTCTAAAAAAGAGAGAGAGAATGGGAGAAGAAAAACTAAAATAGTAACCAGCTTTTCATTGCCCAACTAGCCGACGCACATGCCTGGCAGCAGGTGAGCCTGGGGCTCTCCACTCTCATCTGGTCCCTTTGCAACATAAAACACTTTGAAGCATGCTGTTGCTCTTAGGAGGGGGATGAAAATCTTCACCTGAGCTTAAGAGCTGGAGTCTGCTTCTCGCTGACCTCCACCTATAACATTGCCTTCCTGTTCCAGGGGCCTTTTGGCTCCTCCAAATACAATGCTCCTGCCCACCATGGGGCTGGTGCACACACATCCCCTCTCCTGGAGCACTCACCCTCTATCCCCCACAACCATCACTACCTGAATGTCTCCCTTCTCCAGATGGACACTCAAAGGCCGCTTCCTCAGGCAGTAACTCTTGAGCCCCAGGTAGGTGCAATATATGCTCCCACAGCACCCTTGACTTTTTCTCATAATGCTTACATGGTTGGCAAGTATATATTTATTTGCAAGATGATTTGTAGTTGTCTTTTTAAAAAAATCTCATTTAAGTTGATTATCCAGATAGTATGTGGCCGGTTATCATACAAACACTGAATCTCTTGCAGCTATTGTAGAAACAAAACTGGGCTACAGCGTTAGGTGAACAATAAAATCCTGACTCCCTTGGTGGACTCAGACTGAGGTCTTCCCATAAAACCAAAATCTGGAAAAGTAGAAACTAGCAATTTACTCTCACAGTTTTATTAAAAGTACAAAATTATATTCTGTGTGGGTAATGGTTGGAGATGAAACTCATCAGTGGTTCCTATTTTTTCTTCATTAGTGAATTAGGATTCACCAAGGCTCAATAATACTTTCATAAACACAGGCATCTTCTAAAGTTTCTTTCATAAAGCCTTGTAAATTTGGCATTTACTATAGAACAGTCATCTCTAAGACAACATCTTATTGTGAGATTAAAAAATAAAAATATCTGGTGATGGTTGCGTAATAATGCGAATGAATTTAATACCACTGAACTGCACACCTAAAAATGGTTAAGATGGCAAACTTTATGCTGTGTGTATAAAAAGTTAAAAAAATAAAAATGTCTGTGAAAGCACTTTATAAACTATAAAGCACTGTTCAAACATGAGGTTCTATGTGCTGGAGATGCTTCCTCAAGACAATGACATGGTTATGTCATGATCATGTGGGCCATCATCTGGTTAGAATTGATGTTTCCCATAACCTCAAAGCTTCCTGAAGTTTGCTTGGCTGGCCTTTGCAACCCTGGCTCTTGGCACAATAAGTATTTCTTAAATAAATGTCTCTTTCCAGTCTACTCCTTCCCATTTTCACTTCTGACAACTTTCCAGTAAGACTGAGACTATTCCAATTCATTGATTCACTTACGCATTCATTCACTCTATGGGCATTCCTGGAGGGCTTGTGGGGTGCCTGGTGCTGGGCGCAGGACTCAGGGACAGGGTGCGTCTTCTGCCTTCAGGGATCCGTGGTCTAGTGAGGGAGGTGGACATGAATGGAAGCACTACATTGGGTGTGACAGGTGCCTTGATGGAGGCATGAACTCAGCCTCAGTAGGTGACATCTTAGCTGGGTATCAAAGGAGGAACAGGAATTCCCCAGAGGTTCACATTGAGGCAGTGGGAACAGCAGAGATGCCAGAAAAAGCACAGTGGTTTCCAGAAAGGCTGGGGAGAGGGGATGCAAAGGTTGGAGGGGTTTAGGGGCAGACTGAGGGTGAATGGGGTCTGATCTTCATCTCTCAGATGATAGGAAGCCATTGAAGGCTTCAGAACAGGGGAGTGGCATGGTCAGATCTGAGCTTTAGCAAGATCTCTTCAGGATGGTGAGTGGATACATTGGAGGAGGGAGACAGGAGGAGGGTAGGCCAATGAGGAGGCTGTAGCAAGAGTTCTGGCAAGGATGTTTATACAGTTCTCCACAGATTACATAGTCAAGAATTGCTTCACAGTGGAGAAACCTGGTAGGCACCACCTCAACCACTGTGCAAACTTAACATGGCCAGCAATGGGACAAATCAGTAGCATGTGCCTCCTGATACAATGCCCCACAGAGGACACAGCATCACTCTGTAGCATTACCACCAAAGAGGGATAGCCTGAGTCTAACAGTGCAGAGAGACAGCTGACAAATTCAAACTGAAGAACCATCTACAAAACTGTCCTGTCATCTTCAAAAATGTTAAGGTAAAGAAAGCCAAAGAAAGGCTGAGAACTGTTCTAGAATAAAGGGGGCTAAAGTGACAGGGGAATTAAATGAAAAACATGAACATGGATTAGATTTTAGACAAAGAAAACAGCTACAACTGTACAAATGACAAATTTTGAATATGAACTGTGAATTAGATAACAGTATTAGATTAATATTATTAATTTTCTCATTTTGATAAACTATAGTTTGTAGTCATTGTTCATGGAAGTATTTAAAGGTGGGGAGCACAATGTCTCTAACTCTTAAATGGTTTTTTAAAATATGTACTATATAAAAAATATAAATATATGTATATACACACAGTGATAAATATATTTACATATACACTCATAAAGAGAAGAAATGATAAAGCAAATGGTGATTTAAATAATAAATAATAAGTGAATCTGGGTAAAAGATATATAAGAGTCCCTTACACTATTCTGGCAATTTTTCTATAAATTCAAAATTATATCAAAGATTACCTTCTTTCCAATGTTAAAATAGAGTTACCATGTGACTCAAAAATTCCACTAGGTAAATACCCAGGAGAAATGAAAACATATGTCCATACAAACACTTGTACAAAAATGCTCATAGCAGCATTTTTCATAATAGCCCAAAAGTGGAAACAGCCCAAAAGTCCATTAACTGATGAATGGGTAAACAATATGTGGTATATCCATACAATGGAATATTATTTGACAATAAAAAGGAATGAGGCATTAATATAGATGACACCATGGATGAGCCTTAGAAACAAGATGCTAATGAAAGAAGCCAGGCATAAAGGACTACATATTGCATGATTCTATTTATATAAAATGTCTAGAATGCAAAAATCCATAGACAAAGAAGGTAATTAGTGGTTGCCAGCAGGTAGGGGAATTGGGAAGAAATGAGGAATGACTGCCTTTTTTTTTTTTTTTTTTTTTTGAGATGGAGTCTCGCTCTGTCACCCAGGCTGGAGTGCAGTGGAGTGATCTCAGCTCACTTCAACCTCCGCCTCCCAGGTTCAAGTGATTATCCTACCTTAGCCTCCCGCGTAGCTGGGATTACAGGTATGCGCCACCACACCCAGCTAATTTTTGTATCTTTAGTAAAGATATGGTTTCTCCATGTTGGCTAGGCTGGTCATGAACTCCTGATCTCAGGTGATCCGCCTGCCTTGGCCCCCCAAAGTGCTGGGATTACAGGCATGAACCACCACGCCTGGCTGAATGACTGCTTTTGAGGGTGATGAAAATGTTCTAAAATGTGCTGTGTTGATGGTTATAGAATTCTATGAATATACCAACGCCATTGAATCGTACACTTTAAATGGGTGAGCTGTATGGTATGTGAATTATACCTCCATAATAGTTATTTAAAAAGTAAAGTACAGTCATGTGTTACTTAACGACAAGGATACATTCTAAGAAATGTGTTGTTAGGGAATGTCTTCATTGTGTGTACAGCATAGAGTATACTTACACAAACCTAGACAGTATAGCCTACTACACACCTAGGCCATATGGTCTAGACTATTGCTCCTAGGCTATACACCTGTGCAACAGGTTACTGCAACACAATGGTATTTGTATATCTAAACATAGAAAAGGTACAGTAAAAATACAGTCTAAAAGATTTTTTTAAATGGTCCACCTGGATAGGGCACTTACTGTGAATGGAGCTTGCAGGACTGGAAGTTGCTCTGGGTGAGTCAGTGAGTGAGTGGTGAGTGTGAAGGCCTAGGACATTACTGCACGCTAATGTAGACTTATAAAAACCAGACACAGGCTACACTGAGTTAAAAATTTTTTTTCTTTCTTCAATAATAAATTAGCCTTAGCTTACTAGAACTTTTTACTTTATAAACTTCTCATTTTTTAAATATTTTTGACTCTTGTAATAACATTTAGCTTAAAACACAAACACTGTTCAATTGTACAAAAATATTATCTTATTTGTATCCTTATTCTATAAGCTTTTTTATTAATTCTTTTTTACTTTTAAAACTTTGTTGTGAAAAACTAAGACACAAACACACACATTAGCCTAGGCCTACACAGGGTCAGGATCATCAATATCACTGCCTTCCACCTCCGCATCTTTCCTCACTGGAAAGTCTTCAGGGGCAATAACAGGCATGGAGCTGTCATCTCCTATGATAATAATGCCTTCTTCTGGATGCCTCCTGAAGGACCTGCCTGAGGCTGTTGTATAGTAAACTTTTAAAAAATCTGTAAGTAGAAGGAACCCATTCTAAAAGAATGTTTAAAAGTATAGTAAACACATAAATCAGTAACATAGTCAATTATCATTTATCAATATTACGTACTGTCCATAATTGCATCTGCTAGACTTTGGCATGACTGGCAGTGCAGCAGGTTTGTTTACACCAGCACCACCACAAACATGTGAGTAACACATTGCACTACGCCATTACCATGGTTACAGCATCACTAGGCAATAGCAATTTTCAGCTCCATTATAATCTTACGGGACCACTGTCACATATGCATTCCATCGTTGACCGAAACATCGTTATACAAAGCACAACTATATCACCAAAACATAAAAACTCAAATGAATAAAAGAAGAAGCCCTGACAAGGAGTGATGAGGTCTGATGTGGGGAGCTCTTGGAGGACAGGAACCCCCATGCTTCTGGCCATCGTGGGCACTCAGCCCTTGATGTTCCCAAACTGCGTGGGGGCCTCATTCATCCCCACTTGGTCAGCCTGTCTCTCTCTCTCTCTCCCTTTTGACTATTAACACCCTGTCTTTCCCCTTTTTCCTCTCTCCCTTCAGCTGAGGGAGGCCCCCTTGGGTGGACACTTCCCTCCCCAAGGCCCACCTACACTTCGGCAGCCCCTACTGCCTCTGGCCAGGCAGGAGCCACGGAGCCTCCGGCCACACTCACCTCCGGCTGAAGGCCAGGTCTATGACTCTCCGCTGCTTGTGCCAGCGCTCATAGTTGCATTCGGACACCAAGCCTTGGCCGAAGAGTCTGTAGGAGACACACACGTGATGCGGGAAAGAGGGTGGGGGGTGGGGAGCGACTGCTTGATGGGCTTGGGGTCATATTTTGGGATGAGGAAACGGTATTGGAGCTAGGCGGTGGCGACGGTTGCGCCACATTGTGAAGGCACTGAATTCCACTAGACTGTACCCTCTAAGGTGGGGAAAATGGTGAATGTTATGTCAGTTTTACCGGAATTTTAAAAATAACTTAAAAAGGAAAAGGATGATCGTGTTACCCAACCTCAGTGGCCTCTATATTCCCTGCCATCTGGAGGTTGGGGGAGAAGGAGGAAACTGCTCGTGACAAGAGTGGGGCCACTGTTTACGGGGCACTCATCACATGCCTGGCAGCCAGGGCCTCAGGCCTCAATTCTACACCCCACATTCTGGACCGCACTGGCCCTCACTCACAGCAGGGCTCTCCTGGCCTCCCACCCAGGCCTTCCACCATACCTCCTTACCTCTCACCAAACACAGTCTGGAGCGCACGGTACATCTTGGAGTCCTTGTTGTACTTGGTTGACATCAGGAACTTCTAAATATCCCCAAAAAACCAACATAGGCTCATGCACCCATGAGTAGCTGCAAGATGCTCTTCTGAGACATGCCCCAAATAATCACCATTGGCTGAGTCTCAGCCGCAGTGTGCCCACTTCCCATGCATGATCCCACACAATCGTCCCTATCTTCAAGTAACATCAGCTGTGTGGGGATGGGGAAAATGCAGCACAGAGGGGCGAAGTGATTTTCCTGTGGACGTACAGTCAGAGAGCGTGGGGAGGGCTTGCTCACTCCAATGTCACACTCGGAACCCCATACCATGTCACCTTCCAAAGCAGCAAAACAGGAAAAGGCAAATGCTGCTCTGAAACCAGAGTGAGAAGGGGAGAAGCCCTTCCGGGAGAGGAAGGGCTTCTGGGTCACAGGAAGGGCACTTGGCACACATTTAATATTGCTAGCATGCACTCAAGCCGGGCAGTCAAGGAAGTGTGAAGGCACACTTCCACCCGGGAAGGAGAAACTGCTAAGGACTTGCCCTTGTGCCATAAACAACCGGAAAACCTGGGAAATGTATGAAATGTCTGCTTTCAGACACTGGACAACAGGCAGTGCAGGATTGTGAAACTCCCCGGAGGAAAGCTCAACTTACCTCACCAAGAGCTGGATGGTAACAACAGTAACATCAGCCAACAGCTCTTGAGGCAGGATTGCCCAGTGGTTAACAGCGTGGGCTGTGTAGTCAGCCAGCTTCAATTTGGATCTGGGCTCAGCATCCCTGCTGCACCACATGCTAACTCTGGGACCTTGGATGAGTTACTCACCTCCTCTGCCCCTCAGTTTCCTCATCTTAGATGGATATAAGAGTTCCTGCCTGGCAAGTTTGTTGTGAAGAGTGTCAATTCTACATAAGAAGTGCTAAGAATGGTGCCCGGCACATAGCAGGTGCTCAATAAATGCCAGGTGCACAGCTGCACCCTGCGGTTCACTCAATGCCCAGTCAACCCAAGTTGCTGAGATTACAGGTGTGAGCCACCACACCTGGCTGCGGGTGTTGTTTTTATGCTCATCTTACATACAGATGGAGAAACTGAGGTTGAAAACTGACCCAAGGTTACACACATAGTAAATGGTAGACACAGGATTTGAATCCAGGCAATTTGCTGCGGAGAGAGGGGAGAGACGGCTATGATCCAGACCAAGGGACCACAGGTCCCCTGGTACATTCAGGCAGAGGTACATGAGGGGGAACGTGCTGCAGGACCCAGAGCCCAGAGGCCTGCCCTCTGGGCTACTGCTTTATCCTGTGGGTGCTGGGAAGCAGTAAGAGGATGACTCAACTATCGGTTAACCCAGGTGCTGCTACCTTCTCTGAGATTAGCTCCTGGGGGTTTAATATCGATTTTTCAGCTGAAAAGAAGCCCCAGAAATGCCTGACTTTGTGTCAGGAACCACATTCCAGGGACCTCAAATGTAACCCAAACACTGTCATTTGTAACCCAAGTTCTGTCCCACCAAGAGGAAGACTGTGACAGTAAATGCCCACCCTACAGGCCCCTCTCAAATACCCTAGAGTCACCTGAGGTCTAAGTGAGCCATTCTTAGATTGAACTGAAGATCCCTACCATTAAGGCAGAGTAGCCTCAGTCAGGGTCTGACCAGGTGACCCCCACAACCAGGCACCCCCATGGCCTGCTGTCCCAGAGGCTGGGGATCCTGTGATGGCCTGGTGACATAAACTATGGGATGTGAGGAATGCACAGGGAACCCCCAGTGCCTTGCTGCTTCCTCTGGTCACACACACACCGATGGCACACTTCCACCCGGGAAGGAGAAACTGCTAAGGACTTGCCCTTGTGCCATAAACAACCAGAAAACCTGGGAAATGTATGAAATGTCTACTTTCAGACACTGGACAACAGGCAGTGCAGGATTGTGAACCTCAAGAGAAGGAGGGGAAAAATGTGAGACCTATGACCTAGGATTACCGAGCTTTCTACCCAGAGGCAATTCCAGGACAGCAGCACAAAGAGAAAAGACCTAAATGCAGTCCAGCAGACGTGCCAAGTTGAATAGACAGAGATCAGAGGCTAGGCAGACCAAAGGAGGCCAGAATTAGTAGGACAAAGTACCAGGGAGAAGCTATGCATAGAAAGAGCAGAACAAAGTACCAGGGAGAAGCTATGCATAGAAAGAGCAGAACAAAGTACCAGGGAGAAGCTGTGCATAGAAAGAGCAGGACAAAGTACCAGGGAGAAGCTATGCATGGAAAGAGCTCCTACGCAGCATCTGCATGGGGTCCCTTAGGTCTTCGGATGTATACCAATCTATGCAAATGTAGGGTGGAACTTCAGAAGACTGGCCAAAACAACTTCTGGGGAAAGAAGAATTACTGGGTGACTACAGACTGAAGAATTCTCAGAGCTTACACGGGGCCAATAATTATTCAAGTTTCCACTACCCAGAATAGACAAACCTCAGACACAAGACCTTCCGCAGAGGCCCCAGAATGGTCACTCCTTAGCAGTAGGGCTAAACTAGCTCTCAAGTAAAAGTCTACTCTAGACTCCCACTTATAAAAGCCTTAAAGCAAGCCTGGAAAGGATCAAACTGATCTGCAAGTAACTTTATCATCTCAGAATGAAGTCAAAGAATCTCTAAAGGAATATAACAAAACCTAGTGCCCAAAAATGTAAAATTCACAATGTCCAGTATCCAATAAAAAATCATTAGACATGCCACAAAGCAGGATATTATGACCTATACCCAGGCCCAGATAATGGAATGATAGAACTAGCAGACAAGAACTATAAAACATGTATTACTAATATGATCATGGAACCCACATATCTAAGAAATTCAAAGGATCCCAAATAGAATTAACAAAGAAAAGTACAGCAAATAAAGTATACCAAGGCAGATCATAATCAATTGCTGACATCAGTGATAAAGAGAAAAATCTTAACAGTAGACTGAGATGAAGTGGTATAATATTATTTGAAGATATATTTATATAAGTTAAAGATGAAATTATAAACCCTAAGAAAACAACTAAGAAAGAGAGAAAAGGAACCAATAAGATAATAGTGGTTAGCTGGGCATGGTGGTAGTCTCAGCTACTCAGGAGGCTGAGGTGGGAGGATTGCTTGAGCCCAGGAGTTTGAGGCTGTGGTGAGCTATGAAACCTGGGGAACAGAGTGAGATCCTGTCTCAATCGATCAATCAATCAATCAATAAGACAATAGTAGAGATGAAACAGAATACTAAAACATACTTAATCCAAAAGAAGGCAGGAAAGGAGGAAAAGGGAACAAAAAACAGATGGGACAAATAGAAAACAAACAGTAACATGGTAGATTTAAACACAGCCATATCAATAATTACAGTAAATGTAAACAACCTAAGCACTCTAATTAAAGGCAGAGATTGTCAGACTGTATAAAACAGCAAGAATCAACTGTGTGCTATCTATAAGAAACCCATTTTAAATATAAAAATGCAGATAGGTTAAAAGTAATATAACAGAAAAAAGATATAACATGCAACACTAAGCATAAGAAAGCTGGAATGGAGGCTGGGCATGGTGGCTCACGCCTGTAATCCCAGCACTTTGAAAGGCTGAGGTGGGCAGATCACTTGAGGTCAGGAGCTCAAGACTAGACTGGCCAACATGGTGAAACTCCATCTCTACTAAAAATACAAAAATTAGCTGGGTATGGTGGCAGGCACCTGTAGTCCCAGCTACTTGGGAGGCTGAGGCAGGAGAATCACTTGAACCCTGGAGGTGGAGGTTGCAGTGAGCCGAGATAGCGCCATTGCACTCTAGCTTGGGCAACAAGAGCGAAACTGCTTCTCAAAATAATAATAATAATAATAATAATAATAATAATAATAATAAAGCTGGAATGGCTTAAAGTAGACAAAATATACTTGGAGTAAAGAATGTTATTAAGAATAAAGATGAACATTTCTAAGGATAAAAGAGTCAATTCATCATAAAGACAAATCCATCCTAAATGTGTACACACCTGATAACAGAACTTCAAAATGCAGGAAGCCAAACTAATGGAACTGAAAGTAGAAATAGATAAATCTATGATTATGAAGGGTTCAACATTCCTTGCCCTGCAACCACTAGAACAAGTAGACAGAAAATTAGAAAGGATTTAAAAGATTTGAATAACACTATTGACCAAATTGACCTAATCGACATTTCTAAAACACTTTATTCAACAATAACACAACATACACTCTTTTTAAGGGTTCATTAACATTCACTTTGATGAACCATATGCTGGGCCATAAAACAAATTTCAATTAATTTAAAAGGACTGAAATCATGATGATGAGTATTCTCTCTGACTTTACAGAATTAAATTAGAAATCAATAACAGAAAGATATCTAGAATATCCCCTAATATTTAAAAATTGAATAACATACATCCAAATAATCCATGGTTCAAAGAATAAATCACAAGGGAAGTTAGAAAATATTTTGAACCAAATGAAAATAAAACATATCAAAATTTGTGGTAAATTTGTCCTAAAGCAGTGCTTAGAAGGAAATGTATAGCTCTAAATGCTTACATTAGAACAGAAAAAATGTCTAAAATCAATTGTTTAAACTCCATCCTAAAAATCAGAACAAGAACAAATTAAACCCAAAGTGAATACAGAAAGGAAATAAGAAAGAGGAGAAATTGGCTGGGGGTGGTGGCTCACGCCTGCAATCCCAGCATTTTGGGAGGCTGAGGCAGGCAAATCACTTGAGGCCAGGAGTTCGAGATCAGCCTGGCCAACATGGTGAAACCCTGTCTCTACCAAAAAAATAAAAATTTAGCCACGTGCAGTGGTGGGCGCCTGTAATCCCAGCTAGTCGGGAGACTGAGGCAGGAGAATCACTTGAACCTGGGAGGCAGAGGTTGCAGTAAGCTGAGATCACGCCACTGCACTCCAGCCTAGGTGACAGAGCAAGACTTCATCTCAAAAAGAAAAAAAAAAAAAGAGGAGAAATCAATGAAATAGAAGACAAACAATGAAGGAAACCAATAAAACTAAAAGCTACTTATTTGGAAAGATGAATAAAATTGATAAACCTTTTGGTGAACTGATCAAGAAAAAAAAAAAAAAAGAAAACCCAAATTACTACTCTCAGGAATGAGAGAGGGAACATATCACAGATCCTACAGACATTAAAAAAAAAAAAAGAAAGAAAATCTCATGAACAACTTTATGCCAATAATTTAAGCAAATTATGTGAAGTGAACAGATCTCTTGAAATATGTGAATTATCAAACTCAAGAAAACAGAAAATCTGAATGCCATATGTCAACTAGAGAAGGAAATGCTGAAACATGCTACAAGATTAATTCACTTTGGAAACATTATGCTAAGTGAAATAAGTCAGATGCGAAAGGACAAATGCCATATGATTACACATGTATGACGCACATAAAGTAGTCCAATTCACGGAGACAGAAGGTAGAATAGTGGTTTCCAGGGTCTGGGGGGAGGGGAATGGGGAGTTATTGTTTAACTGATACACAGTTTCAGTTAGGGAAGATGAAAAAGTTCTGGAGATGGATGGTGGTGATGGATGTACAACAATGTGAATGTCTTTAATGCTGCTGAACTCTACACCTAAAAATGGTAAATTTTATGTTATGTGCATTTTATCATAATTTAAAATTTAAAACATACAATGTAAACAAAATTAAATTTGTAACTTAAAAAAAATAAAAATTTCCCTCAAATAAAACTCCAGGCCCACATGACTTCACTGGTGAATTATATCAAATATTAAAAGAAGAAATAACATCACTCCCATACAAACTTTTACAGAAGATAGAGGAGGAAGTTACCACTTCCCAACTTATCCTATGAGGTCAGTATTAACCTGATGTCAAAACCAGTCAAAGACATTACAAGAATCAAATAAATATGGAAACAAAAACTCTTAACAAAATATTAGCAAATTGAATCTAACAATAATTAAAAGATAATATATCATGACCAGGAATGCAAGATTGGTTTAACATTTGAATATCAATCAATCAGTATAATTCACTATATCAATATATATCTTTAAACTTCTTTTCTCATTAAGCATCACGAAAGTCTTTGTGCATGGTTTTTGGTAGCATGCTTTTACAAGTCTTAAATTGTGTCTATGTTTGAAATTAAACTTTTAATGAAAAATTATTTTTAACATTCTGCTAGAGATTCCTGGTTATTCATTCAACCTGTCTCCTTGTCTTGACTGTAAGTTGTATTTTATCCCTCTCAGAGTCACCACAGCCACCCTCCATTGCAGAGAATTGCCCCACACATCTGCTGCGCACCCATGGTAAGAAAAAAAATGCATCATTGTTTATTGAGCAATTGCTGTGTGCCAGGCAGGGGCTAGATGGCTCATTTATATTATTTTAGTTCTATTCTTACAACCACCCTGTAACAGAGGCACCAACTCTATTTCACAGATGAGGAAATGGAGGCCCAGAATGAAGCAACTTGTCCAAGGTCCCACAGCCAGTTGGTGGCAGAGCCCGGAGTTGAGCCCAGTTCTGCCAACTCCACAGCAGATACCCATTCTTGGAACCTTCATGGCAGACAGGACAGACAATGCCACCTGCCTTGGTTCCCTCATTTCACTTCTTTTTTTTTTTCTTTTTTGGAGATGGAGTCTCACTCTGTCACCCAGGCTGGAGTGCTGTGGCACGATCTCAGCTCACTGCAACTTCTGCCTCCCGGGTTCAAGCGATTCTCCTGCCTCAGCCCCCCAGGTAGCTGGGATTACAGGCGCCCACCACCACACCCAGCTAATTTTTGTATTTTTAGTAGAGATAGGGTTTCACCATGTTGGCCAGGCTGGTCGCGAACTCCTGACCTCAGGTGATCCACCAGCCTCAGCCTCCCAAAGTGATGGGATTACAGGCATGAGCCACTGTGCCTGGCCCTTTTTTTGAGATGGAGTTTCACTCTTGTCACCCAGGCTGGAGTGCCATGGCACGATCTCTGCTCACTGCAACCTCCACCTCCCAGGTTCAAGTGATTCTCCTGCCTCAGCCTCCCGAGTAGCTGGTATTACAGGTGCCTGCCACCATGCCCAGCTAATTTTTGTATTTTTAGTAGAGATGAGGTTTCACCATGTTGGCCAAGGGACTAATAAGAGTCCCTACTCCTATGAGGATTAAATGCGTCACTAATTGTGAAGTGCATAGAAAAGTACATAGTAAGCACTCTTTAAGGATGTTTTGACATATTATTTGTTAAATAAACTGATCAATTTTTAATTCTTATCATAGCCCTGGAGATAGAGTTATAATTCCCATCTCACAGATGAAGGAACTGAGGCAAAGAGAGGCAAACTAAACGTGTGTGCACTAGTTGGGCAAAACTTCCAACCCAAATGGGGACAGCAAGGTCCCCATCTACTCCCCACATCAAAAGGCAATGCTTGCAAGAGTCCCCAAGGAGTGGGTGCTTAGAGGGAAAGATGCCATTCCTTTCTGGATCTTTGGGAAACCAGCCGAAATGCGCCTGGCTCTGGAACATTCATCCAAAGTCTCTGGGACCAGGCTTCACTCCCCCAACCCAAGGAAAGGCAGGGAACTCCCTCATGGAAACCACTCTTCCTCCTACCTTAACCGACTCAGGACTCGTGACGATGACTGAGGTTTTGTGGAAGACGTTGACCCGCACAACAGGTCCATACTTCTTAGCCCTGGAAACCAAAGTGACCCGAAGGAAACTGTCAACCACCTGAGGTATGACCATCACCAACCCCGCCCAGCTGAGAAACCGATGTTTCCCGTCCCAGAAGGTGCTCAATGCATGCTACCAAAAGAGTGCTGTCCTGGGGCCCAGGAGCCCTGGGGGCAAGGCTCTGCCCTGTTGCTCACTTGCCGAGTCATGTCCCCCAGCAGGCCTCAGTTTCCACAGCCATGGAATAGGGTTGGAAACACTCCTTCTTTGATTGTCCCAAAAGGTTGTCCTGGGAATCAAATGATTCGCATCTTTGAAAGTACTTTGAAAAATGTAAAAAAGTGACACACCAAACAATGACTGTTACCTGGTCACACCCCCCCACCCAGTTTACAGATGAGGAAACTGAGGCTCAGAGAGCTTCTGACGGCTGGTCTAAGGTCCTGCAGTGGATGAATGGCAGAGCATGGCTTCCAAGCCAGCCTCACCTGCCTCCACTCAGGGGAGGAACTGCTGGGGCTGGGAGTAACCTGGGCTAGGGGAAGGTGAGGCTGGGAGTCTGTGTGCTGGATTGGGTTGGGGGAGCTGCCCCAAGGGAACCTGGAGTAAGGGCAACAAGTGACAAATGAGAACCCACCAATCCAAAAACACATCTTGGAGCACACGGCCACCAACCTCATCCTTTTTCCAAAAGCAGGGGAGGTGTCCTAGAAGGAAACTAGAAGAAACAGGAAACATTAGGCTTACCAGCAGTCAACAGGAAAGAACGCTCCCTTCCCCACAAGATCTTATTACTAGGCCCACTTCACAGACAGGAGGACCGAGGCATGGGGAGGTTACAGCACTGGCTCAGGGACACCAGGCAGTAAGAATGAAGACAGGATGCAAACCCAGGTCTGACCAGCTCCAAAGACCCCCTTGGAGAAGAAACAGTTTTTTTTCCTGTCTCCCTGGCACAGAAGTTGGGGGCTGGCAGATAGAAAGGACTCAATAATATTGTGTGGGATCACCCTCAGATATTCCCCAATACTGACCAGGCTGGGCACCACCACGCTAGGCTTCACCCCTCCAACCTCCCCACATGGCTGATCAGTCTGTTATTAACCGTATTATATAGGACAGCCGAGATGAAAGGGTGAAGTCATTTGCCCACAATTGCACAGCTGGTACCAGGGCTCCCCAAAGCCCATCTCAGCAAGGGATGGTTTGGTCATATAAATCTGCTGTGTTCACCAAATTGTAAAGAAGCCAGTGCAGTGTCATCCTGAAGCTCATTCCAAGGGGCCCATGACTTCCTGTCTCCTGTATGACTTTATTCCTACCAAGCTCAATGCAGCATCCCCAATGGGTGACAACAAAATCACGTTCTCCCAGGGAAAGGCGGAGAGTAAATAAACAAGTAAAGACAATGTCAGAGGGTGATAGGAGAAAAAGAGAACAGAGTACGGGGAAGAGGAAGGGCTGGGGATGAGTGTGTGGGTGTCCGTTTAAAACCCATTTATGCCTAGTGTTCCATTATTGGAACGCTAAGCTTGTGGAAGTTATTTATGTCCTACTGCTCAAGGTCAACACCAAGGTCTGATTTTTCAAATTCAAAAAATTGCAACCTCAGGCATAAATGGGTTAATGCAGGCAGGGCACGCAGTGTCCCTCTAAGAGGGTGGCTTGTGAGATGAGACCTGCAAGAAGCGGGGGAAGAGCCTTCCAAGCAATGGGAACAGCAGGTGCCAAGGTCCTGAGGTCAGAGTGTGCTTGGACAGTGAGGAAGCCAGTGTGGCTCGGGCAGAGTACTTGAGGGAAACAGAGTACAAGGTGGGTCACCAAGACTGGGGGCAGGTCATGTAGAGCCTTGTGGGCTGTGGTCCAGATTTTTGCTTTGACTTTGGTGAGCTGGGGTCCACTAGAGGGTTTTGAGCAGAGCAGAGATGGGATCTGACTTGGGTTTGAATGGATTGTTTTGCAGCAGTGCAGAGAGTAACCAGGGTAGGGGAGGAAGCAGGGACACTAGTGACAGGGAAGGACTGGGAGAGGTGACGAGGGCTCAGAACAGAGCAGGGCAGCGGAGGCAATGATAAGAAGAGGTCAGATTCTGAATGCTCTGTGAGGCGGAATACTGGAACGTGCCGTTTGGCTATGGGGGTGTGAGGATGACTCTGTGTTTTTGGCCTGGGCTGCTGGAAGAATGGATGGAGCGACCATCTACCAAGATGAGGAGGAGCTGGTTGGGGTGGCAGAGCCACCGTGCCCACCCCCTGCAATTTGCCAGGGCCGTCTCTGGCTCTGCCCACAGGAGATGAACCCACTTTGAGCAGCCCTCCACCAATGACCTCAGCCCCTCCACTTCTGGGGTAGCTCTGGGCATGTGCTCTACACAAGTCCCCAGGGTTCCCAGGGAATTGCACCTGTTTCCCCAAGAGGTAACTTGTTTTATTGGTTTGTTTACCTTCTTTATCCACTCTCCTCCTCCCACTGCTCAAACTGGGATCATCCCCCACCTCCTAAACTACTTACACTTCATTTCTTATCTCAGGATCAGCTTTGGGGGGACCAATCTCAGACAAGCAGATGAAATTAGGAGCTTGGCTTGGGACCGGTAAGGTTTGTGGTGGACTATTGAGCAGGAAGTTAGACACTCAGATCTGGAGCCCAGGGAAGGGCTGTAGGCTAGAGACATAAATTTGAGAGCCCACAGCAGAGAAGTGGTATTTCCAGCCCAGTGATTGGATGAGGCCACAAGGGAATGGATACAGACAGAGAAGAGGACCAAGAACTAAGCCATCACTGAGAAGTTGGGAGCATAGGGACAGCCAGCCAAGTGGACTGAGCGGGAGCACTGGGGAGGAGGGAAGAGAGCCAGGAGAGTTGGGTGAGAAGCCAGAGGAGGATGCGGGACAAGGCGGAGGGGGCATCGGCTCTGCCCAGGCTGCTGGGGGCCAGGTCAGACGAGGATCCAGGGCTGACGGCTGGGTGCGACAACATGGAGATCACCGGGAACCGAGCCCCCAGCAAGTTTGGTGGAGAGGTATGGGGCAGAGAGAACCAGAGGGGAGAAAAGGGAGGCCCAAAGGCAGGCAGTCAGCCAGGTGGGTTACCATAGGGGGCGGCAGCTACAGGGAACGAGAGGGTGAAGGGAAAGGTTTTGTTCCAAGCTTTGAATTCTTACATATTATATAAAAATGGGGATGATGCAGAAGAGGAGGAAAAGTGCTGATTTGGAGGTGGGGGTGCTCCTAGGACAGGGTTGCTGAGCAGAGGGGGCAGGTTGGCCTGGGCTACCCTCCCGGAACAGCTGGAAGGTGTGCGTGGGCCTGGGGCAGGAGGTGGGCAGCTGCTCAGTGGAGCCCAGGAAGGAAACTCTCACCGGCTGCTCCCTTTGCTCAGGGAAGTAGGAGGCAAGAATAAAAGCTGAGAGTGCGGATGGAGGGGGAGGTGATGGGGACTGAAGCAGGAAGGGAGAGTAGGCGAATAAACGCCCTGGGGAAGGAAGTACGGGGTGGCCGCCTGCCCGCAGTGGAGGCCCACGCCAGGTGAGTGGCCTTGAACTTGCAGGAAGATGGGCTGTGATCATCACACATGCCTGGATGTATTTCCAGAGTAATCTAGTGTCCTCATTGTCGCTTCCCAAAGCTCACATTCTGGGGGAATGTTCTCAGTTTTGAGTCACTTAAGTGAGGACAGAGTCTGAGCCCAGAGCTTCCACCCTAACCCCTGGGGTTCCCTGCCACATGGGAAGGAAGGTGAGTGCCATCTCAGGAAGACAGAGGGCACAGAGAGGGGTGGGGTCCTCATGGCCCACCAAGAAAGGGGAAAAAAAACCCATTCCTTCTGGCACCTGCAGGGGGCGCTGGGGAGGCGACAACAGAACAGGAAGACCCAGGTGTTAAAAACAAGCAGGTAAGGCTAACACCATGGCCAGACATGGGGACTTGTTGCTCAGCGCCCCGGCAGGCAGAAGCCCACTTGGCATGTCCCTGGTGATAGACTGGACACAGCAGAGCAGCCCTGGGAGAGAGGAGAGGCAATCCCCCACCGCCCACCACCCCACACCTCTCCAGCACATCCAGTTTCCTGCAACATCATGATTGGCTGAGTGGGGACCCAAGCTCTCCTGTGGGCAGAGAAAACCTTGGCCAGTGAACGAGGAGAGGCCATCTGGAGAGCCCACAGTGAAGTCACCCAGAGGGATGAAGGGAATGCTCCAGTAGTGGAGGAGCGGGCTACCCACTAGGGGTAGGCGTGAGGGTGAGGGACCATGATTGTGGCTCATGCCAGAGGGGCAGGGTGGCGAGTGCTCAGCTGGGCACCCAAAGCTCATCAGATGCACCACCCGCCAGAGCCAGCTGTGGGGCTCCCCCATGGCTGGCCACCCTGCTCCTTGCTGAACAGCCCCACCCCAGCAACTGGGCAAATCGGAGTGGAACCAGAACTGTCCAGGAGGAGTCAATTTATCCCCAAATAAATAAAAATTGGGAGAGAAAGACCTTTCATTGTCAAGTTTACATCCACTCCCACATTACCAGGAGAGTAGGGGCTGATGAGGGAAGTTAGAACAGTGACAGAGAAATAAAGAAGCTACAGGTGTTTGTGTGGGATCTGAGTGTGGGGGTCTGAGTTTTCAGCTGTTACACGGATCGGTGCAGTAGGATGTGGTAAGAAAAGCACAGAGGAGGGGCACTGAGGGAGGGCCTCCTGTAGAATGAGGAAGATGAAGAGTTGCCTCTTGCAGCGAGAGGGTTCCTTGCCTGCCAGCTGGCAAAGCCCTGGGGTACCCGGGGGCAAATGCTACTACTGGAGACTCAACACACAGATCTCTCGTCAACCACAGTATCGCCAATCATAGTTTAAAGATCCAGGCTTTTAATGTCAAGGCATCGGGTTTCTGCTAGAAGAGTTTCCAGAACTTTCATTTAGTGCAGTTTTATATTTGACCACTAACCAATTTTTAATCCAAAATCTTTTTATATATGCATTGTTCAGTTCACCTCCTTAGAATAAATAGCCCAATCATGATTATATTCATCTTCCTCCCACTGCTCCCTCCGCACCCCACACACTCAGGTCACATGTAGACTCTGTGGTATAAGATTTGGGAAGAATTTAGCCATAAGAAGGAAAGCAATAAGGATACATGCTACTACATGAATGAACTTTTGAAACATTATACTAAGTGAAAGAAGCCAGACACAAAAGGCCACATATTGTATGATTCCATTTATATGAAATGTCCAGAACAGGCAAATCCACAGAGACAGAAAGCAGATTCATGGTTGCCAGGGCTGTGAGGGGTGGGAGAAAATGAGGAGTGATGGCTAATGGGTACGGGGTTTCTTTCTGGGGTGACAAAACAGTTCTGAAATCGGTGGCGATGGCTGCACAGTGCTGTGAATGTACCAAAAACCACTGAATCATACACTAAAGAATACATTTTGTGGAATGCAAGTTACATTTCAATTTTTTTTAAGATGATTTAAATTCTGCTTTCTCAAGACACAGAGACCAGAACAGGTCATTTGAGTTTATGAGAAGACCAAGTAACGATGAAACTTATCAGAACAAGCACCAAACTCATTCAATTCTAAGTGCTGATGGCTTCTCTGAAAACTTGAGAGGGTGATAGTGTCCACCACGGAACTCACGGGAGATTTCCACCATTCAACCTTGAATTGCTATTCATAGAGTGTCTACTATGCATGTACAATGTGCTGCTACATGTCGGAGATGCAGCAGTGACTGAGACAGACAGGGGGCCCATGGAAAAGAGACACTTAGGAAAAACTTGCACAAATAATTGCCCAATTAACATTATGCTGTAAAGGAAAATTACAGTGATTTCAGGGTTTATAAAATGAACATAATATTTTTGGGGGAGCAGGAGGAACCTCCCTGAGGAGTTAGCATTGAAGCCAAACCTGGAAGGCTGGGGGAAGAAGCATCCAGGTAAAGTAGAAGGCAGAGGAGCTAAGCAAGGAGAGAGAGAGAGAGCACCAGAAGGGCAGAGAGCCAGCAGGGAGAACAGGTGCCTCCCTATGTCACCAGCCACAGAGATCTTTCCTGAACCCATCAAGCAGAGATTCAGGCTTCTAACGCCAGTACATCTGGCTTGTGCTGGAGATGGGTGCCTTCCAGAATATTCATGTCCTGAGATTTTAAAAAGTGTGTCTAATACAATTGTTTATTCATTCATTCAACAAATATTTATTGAGATCTGCAACACGCCAGGCACTGGGGATACACAAGCGAACACAGAGTGTCCCTGTCCTCCCGGGGCTCACATTCTAGAGGGGGAGACAGTCAACAGGTGAACAGACAGTCAACAGGTGGAAAGAAGGTAACCTCAGAGGTGATGGCCCCTGAGAAGTCTGGGGCTGGGTGGTCTTTACACAAGGTGCTGGGCAAGGCCTGTTTGAGACAAGCAGAGGAAGAAGCCCGCCAGGCCCAGGCTTGAGAAAAGGACCCGGGGGGAGGGAAGCTGCGGGGGGGGCGGGGGGAGGGGGAGGCTGGGAGAAGAAAGGCTGGGGGCAGTAGTGAGAAAGCAAGAGGAAAGAGCAAGCTGCAGAGTGGGTTCTGAGTGCTCGGCAGGGGCCTCGCGGGCCATGCAGCCGACTTAATTTAGAACTGCATTTAGTTGTCAAGTGATGGGAAGCCCTTGGAGCAGGGAAATGACACATTTAATTTAAGCTTCACAAAGCTAAGCTGGGGGTGGGGGGGGGTTGGCAAGTTGAGGGGGGTGTAAGTTGCGTGGGGGTGGGGACCAAGAATGCAATTGTAAGTACTAAGGAGAAGACAAATGGGGTGTCCCAGAACAGAAATACAAGCAAAAGGAAACATGACTGAAGTACAGCGTGCTCCAATCCAGGCTGACCCTGTCCAAGTCCCAAAGTTAACAGCGCCCACTTTGGAGGCAGGCTGACCTGGGCTTAAATCTAGGCTTACCAACCGTGTGACCTTGGGCAGGTGACTTCGCCTCTGAGCGCCTCAGTCTCCTCGTCTGAACGATGGGTTAACAATAGCGCCTACCTGAAAGGGCTGTGGCTGCCATCACGTTTGTGGGGCCCAGCTGTGCGCGGTGGGCGCCCAGCAGCTGCTGCGGCTGTGAGTAATTTGTTACTAAGAATAGTTAGCGCCCCTCTCGGGGCCGCCGACTCCCAGCGGCCGCGCGCACTAGGCGAGGCCGGACCCCCGGCCTGGACGCCGGCTTAGACGCTGTCCCCAGGCCCCCAGTCCCAGCACCCCAGCCAGGCCCCGCCCCCAGCCCCGCTCACCTGGGCCGCGGCGGCCCGGGGATGTGCTCGTAGCGGCTGCGAGCGCGGTGCACGAAGGTGCAGCAGAGGCCGAAGGCGAGCAGGACGGCGCTGCCGAGCAGCAGCAGCCCGGGGCTCATGGCTCCGGGGCAGGGCAGGCCAGGCCAGGGTCGGGCCGGGCGCCGAGGGGGCCGGGAGGCCGCGAGCCGACTCAGCTGTCAGCGCCGCGCGCCGCCTCGGCCCCAGGCCAGGCGCGACCCAGCACCCTCCCCGCCCGCTCGGCTCCGCCCCCGCCGACTCCGACCCCTCCCAGGGCGCACAGTCCCCGCCAACCACGTCTCCGCCTCCGGCTCCGGCGCTCCGGGCCCTCCCCCGCCCCGCCCCGCCCCCCAGAGCTCCGCCCCAACCTCCACACCGCCCCAGCCCAGGCCCCACCCCGAGCATGTGGTCTTCACCAATCACAACTCCGCTTCTGGCTCAGCCCCCCAGGCTCCGCCCCCACCTCTTCAGACTCAGGTCCGCCCCAGCAGCAGCTCCGCCCAGAACGCGTTGTCCCTGGCAACGCCGATCCTCAGCGCTCTGGCCCGGCGGCGGCGCGAAGTCCTGCTGGCTGGCTCCGCCCGCTTCGGCGCCTCCAAATAACGGCATCTTTCCGCGCGCGGTCTTAGGCCCCTTCCTTTTTCCCCCAAACCTGCCCGGAAACCCCATCCCAGCCTGCAAAAGTCCGCATAACGCCGACTGTTCCCAAACTTCTCCTTGGAACCCCAGACCCCCAAAGTTGTTCTCCAGTTGCCCCGGGGCGCCTCCTCCGCCCGGACAGTCCACGCCTAGCGCCCGTGGTCCGCCAGCGGGGCCCGCGGGCTGGTGGCAGGATCCTGCGGGACCCAGGGACGCCTGTGTCTGCGACCGAGAGCGCACGGCGTGGCCGGAGGCTGTTCTCCCAGAGACTCGGGGGCCTGCGGACCCTCCTAGACCAGGCGAAGCCCCATCTGAGGCGCTGGCTCAGGCCCGAAGGAGTTGGAGTTGGAGGGATGAAAATCTGGGTCCGCCCTCCAGGGAAAGCGGGAAATGTGCCGGGGAGGCGGGGGTAGCGGAGGAGAAGGTATTTTCGAAATAATGACCAGGGCTTCCCCCTCTGTCGTAACCCGCGTCTCCTTGCCCATCCCGTATGAAGATGAGGCCAATTCTGGGCGTTTTAGTTCCCAATTCCTATCCCGAGGGACCACCCAGCGTGAAAGTCGTGGCAGGGGAAGGCCAGGTGTGCCCACTCCTAGCCCAGGTAAAGGTCCCCCGGGCTGGAGGTAGAGGCCCAGGGAGTGTAGATGCTGCTGGGTTTCTGAGAAGAGGCAATGCCCCTGCCCCACGCTTGAGCCAGTCCTGGAGAGGTTGGGGGTTGGAAAACGAAGGGGACCTTGGTACCGCCTTCCCAGGTATAGTTAGGGACATGGGACATGGCTGTTAGGGGTGTGGGCTGAGGGGCGACGGAGACGGCCAAGTCTTAAGAGCCGTGCCCAGCACGGAGGAGGCGGGACTTCTGCCCTCGGGGCCACCGCAGCCTGGACAGGTGGGCAGCAGAGCATCCATCCCCCCGGCGCCTGGCCCGGCCGCCCAGTTGGACTCGGGGATGTTGGCTTGCTATGGCGCCCCCGTGTGGCGGCGGTGACAGGCAGCCGCAGGCCCACAGGGTAACTCAGGCTGGCCCTGCTGGGGTGAGGTGTGGAACGGAGCCACCAGGTCCCCTGTGGGCTGTGAAAGCTCCGGGGCTTGAGGGCAATTTGGAGGGAGGATGAGGCTGCAAGAAGGAGGGTGTGGATTCCTGCGCACTGGAAGGTGGGTTGGGGTGGTTAGCTAGAAAAGAAATGTGACGGCATCACATTTAGTATCCAGTTTGTGGAACGGCTCCCTGAGATTACACAGTGCATCGCACTGTCTGAAGAGGACTTTCTCTTGCCTTGTCTCTCCAGACCCCTGGAACAATGGTACTGTTAGCAACAGCAAATCCATATGGGTCTGCAGCAGCCTCAGTTCTTGCCTCCTCAGAAGAAAGAATTCGACTGAGGGGCGTAAGGCAGAGTGAGAGGCAAGTTTTAGAGCAGGAGTGAAAATGTATTTAAAAGTTTTAGAGGCCGGGCGCAGTGGCTCACGCCTGTAATCCCAGCACTTTGGGAGGCCGAGGCGGGCGGATCACGAGGTCAGGAGATCGAGACCATCCTGGCTAACACGGAGAAACCCCATCTCTACTAAAAATACAAAAAATTAGCTGGGCGTGGTGGCGGGCGCCTGTAGTCCCAGCTACTGGGGAGGCTGAGGCAGGAGAATGGCGTGAACCCGGGAGGCGGAGCTTGCAGTGAGCCGAGATTGCGCCACTGCACTCCAGCCTGGGTGACAGAGCGAGACTCCGTCTCAGAAAAAAAAAAAAAAAAAAAAAAAAAAAAAGTTTTGGAGTAGGCATGAAAGGAAGTAAAGTATACTTAGAAGAGGGCCAAGCAGGTGACTTGAGAGAGGCAAGTGTGTGGCTTGACCTTTGACTCGGGGTTTTGTAGGTTGGCATGCTCCCGGGGGGTTGCATCTCTCTTCGCCCCTGATTCTTCCCTTGGGGCGGGCTGTCTGCGTGCGCGGTGGCCTGTCAGCACCTGGGAGGGGCCGAATGCACAGCTGTGTTTACTGAAGTTATGTGCGCGCTCATTTGAGGTGTTTTTCCCTTACCGGTGTTCCTAGAGGAAGGTCATCTACCAGTTAATCGCTGCCATTTTGCCTCTTAGTGTGCATGCTTGAGCCCACTCGCCCAGCTCCTGAGATCTTATCGGGAAGCTGATCACCAGCTTCAGGTGTTTCCATCTGTTGGGAGACTGCCTCTCCCTGGCACTGGCTGCGACCAATTATTATTTGAGAGAAGCAGTTTATCAACTGCCTGACCATCATCTGATGGCCACTTGACATTCCTCGTTGGGGGAGGGCCCTCTCCTGCCCTGCTCATGTCTGCCTGACTACCTACTGTCACAGTTCCTTGAGGGAAGAGCCAGGTCCTGAACAGCTCCAGGCACAGCCTGGAGCCCCACAGAAAGCAGGTGTAGAGCAGCATCAGGGAGCAGTGGTCAGCGTGAACCTCTCCAAATACGGCTAAGGAGAGGAGTGGGCATACGTCTTCTCTGACACATCGGGCAGCACCAGTGATCTCTGGCTCAACATGACCATGGCTTACCCCAGGAGCAGCACTTCCAGAGCAGTTGCCGTTCCCATCTGTGAGCCAACAGTCTCCCCTCTCCCTAGGCACCAAGCCCACAGCTGTCCCATCACCACCTCATTTGATGCTCCCAGCTATCCTGTGATCAGGTAAGGGAACACAGGCTGCATACCAAGGCTCCAGGTCCCAGGGCTGAAAGCCCTTTTCCTGGGTGGGCAGCGCTGCCTGGAAGCACGTGGCCAACCACCTGCTCCTTCACTGGAGGGTCTGGAGTAAGCTATCCAATGTGGCAGCCATTGGCCACATGTGGCTTTCTGGTACTTGACATGTGGCTAGTCCAATTGAGATGTGCTATGTGTAAGATACACACCAGATATCATAGATTAATACCAAAAAAGAATGGAAAAAAAAGGTCACCAGGCACAGTGGCTCACAACTGTAATCCCAGCACTTTGGGAGGTGGAGGCAATAGATCTTTTGAGAACAGTAGCTCAAGACCAGCCTGGGCAACATAGGGAGACCACTTCTCTACAAAAAATGAAAACAAACAAACAAACAAAAAAACTGGCCAGGCATGGTGGCATATGCCTGTGGTCTCAGCTACTCAGGAGGCTGAGGTGGAGGGATCACTTGAGCCTGGGAGTTTGAGGCTGCAGTGAACAGTGATGGGACCACTGCACTCCAGCCTGGGTGACAGAGCCAGACCCTGTCTCAAAAAAAAAAAAAATTGATATTTATATATAGGTACCTGTTAAAATGATAATATTTTGAATATGTTGGGTTAAATAAAATATATTATTAAAATTAATTTTACCTGTTTTACTTTTTTAACATGGCTACAAGCAGATTTTAAATTACCTATTTGGCTCACATTATGTTTCTATTGGATAGCACCAGTATGGACAATGACTATGGCCCCTAGAACAGGAGGATTAGCATTACCCAGGAGCTTCTAGAACTGAAAATTCTCAACCAAGACTGAGTCAAAAACTCTGAGAGACAGGACCCAGCAACCTGTGTTTTAAGCAGCCCTGTAGAACTTGATTCTTCTCAAGCTTGAAACCCACTGGTGTAGATGACACCATACGAGGAGTGGTTTCCCAGCAGGAATTGTTGGGGAGATGCAGGCATAAGAGGTGGCTCTGAATTGGCTGCCTTTACATGGGTGGCCTGGCAGGGTGGAGGTGCTGTATCCCAGGGAAGGAGAAGGATCCGGCTCTGGGAGAATGGGCCTTGGTGCAAACCTGCCTCTAAAGCCCCGGGGACCACTTACATAACACCCTAGGAATCTGTCCCCTCATCTGGAAAACAGGGACAGTGATATTGAGGGTGTCTCGTGGAGCTGTTGTCAAGATTAAATGAGCTGACACACCCGAGGTAGCTGGCATGTAATAACTGCTCAGTAAAAGCTAGTTCTCAGTGGGGGAGGAGGGGCGAGGGGACAGAAGCGCGACAAGAAGACTTGAGTTCTACATGTTAGGCTGAAGGAGCTCTTTCTTCTGCTATTGTGAGAGTTTCTTCCCATGTCATTCTGATGCTGGTCCTTCACGTGGCATGCCCCTCCTCACTCTGTCGCAGACAGTTGGCTGCTGCCAGCATGGATGCCACCAGCCTCGAACTGAGCTTTCTGTCTAGGAAGCAACCTAGAGTGTACGTGCCATGCACGTCTGCAATGCTACCTCATTTTTCATCCAGTAATCCTTCTGGTGACCTCTATTTTGCAATGAGACTCAGAGAGGCACAGAGCCAGGACTGGAACCCAGTTTCCAGCTTCCTTGAACCTCCCAAACATTTCTAAGGTATCAACATGGTGACCCCTAGGCTCAGTCTAGGGCCTGGGATGTTGTGACCTCTGACTGATGTCTTGAACACAGTCCTGGACACTGGGCCACCCCTGCAGCATTGACCCTGAGGCTCCAGCACTAAGCTGTGTGGCACTGGGCAGGGCAGCCCCTCTCTGAGAATCTGATCCTGGCTATTGACTAGAGGTTGGATTAGAGGGGGTGAGGGTGAAGGCTGTGCCCCCATCCTCAGAGGCCCTGGAGGACTTTAAGGCAAGATCGGAGTCCCTGGGGACAGAGTCACATGTGAATGCTCCCTCAGCGGCCAGCTGTAGGTGGTGGAGTGAAAGAAGCACTGGACAGGCAGCCAGCTCTGCCCTTCTCTGAACTTGTGTCCCAGTGGGGTGGGGCTGGCTTTCAATGCCCTTGAGGTGGCCCAGCAGGAAGGCCCACAGCAGGGTCCCAGAGCTGGACTACCTGGGCTCAAATTCAAATTTTGGCTATGTGACATTTGGTAAGTGACAAATGCCCTGGAACTCGGCTTCCACGTGAGTAAATGTGCATTAATATGAGGATTACATGAGTGAATGGTATGTTAAACTTTCAGAGCAGTGCTTGGCATGTAGTAAGCGCTCAGCAGAGGTCAGCTGTTGTAGAAAGTAAAAGTTCCTCTTGAAAGTTTCCCTTCTTGTTAAAGAATAAATCGTAAGTGTTAGAAATAATGGTTTCTTTTAAAGACGAACTTCCTTCAAACCTCCTTGCTTTATGCTAATAACTCTTTGTCAAGCCCTATTCTATGTAACTGTTAGACGTGCTCACAGGCACATAGTACGTTCTATGTCCTTATACTTTAACCAAGATATCTGTGCTGGACGTGCTCACAGGCATGTCCCAGCTCACAGCCTATACCCCTTCCTTATTTGGGAATATTATTACTTTTCTAAGTCCTTTCGTAAGCAACTTCCTCTTTTCCTTTATCCTTCCATTACTTTTACCTATTTAGAAAAATTTTAAACAGCCAATCGGGTTTTAGTTTAGATTGTGCGGTCTGGCTTCTGCCAATGGACATAGGACACAGTAGCAGGGACAAACTGCATAAGGGCTAACAATTGCTTCCCTCCTTTGTTCAGGTGTCCTCTCACTATTGTTCCATCTGCGATGAGCACCCTTTCTGCAGAAAGTAAAATTGCCTTGCTGAAAGAATTAAATTTATGTTTTAGTGCTATTTCTTTCCAGCATCGGGGAACAAGTATTTACATATAACAGCTGTCCACTCTTATTACTACCTAGGGCAGAGGTCTCCAAACCCTGGGCCACGGACCAGTACTGATGGGTGGCCTGTTAGGAACCGGGCCACACAGCAGGAGGTGAGTGGCAGTGGGGCAGGGTAGTGTGGGGAGCAAGCATTCCCACCTGAGCTCTGCCTCCTGCCAGATCAGCAGTGGCATTAGATCCGCATAGGAACATGAAACCTACTATGAACTGTGCATGCGAGGGATCTAGGCTGTGAACTCCTTATGAGAATCTAATGCCTGATGATCTGAGGTGGGACATTTCATCCCAAAACCATCCCCCCAACCCCCATCCATGGAAAAATTGTCTTACATGAAACCAGTCCATGATGCCAAAAAGGTTGGGGACCACTGACCTGGGGACTGTGGAGTGAGTCCCCAGGAGGCAGGCTGCAGCCTAGCCCAGGCCTGGTTTGGGGCCTGAGAGGTGATGAGTTGGAGGCTGGGGAGGAAGAGCGCCTGGCCTGGAAGACTGAAGGCCAAAGCCCGAACTGCCCAGAGAAGTACTGGAGGGCCTGAGGCCGCACCCAGAGCTCCCTTTGCCAACCCTCCTAATCCAGCTCTGAGCAAAACAGCTTCTGGGGCCAGGCAAGCAGGGCCCTGGCTCGGCTGCATTCTTGAGGGCCTCAAGGCTTGCTGCACCTTCCCTGGCTCCAGTCTCAGCGTGGCCTCATCTGGCAACAGGCCTGGGACACTCAGCCTCCCTGAGCTCACTTCCTCATCTGCACAGTGAGGAATTCGGCTGGGATGGTCATTAACGGCCTGCTATCTCCTAACACGCCCGGCGTCAGAGCTCAGAACTCCCCTGCATCCCAGGAAGATGCCCACTCAACCTCCCCTGGGCCACTGGAGGCCCGAGAGGAGCATGAGGCCAGCAGCGGGGGCACCTGCCAGGCAAGAGGAGCCCCCAGGGATCTCCATCAGCTGCTTCCCAGCCAGGCTGGCACTCCCACACCAGGCAGGAGCCCCAGCACACCGCTCTCTGCAGGCATAGTGTAGCTGGGGAGGGCAGTGGTTAGGGTGCGGGGACTCTAAACTAAGCTGCTGTATTCAAACTTGACTTCTCCCTTCCCTGGCTTGGTGCCCTAAGATATCTAACCTCTGTGTGCCTCAGTTTCCCATTCTGTAAAGCACAGAGTATGAGGAGTCCAAGACAGTGACCTAAAGCTTTCTGCTGCAGCCCAGGATCCTATACTAGTGGCTAGGAGACCCTATACTAGCAGCTAGGAGACCCTGCCAGACTCATGCCTGCCCCAAGGCCTGCCCAGCCACCCCTGGTGCCAGCTCCCAGAACTTGGCACAGCATCACCCCCTCCCAAAGCCCCCCCATAGGTTGGGTTTGGGTGCCCCACCCAGACCTCTTCCAACCCCCGACATGGGCCACATCCTGTCTTCACTGCCTGGTGACTCATCTGCTTACCCACCCCCCACCCGTGCTCCCATCCGAGGCTGAGCGCAGTCATACTAAGTGCCCCTCTGCGGCCTGGCACAGAGCCAGGGCCGAGCATCCCTGGAGTGAAGGAGCTTCCACCTGTGATGCAGGTGGGAAGCGGGAGGCCTCACCCCTTTCTCCTGGTTCCCACCCCGGCTCCCACACAGGTGCAGGTCAGAGAGGAGGCAGGAAAGTGGTGTGTAAACAGCCACATTATTGGCATAGCCCTGGGTGAAAAAGTGTCAGTAGTTTCACTGGACCCCCAGCCTGGTCAGCCCCGAGGTAGGGCTGGAGGAATCAGGTCTCCTGGGTTTACACTGAGCAGGGATGGGGATGGAAAGGACAGAGGTGGCCCCAGGGCCCAAACACAGCTTTGAAAGTAGTGGAGGCCCACCGACTCACTGGAGGGCCAGGGTGAAAGCTCTGCCCAGCTAGTGTGGGTGGCTTCTGCCCCAAGAGCAAGAGAGAATCAGGCCTCAGGGTTGGAGGAGGCTGGTCCCATCCCAGGAGCACCCACAAGGACTGAGTATGCTGCTGAGTGGCTTCTCCAGCATACGGCCTTGGAGGTCATCCAGTCCTCACAGCCATCCTCCCTGAGCAGGTGCTGGCTCCTCCACGCAGCCTGCCCCTCCAGTGGGGCCCCAGGCCTGCAGCTCACCCTGCTCCCACCTTCCAGAAGGCTTTCCCTTCCCCACTGGATGCCTTCCGGTTCTCTCCAGCGCCTCTGACTGCCAGGGGGTGGGGGGGATGCGGGCACCAGGCCATGCTGTCCGGGCCACATTCCTCAGGCCACCCTCCGGCTGTTCTTGCACCTTCCATTCCAGCTGTGGGCAGGACAAGCCTGGTTCTCCCCACCGCCCTCAGTCTGCAAGCTGTGCCTCTGTTAGCACAGCCAGGGGCCATGTCCGTCCTCGAAGCCTGGCTGCCCTCCCTCCTCAGGGTCCCACAGCCCGGCTGCTGTTCCTGCTGGTGTCTGAAACGCTTGGAGGTAAGAAAGGAACTCCTCCCGCCCATGATGGACCATGCACTTCCAGAGCCCACACCGCCCCCAACACACACTCCTGCCTTGGGTCTGCAGAGGACACACATGCACTGCAGCGCCTCACACATGTCCCCAGGACAGCACACACCCGCACCCCCTTCACTCTAGAACACGTGTGCACCCGCTGGGCGCACACAGGGCGGAGCGGCCCCTGCCAGGCTCCCCCGCCGGCGGGATGGCCTGGGGCAGCGGCGTGTTGCCTACAGGTCGGGGTTCTGGTGGCTGCACACGACGCCCGCATCCTCGTCGTGCTCGCAGTTGTGGGTGCCCACGCCGTTGTGCTGGCACTCCAGCAGGTTCCGCTCCCAGCCCGCGCAGCGCACATCGTCCAGCAGAATGGGCAGCGAGCCGCCCTGGCCGAACTCGGCTCTCTTGACGGCGCGCACGGCGTAGGCAAACCCCAGCTGGCGACACACGACGGCGGCGCCGCTGATGTTCCAGGAGTCGTCGCACACGGTGCCCCAGCGTCCGCCCACGAACACCTCCACGCGCCCGCTGCCAGAGCTCAGGCCCGCGGGCCGCACCAGGCGCACCTCGCCATCCCGGAACGCCCGGCTCGCCGAGTTCAGCCGCCCCCGCCGCCGCCCGCCGCCCCTCCGGCTCCCTGGCTGCTGGGTGGGCCGCGCTGGCCGCGGGGTTGGCGCGGGGGGAGCGGCCGTGGGGCGCCCTCGGCGGGGCGCCCGCGTGGGCGCCCGCGCTGTAGGCCGCGGGGTGCTCCGTGTCTTCGGGATGAACTCTGCGCAGAGGAAGAGTATGCCGTCAGAGGGACCCAGGCGCCCCTGTCCAGCCCTGCTGCCCACCCTGTGCTGCCCTGCAACCTGTGCGGAGAGCGCAGACTCGGGGAAGGATGTCCTGGGTCTGTCCTGCACTCACACCCAGAAGACGGGATGCCGCCTGCGCTCCCAGTCGTGCTTCCCAGGTCACCCGGACCCAGCAAGATGCCGGCCTGGACTCAGGGGCCAGGGGCTTTTTCAGTCATACAGCAAACACTATCAACTGCTTTGTGCCAGTCTGCTGTTGCTGCGTCTCCCTACCCCAAGCCCCACCTTCCCAGGAGTCCCTAGGTTGGTGGGGGAGCCAGCTCCTGGCACTTCATAACTCTGGAAGGCAATGAAAGGAAGGAGTGTCTGGGAAGGCTTCTAAGAGAAAGTCACCGTTTCATCTTCCAGGCCTTGGTTGTGAGGGTGAGGAAGCTGAGGCCCACAGATGGGTAAAAACTGCTGCGGGTCTGTGGTGGCCAGTGGCCAGCAGGTTGGGAACGGGATACACACAGGGATCCCTGGGGTCAGGGTGAATCTCTTTCCTCCTGGTTCCCAAGGTTGGCACCAGCGGGTTGTCACAGCGGGTACGATGGGGGAACTCTGGTTGTGTCTGGGGAACAAGGCAGAGCCCCTATACCCCACCACAGAGCCTGGGTGCAGTCGGTGCTAGGGAGCTGAGGCAGGTGATTTCCTTTGTCTCTGCAGAATGTGGGGACACGCTTGGCCCAGGTCAGCCACAGGGATAGACCTCAATCTACACTTTGCTGTGCCCAGCTCTACTCCACACAGGTGCAGTGCCAGGCACTGGGCACTGCCATGCGTCACAGCCCAAGACTGTTCAATTACTATGGGGAGGATCCTGGGGCCACCAGGCCAAACCTCTTTAATCCCGCCCCACTTCAGCCAGTCCCACTTTGAAAACCACTGAGAGAGAGCTGAGAAAGGGCCTCTCAGCACAAGGCCAAGCACAGGCCAGGGCCCAGAGCACCATGACATGGGCAAGGCGCTCCCTGTCCCTGCACCCTGGCCCCTGGCCCCCACCTCCTGCTCCTCAGGCTGCCTCACCTCTCCCACTGTGGCTCTTGCTGTTCCCTCTGCCTGCACTGCCACCCCCCTCGGTGCACCCTCCTGAGTGAACCTCCCTCTTGGTGCCAGCCCCCCTCAGTGCACTCCCCCAGGTGCACCCCCCCGTGCAACCTGCCTGGGTGCATCCCCCAACTCTGTGCACCCCCCCTCCATGCCGCCCCCCTCAGTGCACCCCCCCTCCATGCCACCCCCCTTAATGCACCACCCCCTCCGTGCCACCCCCTCAGTGCACCCCCCTCCATTCCACCCCCCTCAGTGCAACCCCTCCAGGTGCACCCCCCTCAGTGCACCACCCCCTCTGTGCCACCCCCCTCAGTGCACCCCCCCTCCATGCCATCCCCCTCAGTGCACCCCCTCCAGGTGTACCCCCCTCAGTGCCATACCCACTCAGTGCCATCCCCCTAGCTGCCACCCCCCTCAGTGCAACCCCCTATTGGTGCACCCTTCCTCTTCTTTTCAGACTCCAGGAACCCCTACCCCCAACCCCAGTCTCCACTGTTCTGGGTGGGTCCTCACGGTACCTGGCACACACTTCGATCACAAGGCCTTGGACAGTAAATGACATCTCTGTCCGTCCCAGCCAGAACAGGGCCTAGTCTGACTTCTCACTGTGGCTCTGGCATCCAGCATGGAGCCAGTAACTAACAAAAGTGCCAGAAACTGCTGAATGAGTAAATGAAAAACTCACCAAGCCCTGAAACCAACTGTGGCCAGAACTCACTTCCAAAATCACTGAGCTCAGACCCTTCCCCCTCTACCCGGGTACCTCTTCAGCCCAGGTGCCTAGCCTCCCTCTCTTCTTGCCCTCCCCACCCCCATACACACCCAGTCTGCCAATGGGTGGCCTGCTGAGCCCACTTGGCCTGCTGAAATATTTTCCTTGGCTCGCGGAGTGGTTTTTAAAATTCTGAACTAGTCGCCAACACTTTGAATTGGGAGGTTGTACCTAACAGGCTGAGAAGGCGAGGACTGCAGTGTCTCGCCGTGTGCTGTATCCCCAGGGCAGGGCACGTGTCCGTGGTGAATGAGTGGATGGGGGGATTTTCTGCTTCTCTGAAGAATTGGAAGACCTGGCAACACAGGGTCTTTGTTCCCACCTAACTTGGGCCCAGGGGAACAGCCCCAGCCTGGGGCATCCCCTTCCCCCAGTCCCAGGCCCCATGGGCAGTCATTTGTGGCCCTGCTCTGTCGTCTCTCCTCATCAGGCTTGTCAACAATCTATGAAGGCCCAGCCCATATGCCAGCCCCTCCCACAAACAACTCTTCCGGTCTCCCTTGCTTACACACAGATACATCCTCTTTCTCTGTCCCTCCCAAGAACTCACAGAGTACCTTGCCTGGCACCAGCTATTTCTCTCTTGGTTTAAGGAATTGTGACCAATCAAGCAAGACCCAGTTTAGTTAAAGTCCCATCCACCTTACCACCATGTCTAATGTGTGCCAGGCACAGTGCTAGGCACAGGGGCTGAAGAGGGGCATCTAGGTCCAGCTGGTAAGACCCGAGTCTGGCTGGAAAGGCAGCCGTTGTGGGCTGCGGGATCTCTCCCCCAACCCTCAGTGTCCCACTGGCAGGCACTTACTTTCTTTGGGCACAAAGGGGATGAGACGGCTTCTGATCTTCACCTGAGCAGGCTGGATCTGACATTTGCCAGGTGGTGCCCGCCTGCCAACGACACACAGGAGGTTATGAGTCTCACCCTGGGAGCCCACCCTGAGGGTGCCTTTTCTCTACAGTGAGGCAGGTATGAACAGCAACGATAGTAACAGGCGGCCATTCACCATGCACCTACTGTGTGGCCTGCAGCTTCCCTGCCCACTCCATGCCCCCAGGATTCTAAGAGCTCCAGGGCATAAATCCCCTATAACAGCCTACCGGCTGCACGCTCAGCCTCTGCTGGAATAGCACCAGGGCTGGAGGCTTACTCTTTCCCAGGACATTTCTAATCCAGAGCATGGACTCTGTCCTCAGGGTGTGAACAAATGCCAGTCTCTCTCCTCCCACAGCCTGCCGTCTGATTCCTGAAATGCAGCCTGATTCCTGCCCGCCACCCTCTCCCACCAGCCCTACAGCCTTTGAGGAGGGTCTCTCTCTGCCCCTCTGGTTCCTGGATTTCTGATGCAGGATCTGAGAGGCTCCTCTGCCTGGAACCACCTAAAGGACGGGGGCGGCGGGGGTGGTAAGGAAAGCAAGCCTTGTGCCTGGAGGCAGAGCTGAGGGATTTGGGGCCTTGGCATGTGGGGTGTGAGAGAGCAGGGAGACAAAAGAGTCAGAGAAGGGTGCCAGGGCTAGGAATTGGGTCTCCTTTGACATTTTTAAGGGCACAATAGGGAATGGAATTCCGTTTTAATTAGTTTTTGGCCGTCGATCTGTGATTCTTTGGGAATGACCCCATTCCAGGACAGACCCACGTGGGCCCACGACTTCAATAGGATTCCAGTGGAAAGGCCAAGGGGTGAAGCAGCCACGTGACACGGAGTGGCCTCCAGACAGGCTTGGCCGAAGAGGGACACAAAAGAGGGACAAGGGTCTTTGTCCCCAGAGGCTGCAGAAACACAACCAGGCACATACGCTTCTCAAAGCTGCAGGAAAAGCGAGGTTTTTTTCTTGCTCTGACCTCCAGAGAACATCCACACACTTCAGACAGACCCAGTGGGGCTTTTGTTCCTTAAGGAAATTGCATTAAAAGTCTTTGTTATGCAAAAGGGTAGGATATCCACCCCAAAATGCCACAGTGGTTACGTGTGGGTAGTAACAGATGACCTGACCCTACCTCCTCCACTCCCCATTTATTTCATTTTCCAAATGTACTATAATGGGACCTCTGTGTAATATGTGTGGGTGCAAAGAAACAGTTATTCCAAGACAGGAGAATGAAGGGAGAAGGGTCAGGGCGGGAGGAGGAATCTAGCCCACTTCTGGCTCCTAACACAAGACCGTGAGCGAGAGAACTCCTTAAGTCTCGTTGGGGTCCCTCTCTATGACATGGGGACAACAAGCCAATAGGGAAACGGGATTGGAAAAACCGAAGATGATGGCTCTAAGGCAACATCTGGCATGAATTAGGCACTCACTTGGTATATGTAGCATTTCCTCAGAGGAGCATTCTTTTTTGAAAATTGGAAATAACCTAAAATTCCAAGGAATGGGTTATAGTGACTCAGCAGAAAATCAAGCAGCCATTAGAAATGGTTTTTTGGAGGGCGATGTTTGCAACGTTTAGACAAAATGGGCATAAATGAAGGAAAAAGAACCAAGTCTGCGTGTGATCCAAATACAACCACATAAATCCTGGCGCTGCATAGATAACAATGGATGGGACCTCAGGGAAATGAGAAGGAAGGGATGGAAGCAGGAAGTGATTATGTTTTATTTGATAAAAAGTCATGTCAATAATTTATGTGTGCTCTTAAACAAGAAAAAAAAAAGTCTGGTAAACAAGGAAAGTGAGAAGCTGACACAAACAGGGGAAAGCTAAGCAGACGCAACCACTAAAGGCAACACAGGATCCTGGAACAGGAAAAGGGCATTGGGGAACAACTAGAAACATCCTTTGAAAAAGAGTGTGGAGTCTGGGCGTGGGGGCTCACACCCGTAATCCCAGCACTTTGGGAGGCCGAGGTGGGCCGATCACTTGAGGTCAGGAGTTTAAGACCAGCCTAGCCAACATGGCAAAACCCCATCTCTACTAAAAATACAAAAATTAGCCAGGCATGGTGGCAGGCACCTGTAGTCCCAGCTACTCGGGAGGCTGAGGCAGGAGAATCACTTGAACCCGGGAGGCAGAGGTTGCAATGAGTTGAGATCATGCTACTGCGCTCCAGCCTGGGAGACAGAGCAAGACTCCGTCTCAAAAAAAAAAAAAAAGTAAAAGACTGGAGTTGTAGAGTTTAATTAATAGTGATGGACTGATACTAGTTGACTAATTTTGACATGTACACTATGGTAATGTGAGGTGTTCATAATAAGGGACACAGGGTAAGGGGCATACAGGAAACACTGTAGTTTTTACAACTTATCTGTAAATCTGAAACTATTCTAAAATGTCTTTTGTTTTGAGATAGGGTCTTGCTCTGTTATCCAGGCTGGAGGGCAGTGGTGCGATCATAGCTCACTGCAGCCTCGACCTCCTGAGTTCGAGTGATCCTCTCACCTTAGCATCCCAAGTAGCTGGGACTATAGATGTGCGCCAGCACACCAGACTAATTTTTTAATTTTTTGTTGAGATGGGGTCTTGCTATGTTGACCAAGCTGGTCTTGAATTTCTGGGCTCATGAAACTCTCCGACTTCAGCCTCCCAAAGTGCTGGGATTACAGGTGTGAGCCACTGAGCCCAGTGTAAAAGATTTTAAGCACAATAAGTGTTTTAGAATTTTTCTTTTTGTAAAATTAATTAATTTTTTTAGAGACAAGTTCTCCCTGTGTTGCCCGGGCTGGACTTGAACTCCTCCCATCTGCCTCCCAAGAACGTGAAACATGCCAGCTTGTTTCAGGATTTTCCCAAACCTGGTGTGTCTCAAAGTTTAGGGTAACTAAACACAGTGGGGACTCCTAGAGTCTGCCAAAGGTGTGGATTCTCGGAGTGCAACCTCAGGCCTTGCGTTAGAGACAAGTACAAGCTGTGTCCGTACCCAGTGTTGAAGAGACGTTCAGACTGCTGTGGAAGCCAGCAGAGAAGCGAAAATCTAAGGGCTGAGAAGCAGCTTAGAAAGCTGATCACTCATTTATTCATCAAGTGTTCCTGAGTCTCTGCTCCGTGCCATTCCCAGCACCTGGGCGGCCTCTGCAGAGTGAAGAGATACAGGCTTGGCCCTGAGACTCCCAGAGCAGCTGGGAGAGAGTCAGTCGTGTAGCCCAGGGATTACCAAGTCTGAGTGATGAGAGCTGAGGAAGGGCTGGACAGAGGCCTGGAGGGCAACGTGGGTTGGGGAAGGTGCTTGAAGAGGGTGAGGTGAAGGCACACAGCCAAGGGGTTAGGGCAGGGCTCTGGAGCCAGTGGCCTGGGCCCCACCCTGGCCCTGGGCCCCAGGCCCATGACTTCGTGTCTTTGTGCTCATTTCCACCACTGTAAAATGAACGGCTGAGACGTCAATGAGCTGCACACGGAAGGAGCTGGGACATAGCCGGGCATGGCGCTTCTGGCCTTACAGCTAGAAGGGAAGCCGGGGAGATGGAGCCGGCGAAGGGAGCCCCAATGTGTTTTCCCCAGTGGAAGATGGACCACAGGAGGAAGGGCAGGCACGGGGCGGGGACACACAGGGATCAGGGTGTCATCTGGGAGGCATCACAGAGGCAAATTGGGGGCTGGGGTGTGGGGGTGCAGGGGCAGCCCAGGAAATGAGGAATGAGGGGCCTGCTAGACAGGAGGAAGACGCAGGGAGGGCGGGCCAGGCAAGAAAGCCAAGTGAAGCCTCGGCCCGCGGCCCCAGTCACCTCTCCAGCTCCCTCCTATCCTAATAGACCTGTGCTTTGAGGCGTGCAGACCCGGGTCTGAATCCTGGGTCTGCCCCTTGCCGGAGGAACTGAGGCAAATCACGTCCCTCTCTGGGCCTCAGGGTTCTTGTCTGAAAATGGGGATTAATACCACCCACCTGAGGGCGAGGCGGAGGGGACAAGCCCGTGGAGCTAAGAGGCCTGACAGACAGCAGGAGCTCCCTGTCCTGGAGGCTGGGACTCACCTGGATGCGTCAATTATTTTGTAGACAACTCCGCGTGGAGCTGTGGCACTCGGCTCCCCTGTCGACATGAAGTACAGCTCCCCTTTGGACAGAACAAAGTGACTAGTGAGACCCCCACCTGGAATACCGTCCCAGCCAGCCCCGCCTCACCACCCGGCTCCCTGCAGGCTTGGAAATAGACCCCAACCCCAGCTAGCCATCACGTGAGGCATCCCAGCTCAGTCTAGCTGTCCAGTCCCCAGAAAGAGGAAGTGAGGCTGGGTGAGGAGTTGGGTTGTACCCAAGGGCCTCTGGAGCCTGGTCTTCCGGGTGTCAGGCACTCTGCCTGGACCCACCCAGGCTCAGATCTCTGCTCTTGCCTTTTCCCGGTGACCCAGCGCCACCCCTGTCACCTACCTGGGTTTCATGCCCAGCCCCACACACCTCTGGGCGCACATGAGGGGGCTACAGCCCAGCTCCCCAACTGCTTCCAGGGGACCCGCAGGCACATGTGGCTCTCTGAGCCTCAGCTTCCTCATCTCTAAAATGGGCATGCCTCATTGGGCTGTTATAAGGACTGAAGAGCGCAGAGCGTGTGCTTCATCAGCATTAGCTAGCTATGATTGCAGGCGTCATCCGGGATTTGGGCCCTGCCAGGTCCTCGAGGCCAGGGTGTCTCTCTGCTGACAACAAGCACCTCCCAGGCAGGAGCAGAGTACATGGCTGGGAGTGTAGGTCCTAGCCCCTCTGCTTGGCCCCCTGTGATCTCCAGCAGCTGTGTGATGGTCCCATTCTAAGCCTCAACTTCTCCCCATCTCAGAGCTGCGCTGAAAATGTAACCGTTGGAGTTCTGAGCCCCTGGTGCTGAGGACTGTCTCAGGGAACGTGGGTTCTCCCTGCTCCTCCCACTCCAATCCTCCCTCCCAACCCCTGCTGCCAGGGGCACCTATGACCAGAAAATAGGCTGCATTATTCCTACCTCACAGCTGAGAAAAAAAAAAAAGAGGCTCAGAGAAGTCAAGTGACTTGTCCTAAGTCACACAGCTAGTGAATGGTTAAGCCAGGACCAGAACTCAGGAAAGTCTGCTGCCCCAGCCCCACACCAATATTGGATGCATGGTGGCTGGGAGCCCAGACACAAGGCACACATGGCTCATCCTGAGGGTTCAGCCATGCTAATACCTCTGTCCTTGTAAAAGGATAGCAGAGAGCTCAGCTGGACTGGGGGCAGGGAGGGGGGTTTCCCCACGGAGAGGCTGAGACAGACAGCTTGGTAATAGGTTGGAGGAAAGCATATCCCTGGGGACAGGTGCAGTCAGGGAGGGCTGCATGGGGGTGGGGTCTGAGAAGCAAGGCACAGGAAACTTGGGAAGTGCAAAGGGAAGGCACTTGAGGGGTAACTTGTGTAACCGGGGTAGACCCAGCTGTGATGGGGCTGGGGGATGAGGAGAGCAGTACGCTGAGTGGTCAATGGCCCCTGACCCCCCAACCCAGGGGCACCAGTCCCACTGGGGAGGTCGGGGGAGGAGCTGTAGGCACACATGGTGATGATGCAGCCTGCAGCATTGGGGGTCCCCGGGTGGAATGTCCCTGCTGAGAAGTCCATGGGCACAGCCCTAAATTGGCCACACAGCCTTGGGCCGTCCACTCCCCTCTGGGCCTCTTTCTGGAGTGAGCCACCAGGAGCAGCCCTGGTCTCCTCTGTTCCAACCCCTTGAGGAACTCCCTGGTTCATCTGGCCAACCGACCTTAAGGCCCCACTCTGGGAGGTGTCCAGGGGCCAGGCTGGGCATGGTGCCCCTCCTCCATAACCAGGCGTTCATAGTCAGCCACAGTTTCCCCATTGGTAAAATGACAAGGCTGGACCAGGCAGACTGCAAGGCCCCTTCCAGCCGTGATCTGCTGGGAGCTGTAGCCCCCAACCCTCTGCACACACAGGGAGCCCCTGCGGATGCTGCCAAGCCCGCCCAGGGCTGCTGTTGAGACTCAGAAAACAATGCTCCAAAATGAAGGCCTCAGAAGCTGCCTCCGAAGCAAAAGTTTTTCTCTGACCTTCGCCTGTCCTCCCGTCTCTCAGTCCTGTTCTCCCCCGAGGTGCCATAGAAACTAGAATCTCTCTTTCCCATGGCAGATCGTAGAAACCAGCACACATTTCCCCCAAAGCCAGTCATAGAACCTAAAAATATTATTGTAACTCTCCCCCAACCTTTCTGTGTAAAACTGGCCATAAAGAAATTATCTGAGTTCAGGCATGGTGGCTGACGCCTGTAATCCCAGCACTTTGGAAGGCCAAGGCGGGCAGATCACTTGAGGTCAGCAGTTTGAGAGCAGCCTGGCCAACATGGTGAAACCCCATCTCTACTAAAAATACAAAAATTAGCCAGGCATGGTGGTGCGCACCTATAGTCCTAGCTACTCGGGAGGCTGAGGTATGAGAATCACTTGAACCCAGGAGGCAGAGGTTGCAGTGAGCCGAGATCACACCACTGTACTCCAGCCTGGGCGACAGAGCGAGACCCTGTCTCAAAACAAACAAACAAAAACAAAAATCCCACAACAACAACAATAACAACAAAAAAAGAAATTATCTGGGTCAGATATGGTGGCTCATGCCTGTAATCCCAGCACTTTGGGAGGCCGAGGCAGGGGATCACTTGAGCCCAGGAGTTCCACACCTGCCTAGGCAACACAGTAAGACCCCATCTCTACAAACTATTTAAAAAATAGCCAGGCATAGTTGCATGTGCCTGAAGTCCCAGCTACTTGGGAGGCTGAGGCAGAAGGATTGCCCAGGAGTTGGAGGCTGCAGTAAGCCATGATGGCGCCACCACATTCCTGCCTGGATAGCAGAGCAAGACTCTACCTCAAAAATAAAAAAGGAAGAGGTGATCTGACCCATTTGACCATTTGCAGGTCATAAGACCCCCATTCCAGAGACAGCCCCATACCCAGAAGGAAGGACTGATGCGCAGAGAGGCCAAGAAGAATCCAGACACACAGGCTGTGCTGGCCCTCCCCACTCAATCAGCATAAGGTCAGGACCTTTTTGTCCAATCACATTTCTGCACAGCTGTCCATACTCTGCTGCACCTGAGCATAAAAATGGACAATTTCGGCTGGGCGCGGCAGCTCACACCTGTAATCTCAGCACTTTGGGGTCACCTGAGGTCAGGGGTTCGAGACCAGGCTAGCCAACATGATGAAACCCCATCTCTACTAAAAAAAATACAAAAATTAGCCGGGTGTGGCGGCACGCACCAGTAATCCCAGCTGCTCCGGGGGCTGAGGTATGAGAGAATCGCTTGAACCCGGGAGGTGGAGGTTGCAGGTTGCAGTGAACCGAGATTGCACCACTTCACTCCAGCCTGGGCAACAAGAGCGAAGCTCAGTCTTGGAAAAAAAAAAAAAAGAAAAAAAAAATGGACAATTTCCCCTGTATCTTTGGGTCTTCATTCCAAGGGCTCCTGTGTCATGTCATTGTGACAGGATGCATTTGTGTGCCTTTTCTCCCAGGAATCTGCCCCTTGTCAGTGGTTTTCCATGAACTTTCAGAGGGCAAAGGGGATGTTTTCCCTTGGTGGGACACTGAGCCACCTTCCTGGTCTCTGTGGTGTGGACTGTCCCTAGAGCACACTGGGCCAGCAGAGGTACTTGTTTTGTAATTTGCAAGTGTTGGAACAATTAGAGAAGCAGAAGTGGGAGCTGAGGGCAGGGGGAAGGTTTGTTTGCGTTGGACCCCAGGGCTCCGGGCTCTGTGCTGTCCAGAGGCCACTGCCAGAGCTGTCCCTGGGCCGCCAGTCTCACTGGTGCCTCCTCCTGGTTTTCCACACTCGGGTGTCACTCAGAGGGCTGAGGAACAGCCTTTTGGGAACTGTACCTTCCTTCCAGGCCCTGCCTCTGTGAGGGAGGGGCACCCCTGCTTCTAAAACACATTAACCCCCTACTGACCAAAAGAAAGGGCTTTCAAGGGCCCAGAGGGCTTAGGAATGGCTGTGGGGGCTGGGGGCTGCCTTTTTGGAAATTCAGATTCTGACGGTTCAACAAAGGTTTCCCAGACACAGCCCTGGGGGCTCTGGGCACTGAGCCGGGCAGGGGACACCCCTCCAAAGGCCCCTGGGTGGGCGTTGCCTAGCAACCCCAATAAGCATCCATTAGGGCCCACTGGGGGCCCCTGGGCTTTTGTCCAGGAACAACCCGGGGCCAAGGACAAAAGCAGGAGGCTGGAGCAGGATCCAGTCTCCAGGCCCCTCTTCCTCTCCCCTCCCACTCTGTCCCTTGCATTGACAAGTGCCTAGATTCAGGACCCACTAACCGGCAAGAAGGCTGTGTCCACCCGCTTTGAAATAATTATGTGGTTTCATTGAATGGCCCAAATCCATTTGCCATCAGGAGCTCCAGGCCAGGGGAGGTCTCTGGGGAGGCTCTCTTCCACACCTGCCTGCATTTCCAACATTCCAGATCCTTCCTGGCCGGCTAACCGGCATGGACGCTTACCCATGTTATTAGACTAAAGCTCATGGCAACCTTACCCAGGGTGAGGGTGAGGTGGGGGTAAGAGGAAGAAAGGGGCCACTACTTCCATTTTCCATAGGAACAAACGGGAGCTCAGAGAGGTGAAGACGCATGAGGAGGTGTCAGATGCCTGTGAACCAGAGCAACTCCATCTTAAATAAGAGCTGGGTAAAATAAGGCTGAAACCTACTGGGTTGCATTCCCAGACAGTTAAGGCATTCTGTCACAGGATGAGATAGGAGGCCGGCACAAAATACAGACTTTGCTGATAAAACAGTTTGCAGTAAAGAAGCCGGCTAAAACCCACCACAACCAAGACGGCCTCTGGTCGTCCTCACTGCTACACTCCCACCAGCACCATGACAGTTTACAAATGCCATGGCAACGTCAGGAAGTTACCCTATATGGTCCAAAAAGGGGAGGCATGAATAATCCACCCCTTGTTTAGCATATCATCAAGAAATAATCATAAAAGTGGGCAACCAGCAGCCCTCGGGACTGCTCTGTCTATGGAGTGGCCATTCTTCTATTCCTTTACTTTCACTTTACTCTATGGACTTCCCCCGATTTCTTTCTTACGTGAGATCCAAGAACCCTCTCTTGGGCCCTGGATTGGGACCCCTTTCCGTAACAGAGGCACATGCACGTCTGGAGCCAGGGAACATCCCAGGTGGGAACTAATTTCAGGCCTGTGTGGTCCTTCCCCTACATCAGAGACCAGAAGGACCACAGGGTGGAGGACCAGTCCCAGGCACGAGCAACCAGCAAGGAGAGGTCTCAGGAGTGCTCACCGGCCTCGTCCTCCCCGAAGGAGATGATGTACGGGTAGTAGTTGTTGATGAGGCCTGGGAACTCACAGGTCTGGCCGTGGCCCATGCAGATCTCACTGTACTGCCACTGGCCTGTCCCTGGGTTCTCTTGGAGGGACATCAGACGCCTGCAAAGGAAGATGAGCTGTGAGGCCATGCCTGGCATGGCACCCAGGGGAACCTACCCACCAATCCATCCATCCATCCATCCATCCATGTATCCATTCCTCCCTCCCTTCTTCCCTCCATCCTTCCACCATCCATCTACATATCCACTCACCCACTGATCCATGCAAGGACCATACACAATTCGCAGAGCCCGATGCAGAATGAGCATGCAGGGTCACTTGTCCAAAACATATTAAGAATTCAAGATGGTGACCACAGAGCATGAGATCAAGGGTGAACCTTTCTGGGTACCGGGCCCTCTGTGACTGCACATGTGGTATGTCCATGAAGCTGTCACTGTGTGCAATCTTCACCCAGCACCTACCAGACACCCACAGGAACGAACAAGACCGGCTTGGTTACTGCCCGCTGAATGCAATCCAGCCCACTGGATCCTACAGAGGGCACAGCGCTTTCAAGAGCTCACTGGTTTCAGAACCTGCCAAGCACTGGAGCTCCAACATCTTTGGAATATGCTAACCTTGCTCCTTACTCCCATCGCTGCTTGTCAATCACCTATTAATACTTCCAGGCCCTGCTTAGAGATGTCCCCTCCTCTGTGAAGCCCTCCCTGAAGGCCCCCATGCTGGGCTCCCCGACACTGTGCACAGGCTCTCTGGGGTTGCAGTGCAGTGGACTGAATGGGTCTGTCTCCCTGGCTCGGGTACGAGGGGTCCTATTCATCTCTGTCATCCTGGTTCTTGCCTGACCCAGCAGAGCGGCTGGGAAAATACTGGCAAAATTAGTTGAATTTCTGTGGTCAGGAGACTTGGGCTCTCCTGGGAAGGACAGAAGGGAGAAAGGAGAATCAGGGGTAAAAACAGAGGCTTCATCTGTACCCATTTTCCAGATGGGAAAGCTGGGTCCCCGGGGAAGGGGCGGATCTGGGAGAGGAATCCAACTTCCAGGGGCCCAGGTCAGGTATCTCTCTCAGCTCCAGGCTGCAGGCTGGACACAAAATCAGAATTCTCCCACTAGCTTCAGGCATCTTCATGTCTTTATTCCCTCTCCTTAGGAACCCTATTCGGCTGCTGCCAGAGGAGGTTGCATGGAAATAAGTAAGAAACACCAGGCTGGGCACCGTACCTTCAGCCTGTAATCCCAGCACTTTGGGAGGCCAAAGCAGGAGGATTGCTTGAGTCCAGTTCAAGATTAGCTTGGGCAATGGAGCAAAACCCCATCTCTACAAAAAATGCAAAAATTAGCCAAGCGTGGTGGCACATGCCTATAATCTCAACTATTCAGGAGGCTGAGGTGGGAGGATTGCTTGAGCCTGGGAGGTGGAGGCTGCAGTGAGCTGAGACTGTGCCACTGCATTCCAGCCTGGGTGACAAAATGAGACCCTGTCTCAAAAAAAAAAAATCACCATATATTAAGCATGTACTCCTTCCTTCCTTCCTTCCTTCCTTCCTTCTTTTCTCTCTCTCTCTCTTTCTTTCTCTCTCTTTCTTTCTTTCCACACTAGATTCTAAGTGATATTTATGTATTAACTGATTCAGTCCTTAAAACCACCCTAGGGGCAAGTACTATGATCATCTCCATTTTGCAGATGAGGTAGCTGAAGATAAGGAAAGGTGAAGTAACTGGCTCAAGGTCACCTGGCCAGTAACTGAGCCAGAGTTCAGACCAAGCCGTCTCAGCCTGCCCTTGGGCCTCTTTAGTCCTCAGCTTTCTCCTCTGTAAATGGGACAAGGTGGTCACGAGGCTCCATAAGCACCCTTGGGGACAGAGCCTGACTCGAAGGAGGGTTGTGATGTAGGTTTCCCTCCCCCATCAAACCTATTTGGGATGTGATTCATCCTCCTCCCACAGCAGGGTCTCAGTGGGTGGTACTGCTGCCCTAGAGCACGGGGGCAGGGCAGCAAGGCTCCAAGGCCACAAGAGCCCCACCTCCTCCTCTCCCCATTAGGAGGCCCATGGGCAGCCACTGTTCTCTCGGGTCTTAGTTTCTCAACCTTTGCAAGCTCCCTGCAGTCCTGGCTGGGGTGGGGTGGGGCAGGGCTCCAGGCCCCCATCAGCTGTTGCAGTGACAAGCTGTGGCTTCCCCAGGAGCAGGGTGGCCCTGAGTGTCCAGGAAATTGTTCATATTCTGCCCTCCTGCCCATCAGAACTGCTGTCAGGCCCAGAGCCCATGGTTCTCAGGAGGGAGAGGAAGACCACGGGACCCGCACTTAAGCAAGCCTCCAGTCTTTAATGCCATGAGTTGTGTGTCTATCATAGAGGTACTGAGGCCTGCAGCAAAGGCTCACCATACATCTCAGGAGAAAAGCGGGTGGATGCGGGTGTCCGGCCCACACCTAGGGGCCCCTGTCAGAGCAGCGAGGCACATGTGCAGGAACGGGCGCACACATACACTCCCCTTTACCAAGGAGCCAGTCCCAAGGAGCCAGTGGCAGCAGCCAGGGGCGCGAGGGCACTAGGTCACTTACCCGCTCATGAAATCCCCAAAAATGTAGAGGCCGTTCAGGTTGGGGTACTCGCAGCCCCGGTACACGTAGCCCCCTGTGACCGACTTGCCAACCGTGTGCGGGTAGGCGAAAATCGGCAGCAAGTCATCTGCGGGGTGGGAGGGAGAGAAGCTTCGGTGAGCCAGCGGCGGGAAGGTTCATCAGCCAGGAGAATTCCGGAGGGATTCCGCGGGGGTGGGGCGGCCACGGAGGGAGGGGCGTGCCCACAGCAGGGCTGGCGTGCCCACAGCAGGGCTGGCGTGGTGGAAAGCGTGTCTGCAGGGGTGCCAGGTGGGGATGGAGCGAGGAAGAACTCAAGAGCGCTGCTGGGAGGCCTCCAAGGCGCAGGGAGGCTCCGGGTGGAGGCGGGGGCAGTCACCGAAGGAGGCTTTGGCTCACAGCCCGTGGAGTTGGGGTGGGGGCAGATCCAGGGTCAGGGGGTGCCTGGGGTGCGGGTGGTCCCCGAGTGAGGCCCTGCCGCACAGCCCATAGAGTGGGGCCGAGGACAGACTCAGGGTCAGGGATCTCCGGGGGGGGGGGGGTGCGGTCTCCGAGGGAGGCCCTGCGGCACAGCAGGTGGGGTGGGGTGGGGGCGGATTCGGGGCCGGGGTCCCCGGGGCGCGGGCACTCACTGAGAGAGGTGTTGGCGCACAGGCTGCGGTCGTAGCACTCGAACCCTTCGCGCGCGCGCCAGCCATAGTTGCCGCCGCGCTCCACCACGTCCACCTCCTCGAACTTGTTCTGGCCCACGTCGCCGCAGAAGAGGCGCCCGCGGCCAGTGCCCGAGGAGGGGTCGCCACGGTCGAAGGAGCAGCGCCACATGTTGCGCACGCCCAGGGCGTAGACCTCGGGCTGCGCCGCGGGGTCGCCCACGAACGGGTTGTCGGGCGGGATGCCGTAGGGCAGGCCGCGCTCCTTACGGTCCACGTCGATGCGCAGCACCTTGCCCAGCAGCGCCGACCTGCGGGCGGGGTGGGAGAGGGCGCGGCTCGGGGTCGCCCTGAGCCAGGGCTCACGGGCTCCGCGGGGCAGGTGCTGGGGCGCCGGCTGACCGCTGAGCCAGGTGCAGGGTGAGCCTAGGCTGTGGGGCCAGAGACCCTGGGATGCTGTCCGCCTTAACTACTTACAGCCGGGTAACCATTCATTCACTCAACATGCATCCCCCACCTTCCTGTGCGCCAGGCCTGTCCCATGCGTTGGACACAACACATCATCTATTTCGTCTTGTCCTCACAACAGTCGTTTAGGTAGGTGTGTCCTAGTATGATCCCCACTTTACAGATGTGGCAGCGGAGCTCAGAAAGCTCAAATAACATCGCCCAGTTGCCGCACCGCTGGGATCCAGCCCAGACAGCCTGGGCCCAGAAACTCAAGCTCTTTACCACACACTCTGTGGAATCTTGGTGTCCTCAACTGTAATAGTAGAGTGGTCCCGCTCAGACCATTCAGTCCTCCCGGACTGTGGTATAGGGTGAAAATTCCACTAGAAAAAATGACTTGTATTTACAGTTTTCTTCCAGTACTCGGCACTGTGACCAGCACATAGTAGGTGACCATTAAGTGCAGAGTCAGTGAATGAAGGATTGCAATCAAAGCCAAATGCACCAGCGTGCGGGTTGGTGGGGAGAGGGGGAGAGAGCAGAGGGGTGCAGCCCTAAGCTCCAAGCAGCTAAGGAGGATAGCTCATGACAAAAGTGACGCGTGATGGGAAAAATCTGTAATGTGCTTAAAGACAGTGCGGAGAACATGCCCTTCTCAGCGGTGATTTCTGATGCACCGACTGAATGCATCAGTTTCCCTTGCTGTTAGCATTTTGGTGTCCTCCCTCTGGGTTGCTTTTCAAGGCAGGGTTTGTGAAGCTGTATTCCATCATCCTCACATAGCGTTAGCACCCACACCTTTCCCTTATCAGTAGGGACAGCAAACAAGTATCCTCTTTCACGGTGATGAAACGCTCCCACCCGATATATGCCTTGTGATCAAGCCCCTGTTGCTGGCCTTCTACTTTCCCCCGTAAATTCCTCTCATACACTCCAGCCTGCTGAACACCATCCAGATCACACCCCTGAACCCACGCGTCACATGCCAGGATTCGATATCTAAGTGGGCACAACTTGTAGCAGCAAAATAATGTTTTTAAGTTCTGTCCAATTATCCATTAATCCTTAATTTCTGTTTTCTCAACTTCATCTCTAAACACATCCCAAACGTGAGAAAGCTGGGATGATGCTTACACTGTCACACGTGAAAGGACAACTCACAAATTGTGAGCACTTTAATTACTGTAATCAACATCATACTTGCTATTTTTACTTCCTGGGCTGAGGAAGGTTTTACCATTTTGGCTAAGGGAATGGGGGAGGCTGACTTGAGACTCCTGGACATCCTGTTTACACTCCCAAGACTGTGTGTATGTATGTGTGTGAAGGTATGTATGTATGTAGATGTGTGTATGTGTATGTATGTGTGTATGTGTGTGTACATGTGGATGTATGTGGATGTGTGTGGATGTGTGTGTATATGTGTGTGTATTGTGTGTATGTGGTATGTGCATATGTGAATGTGTGTGTGCATGCATATGTATGTGTGTATATGTGTGTGCTGTGTATATGTAGCATATGCATGTGTGTATGTGTGTTTGTGTGTGTATGTGTGTATATATGTGTGTACATGTGTGTGTATGCATATTTGTGTATGTGTGTGTGTGTAATGGAATGAGATCTTGAGCTCATTTGCTCAAGCCAGGAAGTGGGTAAAAGAGCAAGACTACACGTTAACATCTGGGTCTTCCTGAGGGACCCTGGGACAGGAGCCCCACGTGCTGTTGCCACCCTGCTCCAGCCAGCTCACACTTTCCATTCGGCCTGGGAAGCATCCCTTCCCTTCTTCCAGCAGGGGTCTGGCAGGGCCAGGCTGACCTTAGAGAAAATCCCATCTGCCCTGAGGCTCGCTAATGCACCTCTCAGGCGCCTGTGCCCAGAGGGTCCTGTGCCAGGCCCTGAGCAGCCATGATTGCCTTTACTCCTTGTGACAAGCTGCCTGCAGAGTGGACTTTTACCCCCTCTAACTGATGAGGGCAAGTGACTTGCCTAGGCTGCCCAGCTAGCTGCAGGCTGAGCTGGGACCCAGAACCTTTTCTCCTGCCCTACAATGCCTGGCCGAGGAAGGAACTCACCCTCTGGAAGAGTATGAGAAGCCCAGGGATATGGAGACCAACCCACAAGCCAATCAAAAGCTGAACATACTTGTTTTGGGCATTTCCAAATGTCCCAAAGGGGTCTCCGGCCATCCCGCCATCTCCAGTGAAGATGTAGAGGTACCCGTCATCCCCGAAAAGCAGCTGGCCCCCGTTGTGGTTTGAGGCTGGTTCTTTGACCTCCAGGATTATCCTAAAGGAAGATAAGGGCCCCTAAAACTCAGCCTTCCACGCATGAGCCAAACACACAAAACAAGATCACGGTCTCCTTGGATGTCATTTCACAATGGAAAAGACCTTCCTTCCTTCCTTCCTTCCTTCCTTCCTTCCTTCCTTCCTTCCTTCCTTCCTTCCTTTCTTTCTTTCTTTCTTTCTTTCTTTCTTTCTTTCTTTCTTTCTTTCTTTTCTTTTCTTTTTGCAGACAGAGTGTTGCTCTGTCACCAGGCTGGAGTGCAGTGGCACAATCTCAGCTCATTGCAACCGCCGCCACCCAAGTTCAAGCGATTCTCCAGCCTCAGCCTCCTGAGTAGCTGGGATCACAGGTGCCCGCCACCATGCCTGGCTAATTTTTGTATTTTTAGTAGAGATGGGGTTTCACCATGTTGGCCAGGTTGGTCTCAACCTCCTGACCGCAAGTGATCTGCCCACCTTGGCTTCCCAAAGTGCTGTGATTACAGGCGTGAGACACCATGCCCAGCCTGGAAAAGACTTTTCATATCCTTTACATTAAGTGATTTTCCACAAGGAGCTAGTAGGTAGAATGAGCAAAGTTAATGCACTCTATCGTGCCAAGGAGGACCTAAAGGCTCAGAGAGGTTGAGCAACTTGTCTAAGGTCACACAGCCCACAGGTAGCAGAGCTGGGATTAGAACTCAAGTCTTCTCGTTCTGGCCTAGTGTTTTGTTTTGTTTTGTTTGTTTCTGCTCTCCATTGCTAGCACCTGCCCTGTTATGATTATGGGAAATTGTCGACCTAGTCACTGACACAGCTGGTTTCTTCCTCATCATAGCTTCCCACACACTAGTTACTTATGTTGAGCTCATCTTATGTACTCTCTCATTTGCAGCTTCTAACGGTGGGCAGGACGGTGTGCGGTGCACTCAGCGCCACACTCACCCTACTCAGGAACCTCCCTTACTGCCATTGCAGGAAACCTACCACCATACTTCCCAGCCAGCTGGCTTCCAGTTTGGGTTGGTGGGTGGAAGGGAGAGACCAGGTTTCTTTGGCTTCTAGCCCTGCCTCCGGAAGTGGTGGCTGCAGAGACAGCAGGGTTGGCTGGTGAACGTGGACTCCTGGGTTTCCACCCAGCCATCTTGGTACTAAGAGCAGCAAAGTCCACAGCACAAAGGACTTTTTCCCTTTGTTCCTCCAACCCAAGAGTGGTAGCAGCTTCTTACAGTTACTAGTCTTTAAGTAACTTAACCTTCCTCCTCTCCTTCTCCAGCCCTCCCAATGCCTTAGTCATCCCTGTGTTCAGTTTCCTCTGACTGAAATACTTAGGGTGGTTTAGGTTTTCCAGGATCGGTCACTGATTTCTCAATCCCTTCTTTTTCTTTCTTTCTTTTTTTCCTTTTTTGAGACTCTACCACCCAGGCCGGAGTGCAGTGATGTGGTCATAGCTCACTGTAGCCTCGAACTCCTGGGATCAAGGGATCTTCCTGCCCCAGCCTCCTGAGTAGCTGAGACTACAGGTGCATGCCACCATGCCCGGCCAATTTTTTAATTTTTTGTAGAGATGAGGGCTCTCAGTGTGTGGCCCAGGCTGGTCTCGAACTCCTGTCCTCAAGCGATCCTCCTTGCTTGGCCTCCCAAAGTGCTGGGATTACAGGTTTGAGCCACCGCACCCAGCCTATTAATCCCTTATCCATACAAATAAGAAAAAATTAGATACAGAAAGGTCAAGTGACTTGAACCCAGGACTTTGATTTTTCAGAGCCAAGACTGGAGGACTTTTCTTTGTGAGGCCTGTGCATATGATCTGGTGAGCAATACAGAGCTCCAAACTCCAGGTTCTCCATGGAGAGAACAGCTCAGACTTTCGGTCATCCACCCGGCATTGGGATCTCAGCTCTGGGAGGAGAGACTGACAGCGGATTCAGGCAAGGATAACCACTCATTCCTGGCCTGCCCTGAGCCTGCTGTGCCTACCTTTCCCCAACAGTGAGTCAAGTTCTAGGCTTGACTTTGTGAGGTCACCAGAGGACCTTTGCTGAGCCCCCACTCTGAAATATGTTCATCTGTGTATTTTGTGTTCCACCTCAAGTCTTTATCAGGAATCCATTTTTAAAAGTCACCACTGAAGACACATCCATTCTGTCCCTCCATCTCCCCTCTGTCAGATCCATGTGATAAACTTGGTCTCTCTTGGAGAACTGGCTGTACAGGCTCCTGTAAGATCTGATAATTATGTTTCCTCCTTTCACTCTGGCTGCCAGGAAGCTCATAGTCAAAACTAATGCTGTGAATCATAAAGCTTCACATTAGCCTTCATAGCTAACATATTTGATTTCTCCTCCTTTTTATACATTCGGTGTCAAGATTTTACAGTTTTATCAAACACACAATGTGCTGTTCTTTGCCAATTTGCCCTCACACCCAGTCCTGGCCCTCCCCCTACCTCCTCTCTACTGCAGGGGGTCAGCTCCTATGAACGACATTTCCCAGGCTTCTTAGATAGCTGGCCTCCAGCGAGGTTCAGCCAGTGGACAGCATTGGCAGGAGCCTGGAGAGGGAGGAGCACTGGGGTTTTTCCCCTTCTCTGCTTTAAGCAGCTTCTTGGCAACAGCTGCTCCTTCTCTCGGCTCCACCTCCTCCTGCCCAGGCCAATTATGGCTCCAGCTTCCACTGGGTGTCCCCAGCTCCAGGGCGCCAGTAACCCCATCTTCTCACTTTGTCCTCCCGGCCCAAGGGGTAGAGGCAGCTTCCTCCAGTTTTTAACCTCAGAGTCGCTGCCTTCCCCAGGTTGCCTTTTTTCTTTTTTCTTTTTTTTTTTTTTTTTTTTGAGACAGAGTCTTGCTCTGTCATCCAGGCTGCAGTGCAGTGGCAGGATCTTGGTTCACTGCAACCTCTGCCTCCTGGGTTCAAGACATTCTCCTGCCTCAGCCTCCCGGGTAGCTGGGATTACAGATAACCACTACCACACCCAGATAGTTTTTGTGTTTTTAGTAGAGACAGGGTTTCGCCATGTTGGCCAGGCTGGTCTTGAACTCCTGACCTCAAGTGATCCACCTGCCTCAGCCTCTCAAAGTGCTGAGATTACTGGCGTGAGCCACTGCGTCTGAGCCCTTTTATCATTTCTAACACATGAGTAACTGACTCCCAGGATCAAATTCTACCTATTGAGTTACCTGTTACAGGGTTTATTTCCTACTGGACTTAGACTGATACATGTGCCCCACGTGCAAGGTCAGGTCAGACCCATTTTGAAAACAGTTGGGGCATAAATCATCCACAGAGTGCAGGCTCTGCAGGCCTTGTTGAGAGGAGCAAAAGCCCAGAGGCAGGAACAGATGAACTTCAGGGCAGGAAGGAGAGCAAGTTCCCTGAGGCAGGGGATTCAGGTGGGAAAAAGGACCCAGTGGGGCTCAAGAATGGCACCTTCGGCCGAGGCGGGCAGATTGCCTGAGCTCAGGAGTTCAAGACCAGCCTGCGCAACACAGTGGAACCCTGTCTCCACTGAAATACAAAAAATTAGCCAGGTGTGGTGGTGTGTGCCTGTAGTCCCAGTTACTCAGGAGGCTGAGGCAGGAGATTTGCTTGAACCCGGGAGGCGGAGGTTGCAGTGAGCTGCGATTGTGCCACTGCACTCCAGCCTCGGCAACAGAGTGAGACTCCATCTCAAAAAACAAAACAAAACAAAAAAGATGGCACCTTCAGGCCAGAGCGAGGCAGGCTGGGGCAGAGGGCGGGCTTTGGAGACAACAGATCAGGGTTCCAGCTCTGACCCTCCCTCCCCGTGTGACCCAACACTTCACCTTTCTAAGCCTCCACTTTCTTATCTGTAAAATGGGAAAAATAATACTAGCCTCAGTGGGTTTTAGGAGAATCAAATGAAATGAAGCATCTAAAGTGCCTGAAATAAGAGTTGGTGGAGAAATGTCAGGCCTCACAGGCCAGATGGAGGGGTTTGGATATGATGCCTGTGTGAGGTCTGTTCTGTAAAACTGTCCTTCTCCAGGCCCCAAAGCATGAAATTCAGCACCCCCACCAGGTGTGTTAAATATTCACAATATGTGAGAACAGGATACCAACTGGTCCTGTCACACCAGTGCATATGGGTGCCTGCCCCCACCCAGGCCCGGGTTCCCCAAGGAAGCCACCTCTCAGAGCTGTGGTCCACGGCGTTCTCGTCATCCTCGGAGACTCTGAACTCGCTGATGCGGATCCACTCACTGCTGCGGATACCCACTGAGTAGTAGACGTAGAGCCTGCGGTTGTGCTGGAAGCTGGGGTGGAAGGCAATGCCCAGGAAGCCACGCTCGTCACCCTCCCAGGGCGAGGTGAGCACCACCCGGCTGATGTTCAGGAAAGGCTTCCCCAGCCTCGAGCGGTCGGGCAGGTAGGCCCACACCAGCCCCACCTGCTCGGCCACGAAGAAGCGGTGGGTGCCATCCCTGGCATGGACCATGGCCACGGGGTTGCGCAGCCCGTTGGCCACCTCCTCCAGGCACAGCTGCAGGCAGCCCTTGGCATCGGCTACCACGTGGCCCAGGTTTGAGTTGAGGTTCTTGTTGACCAGCAGGTAAGGGAAGCAGTAGTCCGTGTCATCCAGGGACAGGTAGCGGCAGAACCTGGCAAGGTTGCCCTCCAGCGCCCAGAGCTCCTGGTCAGTTGACAGGTGACGGAACAGCCCCCGGCACTTATGCCACATGTCCAGGCAGTAATCCTGGCAGAGCCCGGGCACCGTGCGCAGGGGCGTGAATGGGTCCTCGGCGTCATAGAGGTGGGCTGCATACGGCGAGCATTCCTGCAGAGACAGTAATGGCTCAGAGATGTTTTGTGGAGGTGCTTACCAGCCCAAGGTTACCTTGGGCGGGTCCCCCATCTCTCAGAGCCTCAGTCTGCTGATCCATAAAATGGAGACAACGCCATCTGCCTGTTACCACGATAAGCCTCAGTGACAGTAGCAAACCTTAGGTCTTAATGTTTGTGTTGTTGTTAGAACACTATTACTACTCCTATTAATAGCAGCAGCAACAGCAGCAGCTACTCTGGAGCACCTGCCGTATGCCAGGAAGAGTCTGAGGCACTGTCACCCACCCTCTCTGTGTTAACAGTGCGCCTCCGCCCCTACATCAGCACAGCTCACTGCTGCACTTAACTTGGGTTCCTGCCCAAGGCTCACCTCCGATCCTCCCTGACCACCCCGTCCGCACCCTCTAGTACCTTCCGGCCTCTATCTGTTGAAAAACAGTAAAACACGAAGTGCTCTCTAACTTGGCTCTGCCCATGGACAGCTCCATCATCAGCTCCTGCCTCTCCCCACCTCTCCAGCCTCCTGTCTACCTTCCATCTCCTGATACTCTGATATGGCTTGGATCTGTGTCCCTACCCAAATCTCGTGTAGAATTGTAACCCCCAGTGTTGGAGGAGGAGCCTGGTGGGAGGTGACTGGATCACGGGGCGGAGTTCTCACGCATGGTTTAGTTTAGTACCATCTCCCCTTGGTACTGTAGAGCGAGTGAGTTCTCATTAGATTTGGTTGTTTTAAAGTGTGCCCCCACACCATCTCTCTCTTGCTGCTGCTGTCGTCATGAGACATGCCGCCTCCCCTTTACTTTCCACCATGATTGTAAGTTTCCTGAGAACGCCCCAGAAACAGAGGCCACTATCCTTCCTATACATCCTGCAGAACTGTGAGCCCATTAAACCTCTTTTCTTTATAAATTACCCAGTTTTGTTTTGTTTTGTTTTGTGTTTGTCCGTTAGTTTTTTTGAGACAGGGTCTCTCTTTCTCTCTGTCACCAAGGCTGGAATACAGTGGCACCATCTCAGCTCACTGCAATGTCTGCCTCCTGGGCTCAAGAGATGCTCCTGCCTCAGCCTCCTGAGTAGCTGGGACTACAGGCGAGAGCCACCACGCCTAGCTAATTTTTGTATTTTTTGTAGAGATGGGGTTTTGCCATGTTGCCCAGGATGCTCTCGAACTCCTGAGCTCAAGCCATCTTCCCGCTTCAGCCTCCCATAGTGCTGAGATTACAGGCGTGAGCAACTGCACCCAGCCAGGTATTTCTTTATAGCGATGAGAGAAGAGACTAATACATACTCCCTGCCATTTCACACCTCTGAGCCTCAGCACAGGCTGTTCCCTTTGCAGGCATGCCCTTTCCCTGCTCTTCTCTGGCAGGCAGAATTCTCTTTATTCTTAAATCATGGCCATGGCCGTGGGGGAAGCCATGCTAACCAATCACAGCAGCTCCTGGGGTTTGGGGCAAATTGTGGACCAGGCACCAGGGCAGTGTGCCCATGAATCTGCATTTCCTCCTCAAGGCAACCATGGGAGGGAGGCCTGTTCTTATTACCACTGCACAGAGGTGGAAGCAGAGACAGCAGAAGGGAGCCCAAAGTATCATGTCACATGCCAGTGGGCTGGGGTTTGAGCCACGTCTGCTCAGCTCTACTGGCCAGCTCCCAACTACCCATCCCCAACGCCAGTTAAGTGTCCCCACACCACAGCACCCTCCCTGCACCCTACCCCTACAGCTCCAGGCTGTCTGCGGGCCTCCCTGTTAGAGCCGCCGGCCTGTGGCGTGGTCATTCTTTCTATCTGTGACTGACACCCTCCCCCACCTGTGAGTCCACCAGGCCAAGCCTGGGTCTGAGTCAGCTCTGGGCCCCCAGAGCTTCGGGGGATGCTCCTTCTGCAGTGGGGAGGTACTGACAGCCACACACTCCCTCCCCTCACAGGGAGGACCAGGCTGGGTTCCAGCAAGAGGCCTCTGGGACGTTTGGGGGAGGATTGGGGATGGGGGATGGCAGGCTGCCTCCCGGGGTGTTCTCAAGCCCCAGGCCAGGGCCCACTCACTCCTGTGACATGATTGTGGCTTTTGGTCATACCACAGCATGTCCTCCTGGCCCCTCTACTGCTGTGAGGCTAGGTCTCACCTGACTGGCCAAGGGCCACTTGGCAGAATGTCTTGGGGTCCTGGTCAGTTACTGTCCCAGGTACAGACCAGGGTGCCATGTCTTACATGCTCCCCTCTGCCAGTGAGCAGGCCAGATGGCCAGGCCTCAGGCCGCCGTGTGTGCTGTCCCTCCCATGGTTCACTGGGAACCACCTGTGGGTCAGCCGGCAGCTGCACGTGGACCAGGGAGGGGCTGTGTGCACACGTGCCTTCTTTCATCTCTGCAAGGTAGGGTCATTGTCACTATTTTATTTTATTTGTTTATTTTTTGAGACAGGGACTCTCTCTGTCATCCAGGCTAGAGTGCAGTGGCACAATCCTAGCTCACTGTAGCCTTGACCTCCTGGGCTCTAACGATCCTCCCCACCTCAGCCTCCAGAGTAGCTGGAACCACAGACGTGCTCTACCACACCCGGCTAATTTTCATTTTTATTTTTTGCAGAGACAGGGTCTCTCTATGCTTCCCAGGCTTGTCTTGAACTCCTGGGCTCAAGCAATCCTCCCGCCTTGGCCCGCCAAAGTTCTGGGATTATAGGCATGAGCCACCGTACACGGCTTGACTCCTATTTTATAGATGAGGAACTGAGACTTAAAGAAGGCCACGTGCCAAGAAGTAGCCAAACCAGGGCTCACACCCAAGCCTCATGATGCCTGGACTGGTGTTCTTTCCAGATTAGTCAGCAACATTTCATTCACCAAGAATTTACTGAGCAGAGATTGTACCAGGCACCATCTTGGTTCCAGAGACGCAGTGAGGGGCAGAACAGACATCTGGAAGGCAACGAGAGCCCTCCGTTCACCAAAGCCCAATCCAGAACTACAGAGGGAGCAAAAGTTCCCTCAGGGAGCCAGGCCGAAGACCTCGGCATCCGTGCGTCCCAATCACACAGCAGATGCTTCCTCGTGGCCTATGTACTCTTACTTACACACGACGTAAATGTGGTGCCCAGACCAGGGTAGTCCAGAGCTAGGAAGTGACAAGAAGACATAGTGATTGCTGCTGGCAAGAGGATGATCCGCAGCTTGGCCTCAGTGTGTTTAGGGGCAGGTGGCAGGAAGGCCATAGGAAACCAGCCCAGTATCGCAGGCTTCAGCCGCCCGGGCCATTCAGTGCAGGGCGGAGGGCCCCCATCTTGCCCAGAGTTTGCCACCCCCATGTCACTGACACTCGTGACTCATGGCCCTGGGTCCTGAAGGTTTCTTATGTCCACCGTTCATTTTTTGAAAGAGCAAGCCTTTGCACAGTGTCCTGTCCATCGGATATTTGCTTCTCACCTACTTCCTCATCTGGCAAACTGCTATTCATGACTCAAGGCCTACTCAAAGGTCTCCTCTTGTCCTCCATGCTCCCAGGGCTCTGACTGTCCCATCCCTGGCCCTTATGGATGCTCCCAATGCACTCTGTCCATATCTCAGACACGACACTCACTCCATTGAATCTTGTAGCTTACAGGGTGAGTTCTCTACAGCAGTCACTGCTCCGTCGCCAGGGGCGCTCCAGCCAGTCAGCTTGGCTAGGACTTCATTATCTCTTTGCATGTCTGTCCACTCCACGGACTGTGGGACACAGTGGGGCTTCAAGGAGGGAGGCAGTGTGGCAAAGCGGTTAGGAGAATGGCTTTGGAGCCAGCGCACACATTCCCCATGGGGAATGCTCCTTAACCTCTTACTGCTCTTAACCGTGGGCAAGCTCCTTAACCTCTCTGTGCCTATGTCCTCATCTGTGGAAGGGGAAAGGAATTCCAACCTCATAGAGTTGTTGGGAGGAACAAATGGAGAAGATGTATGTGTTTGTTCAGTAAATAATGAGCTATCAACATGCAACCAACATTCAGGAAGCCTTCCCTGAGGTATGTGGCCTTGTTCCTACACTCCTTGAGGAATTTCTGGCACCTTCCTGTGTGTGTCAGTCTCCTGAAGTGATGAAGGGGATTTTTGAGACTGGGCCTGTGACTTGCCAACTGTTTTTGGGCCCAGCATCCAGCACAGGGCTGCCTCCTAACAGGCTCAGGAAGAGCCTGCTGAATACATGAGCCCATAGAATACATTTCATGGAGATCTCCATCAGAAACCATGCTTTGATGATTTTAGTGGCTTAGAGAGGCAACCCCAGTCACAGGGGAGGTTAGCGATGTGGAAGCTCACACCAGATGCACTGGGGATGCCACGTGCCATGGCTGTCCTCTCTCCTCCAGAGGACACAGGCACTTACTGGACAAGCAAAGCCTCAGGAAAGAGTCTCCCATCCCCCCAAAGCAGGTGTGAAGGCCTGAGTGCCTCCACACTGACAGAGACCTATGAATAAGGCACCTCCACCACCTCCCCGTGTGGAAATCAGGAGGTGCCAAATGCAGACTCTGCCTTGGCTAGCAGAGAGCATGGTCCTCCCGCCAGCATGCTCCAGGAGGCCCCGTCAGTGAAACCATAACCCAGCCTCAGCCGCCGTCTCTAAGCTCACTCCAGACATGAGGTCACTCTCAGAGACGCCTGGGCTGAAGTGTTAGTGGTCACTCCTGCTAACTGCTGGTTGCTTAAAGCCAGGCTGTCCTGGGAAGTTTCCCAAGAAACCTGCCAGGGGACAGCATCAGGACTGACCCTTCCCTTCCTCCATCCACCTGCCCACCTCACTGCCGTGCTGAGCCTGGCACATAGCAAGTGCTCAATAGACAAATGTGGCATGGATGCAGGAACTCTGCTATGTGATGGGGGTAGGGAGACCAAAGGACCTGGTCCTGAGGAGCCCCCAGGCTGGTGAGGGAGGCAGACGCTTGGCCAGACCATTCCCGTGCCCTTGAGGTGTACAGCATGGGAGTCCAGCAGAGCCCACCTAAAGGTGGCCAGCCCACCCTCTGTTGCATTCTGGAGCTCCCCAGGGCCCCCTCCTCATCCTCCCAGAGTCTACTGCTTCCCACCTAAGATATGAGCTCGCTTCAGCGAGTGTGGTCCATGTCCCCACCTCAACCACCGCTGGGCTGTGCGACCACTGGGCAAGTCCCTGCCTGCCTCTGAGTCTTCCTTGATTCGGGCTCCAAGCCTCACCTGGACCCTTCCCAGGGCTGGGCAGCCAGTGAGGGCCAAGGAAGCCCTCGAGAAATCCAACTGCAAACACTTACCGAGCCCCTAGTATGTGGCATTTAATCTGCATGGCCACCCAGGGGGGTGGTTAAGGTTTTATTTTATTTATTTTATGTATCATATTATATCATATTATATTATATTATATTATATTATATCATATCATATCATATCATATCATATCATATCATATCATATTATATTATATTATATTTTTGAGACGGAGTCTTGCTCTGTTGCCCAGGCTGGGGTGCAGTGGCTCAATCTTGGCTCACTGCAACCTCTGCCTCCCAGAGTCAAGTGCTTCTCCTGCCTCAGCCTCCCGAGTAGCTGGGATTACAGGAGCTCCCCAACATGCCCAGTTAATTTTTGTATTTTTGTAGAGATGGAGTTTCGCCATGTTGGCCAGGCTGGTCTCGAACTCCTGACCTCAAGTGATCTGCCCACCTTGGCCTCCCAAAGTGCTGGGATTACAGGCATAAGCCACCATACTCAGCTTCATTTTAAAGATATTGTGAGGTGCAGCAGTGACCTGCCCAGGTCACGAAGCTGGGGAAGTGACAGAGCCAGGATCAAACTCCAACTCCAAGTCAGCCTTCTTGCCCTTCCCCACACCACCTGCCCCTGCTGGCCGAAGGCTGGGACACGGCCCTGGCCCCTGGGGCCTCTCCACCCCAGGCCTCTCACTGCCCAGATGCTGAGGCAGGAATGCCTTGGGGCTGCCCGTCCTGCTCCATTTCTGCATTCAGCCAGGCAACATTTGCCCACTTGGGTGTGGTCAGGCCCTGGGGCCTCAGACTCCCACAAGAGGAAAACAAATAGCGGTGGCACCACCAGGTGTGCACAGAAGCAGGGGCTCCACCCTCAGAGGGAAGATGGGGGGCCCAGGGGCTTCAACAAAGAGCTGTCGCTCAGTCTTGAGAGAGCTTCTGCAGGCCAGGGCGCCATCCCCAGGAGAGGGCACAGCACCCACAGAGGTGGTGGCGGAAGTGGCAAGGGCATCAGGATGGGGGTGAGACGCTCGTGGGGGACAGTGGCCCCAACCCCCTCAACAAACCCGGGCCACACGTTGACCACGCCCACGCCAGGGCCCCCTGCTTTCACTGCCCCGGGGACAACACAAAGGAGCACTGACCGGGACAGATGCCTCTCCACCTTGGTACCCCGACAAGGGTGCAGCTGCTCGGGGTGGGACGCTGAGGGGTCGACTCCAGGGGACTGGGGCAGAAGAGCCCCCAACCTCTGAGGAAATGATGACATCATCTGTCCGTCCGTCCGTCCTTCCTGCTTCAGGAGGGGAAACTGAGGCCCCGAGAAGGCCCAAGTCACAAAACTAATGAATGGCAAAGCCAAGAGTCGTCCTGGGATGCGCGGTCTCCCCGCCCCGTGCCAAATGACTCCCTGTTGGGGCTTAGAGTTCCCGAGTCCGCCGCCCACTCTTGGCCCTCGCCCCCGCGGGGTTCCGATCTCTGCTCCAGGACTCGGCCTCCCGCGCCCCGCCCCGCCCGGTGGCCGCGCGCCCGCTCACCTGGCACAGCAGGTCCCTCGCGTAGCCGGCGCACGCGGCCCACTCGGCGGCGTCCACGCGGCTCGCCAGGGCCCAGAAGCGGCGGGTCAGCTCGGCGTCGCGCCCCTCATCGCAGCAGCCGAAGTCCGAGTACTGCGCGCAGAGGCGCAGCGGCTGCGTCGGCCGGAAGGGCGGCCTGAAGTCCAGGCACTGCGGATGCGCGGCGGCCCCGAGCACCCAAAGCGCCAGCAGCGCCCCGGCCCTGGCCCGGGCCATCGCTACGCCCCGCGGGGGAAGAGGCGGAGGGACGGCAGCCCCGGTCCCCTCCCGGGGCGCTCGCGGCGGCAGGGAAGGGGCGGGCGCTCCCCTTCCCTACACGCAGGGCCTCGAGTTTGGGGACCTCCCCTTCTAGGAGGTCACCTCTGGTCGGGGACACTCGGCGGGACTGAAGGAAGAGGGACGCGGCGCAGAATGCGGCACGACCTCTTTTAACCGCTTTCCAAATTCGATGGGAGTGGCCCGGTCTGTTTAAAGCCCCGGTGTGTTTTCCCGGTTCCGCCTGGGGCCCTGCTTCCTCCCCACAGGGCGCTCTTTAGCCAGGGAGGCGCAGGGCCAGAGGCCTGGACTCCTGGGCTTCGGTTCCACCTCCCACTGGGCTAGGGAAACGGATGCCCGCAGCCCGTCCCCGAAAGCTCCCACGTAACATTTTAAAAATGGGGGTGCGAGGGAAAGAACAGGGGGTGTTGCCCCAGGACTCTCAGGGAGAAGTGAAACCTGGCGTAGGGGTGGGGAGGGAGGACGGAGCAGTCTCCGCAGTCCACCCTTTGCCCTTACTGTGGGCTTCTTCCCAGTCTCTGCTCCTGGGGCAGCGGATTCTCCTGCAGCCCAGGACCCACTGGGGCTCCCCACTTCCACTCTCGCATAGGGAGCACTGATGAATCTACCTCCTGGGATGGGCATCCAGCCCTTTGTTCCGCTGCCCCCGCTGGAGATTCAGACCCAACCCCGCCCCACCCCCCCACACACATACAGACGCACACACGCTGTCTTACCTACCCCAGAATCTCATGGCACCAAAACCACCCACACAGACAAACACACACACACTGTCTCACCTACCCTAGAATCTCACAGCACCAAAACCACCCAGGCATTTTTCTCAAGTGGACCTCAGCGTTTGCTTCTCCCTGGAGTGTCCTTCCCCATCTTCTCTGTCCAGTGAGCTCCTACTCCATCTTCATGGCCCCAACGCACACATCCGTCCTCTGCAGGTCTCTTTGGACTGTCCTGGGGGATCATGTTTCTGTCTTTGGGCCCATGCTCCTGGCAGAGCTGGGGGTGGATGAGATGCGGCAGGGCTGGAGCACTCAGAGGTCTGTGGCTCTGGCCTGAACAGGTGCAGTGTAAGAGTCAGGGTCTCCGCACAGCCAAACATCTCTGAGTATTTGAAACACGGGGAATTTAACGCAGGGACTTGAAGCCAAAGAGGCTAAGAAGCCATACAGGGCTCAGTGAAGTAACCTTGAGATCAGCAACAGTAGGAACAGTCCCCAGGTCCTTGATGCAGGAAGAGCAGATGTTACTGGAGCCAAGGAGCTATGGTCACCTTGTCAAAGCTGGACCCTCACAAGGCCTGTCTGGCCACAGCTGGAGATAGCCACTGTCAGAGATTCTGCACAGACAGAGGAGGAGAAATACCCCGGCTTCTCCCTGCCACTTCCCCTCCAACTCCCACCTGTGGCTTTCATTGGCTGAACCTAGCAGAGGGCTGCTAGGGTGGGAAATGCGGCCTGCAACGGCTTCCTGCACAGACAGCTGGGAATAGGCAGAGCCAGGATGGAATCGGAGGGCACGATGGCGCCTACTTCCCAGCTGGGACTCAGAACTGGGTGATAGTCACACATCAACACAGGGCTCCAGATGAGTGTACAGAGGTGGAAGTGACACAGAGCCTGGGCCACAGCCATGAGGTTTGGGCTCCTACAGCCACAGAAAATGTCAAACACAGCCCAGCCCCAGCCAGAGTAACATAAATCCTCACCCTAATACCTATTTACCTCGGTTTCTGTTATCTAGTACATCCTGATTGGCTTTCCAGAAAAACAACAAGGCATGAAAAAAAGATAAGAAAAGTCACAGTCAGGAGCCGGGCACAGTGGCTCACGCCTGTAATCCCAGAACTTTGGGAGGCTGAGGCGGGCGGATCACCCGAGGTCAGGAGTTCGAAACCAGCCTGGTCAACATGGTGAAATCTCGTCTCTACTAAAAATACAAAAATTAGCCAGGCGTGGTGGCACGCGCCTATAATCCCAGCTACTGGGAGGCTGAGGCATGAGAATCGCTTGAACCCAGGAGGCGGAGGCTGTAGTGAGCTGAGATCGTGCCATTGCACTCCAGCCTGGGTGACAGAGCGAGACTCTGTCTCAAAAAAGAAAAAAAAAAGTCAGTCAGAAGGAGCATCAGAGCCAGCCTGGGACATGACACAGATGCTGAAATTACCAGACATGGAATTTAAAATAACTATGACTAATATGTTAAGGGCTCTGGTGGAAAAAGTTGACAACATCAAGACCAAACATCTCTGAATATTGACAAGGACATTGGCAAGGACAAATGGGTAATAGAAGCAGAGAGGGGTCCACTTTAAGAAAAAAAATGAAGGCCGGGCACAGTGGCTCATGCCTGTAACCCCAGCACTTTGGGAGGCCAAGGTGGGCGGATCACGATGTCAGGAGATCGAAATCATACTGGCTAATACGGTGAAACCCCATCTCTACTAAAAATACAAAATTTAGCCGGGCATGGTGATGGGCGCCTATAGTCCCAGCTACTTGGGAGGCCGAGGCAGGAGAATGGCGTGAACCCAGGAGGCGGAACTTGCAATCAGCTAAGATTGCGCCACTGCACTCCAGCCTGGGTGACAGAGCGAGACTCCGTCTCAGAAAAAAAAAAAAAATTAAAAGATATATTAAAAGTCAAAAACAATGTAACAGAAATGCCCTTGCCGAGCTGACAAGTAGACTGAGACTGCCGAGGAGAACACCAGTGAGCTTAAAGATGCGTCAGCAGCAGCTTCTCAAACTGATACACCAAGAGAAAAACAGAAGTTACAAAAACAAACACTAGAGCATCCAAGGACTGTGGAACAATTTCCAAAGATGTAAATACAGATAACTTGAAAATGGGAAAGAGAAGAAGGGGAAAAAAATGGCAGAAGAAATAGTTGAAGTAAAAATGGCTGAAAGGGCAGGCACAGTGGCTCATGCCTGTAATCCCAGCACTTTGGGAGGTGGAGGCGGGCTGATCACCTGAGGTCAGGAGTTCGAGACCAGCCTGGCCAACGTGGAGAAACCTCGTCTCTACTAAAAATACAAAAATTAGCCAGGCATGGTGACGGGCGCCTGTAATCCCAGCTACTCGGGAGGCTGAGGCGGGAGAATCACTTGAACCCAGGAGGCAGAGGTTGCAGTGAGCCGAGATCACACCACTGCACTGTAGCCTGGGCCACAGAGCGAGACTCTGTCTCAAAGAAAAAAAAAAAGGCTAAGAATTTTCTGAAATTCATGACAGATACAAAACAACAGATCCAAGAATCTAAGAGGCATAAAGCAGGATAAATACCAAAAAATCAACAGCGAGGCATATCCTATGCAAACTGCAGACAACCAAAGATGAAGAAAAACCTTGAGAGAAGCCAGAGGGGGAAAAATACCTTACCTATAGAAGAACAAGGAGAAAAATTACAGCAAACATTAGAAACCAGGCAAGCAGGCCGGGCACGGTGGCTCACGCCTGTAATCCCAGCACTTTGAGAGGCTGAGGCAGGTGGATCACCTGAGGTCAGGAAGTCGAGACCAGCATGGCCAACATTGTGAAACCCCCGCTCTACAAAAATACAAAAAATTAGCCAGGCATGGTGGCGGGCACCTCTAACCCCAGCTACTTGGGAGGCTAAAGCAGGAGGATTGCTTGAACCTGGGAGGTGGAGGTTGCAGTGAGCTGGGATTGCACCATTGCTCTCCAGCCTGGGCAACAGAACGAGACTCTGTGAAAAAAAAAAAAAGAAAGAAAAAGAAAGAAACCAGGCAACCAAGAGACAGTACAGTGAAATCTTTAAAGTGGTAGAAGAAAAAAATAGAAATAAAAAACCCATCAACCTAGAAGTCTAGATCCAGTGAAATTATCCTTCAGGAGTGAAAAAGAAATGAAAGCTTTGCCAGAAAAACAAAAATGGGAGAAATTCATCACCAGCAGATCTGCCCTACGAAAACAAAAAAGCATTAAAAGAAGTTCTTCAGGCCAGGTGCAGTGGCTCACACCTGTAATCCCAACACGTTGGGAGGCTGAGGCGGGTGGATCACCTGAGGTCAGGAGTTGGAGACCAGCCTGGCCAACATGGCGAAACCCAGTCTCCACTAAAAATACAAAAATTAGCTGGGTGTGGTGGCGGATGCCTGTAATCCCAGCTACTGGGGAGGCTGAGGCAGAAGAATTGCTTGAAACTGGGAGGCGGAGCTTGCAGTGAGCCAAGATCGCACCATTGCACTCCAGCCTGGGCGAGAGAGAGATACTCTATCTCAAAAAAAAAAAAAAAAAAAAAAAAAAAGAAGAAGAAGTAAAGAAGTTCTTCAGGGAGAAAGAAGATGATATAGGTCAGAAATTCAACGTACTGGATGGTTATAGCACATGGATGGGTGAAATGGATGACAGCAATGTCATAAGAGATGGGAGGAAGGAACTGGAAATTCTGTTATAAGTTATCACACTACACATGAAGTGGTATAGTGTTATTTGAAGGTAGACTTTTATTAGGAAAAAAATGTATTTCCTCTGTAGTATCTGCTCAAATTTTTCTGCAAATCTAAAATGGTTCAAAAAGTCTATTAATTAAAAAAACCCAGCTGGGCACAGTGGCTCACCCCTGATATTCCAGCACTTTGGGAGGCCAAGGCAGGCAGATTGCTTGAGCCCAGGAGCTTGAGACCAGCTTGGGCAGCATGGCAAAGCCCTGTCTCGACAAAAAATACAAAAATTAGCTTGGCGTGATGGTGTGCAACTGTAGTCCCAGCTACTTGGGAGGCTGAGGTAGGAGGATTGATTGAACCTGGGAAGTTGAGGCTGTGGTGAGACAAGACTGTGCCACTGCACTCTAGCCTGGGTGACAGAGCAAGACCCTATCTCAAAAATAAATAAATAAAAATTTTAAAGTTTTAAAAACCACATAAACAAAATATGTGTTGCATACTCTAGCCCAACCATTAAAATAATTGTAAAAGAAATATAATTGATATGCTTTAAAAGAAGGTAAAATGAAATCATACTAATAAATGCTCCATTTTTAAAACCAGAGAAGGCAGGTAAGAAAAGGGAGGCAGGACCAAAGAACAAGTATAATCAATAGAAAAGAGTTATACATATTGTAGATGGTAATCCATCTCTATCAACAATCACTTTAAATCTGAATGATTGGAATAGATCAATTAAAAGACATAGATTGTCAGAGTGAATTAAAACATAAGGCCTAGGCGGGGCATGGTGGCTCACGTCTGTAATCCTAGCACTTTGGGAGGCCGATGTGGGAGGATCACGAGGTCAGGAGTTCGAGACCAGCCTGGCCAATATGGTGAAATCCAGTCTGTACTAAAAATACAAAAATTAGCCGGGCGTGGTAGCGCGTGCCTGTAGTCCCAGCTACTCAGGAGGCTGAGGCAGAAGAATCTCTTGAACCCAGGAGGCAGAAGTTGCAGTGAGCCGAGATCACACCACTGCACTCCAGCCTGGGCAACGCAGCAAGACTCCATCTCAAAAAACAAAAAAACAAACAAAAAAACAAGGCCTACCTGGTATGGTGGCTCATGCCTGTAATCCCAGCACTTTGGGAGGCTGAGGCAGGCAGATTGCTTGAGCCCAGGAGTTCAAGACCAGTATGGGCAATGTGGCAAAACCTTGTTGCTACAAAAAATCCAAAAACATTAGCTGGGTGTGGTGGTGTGTGCCTATAGTCCCAGCTACTCTCGAGGCTGAGGTGGGAGGATTACTTGAGCCCAGGAGGTCGACGCTGCAGTGAGCCATGATCACTGCACTTCAGCCTGGGTGACAGTGCGAGACCCTGTCTCAAAAAAATAATAATAATAAAATAAAAATAAACAACCAAGGCCCAACTATATTCTGTCTACAAGAAATCCACTTTAAATGTAAAGACTGATAGTTGAAAAACAAAGAGATGGAGAAAGATACACCATGCTACCTTGAATTAAAATAAAGCTGGAGTCACCACATTCATTTCAGATGAAGCAAACCATAGTGATATAGAAGCCAGAACCCGGTTCCCCGGTCTCCACCAGTTAGGCAGCTCCCTGAAGGCAGGGGCCCGGCTGTTGAGCTCCCAGGGTATGACATCTGGCACGTGCTAGGCATCTTATTATTTGTAAGAACAAATAAGCACATGAATGGACAAAAGGATGAATGAGTGAATGAGTGAAAGGATGAGGGAATGAATGAATGAATGATCAAATGCTCTGACTTGGCTATTTCTATGGCCTGAGCTCCTGCCACAGCTGGACAATTCCACCAAATGCCATCTGGAGCCAGAGGTGCTTGTGTGGCGGTGGGATGTGCACCACCAGGGCAACAAAGACAAAGCTAGTCCTTTGGGCCGAAGGTGCCTCACACTCCATCTAATGGAAATGCAGCTTCGGAAGCCAGGCCTGGGGCTGAGAAGTGTCCCAGTTTTCTTCAGCAAATGATTCAGGGCCCACAAAGGCTGCCTGGCACAAGGGAGCCGCCTGGCCCTGCTTCAAATTCCCCATTAAGGACTCTCCCTCAACCCAACCTCTGTTTCCCTATCTCTTGAGTGGGAGTGGGGAAGAGGTGAGACCAGGCCTTTGCTGGCCCCTCTGGGGCCTGAGGGTGTGGGGTCCAGGAGCATTGCCCACGTTTCCAGGAGCCCGGCAGGCATCATCGGCTGCCACTATCAGGGCACATAGGCCAGTGGACACCCAGCGCCTCTCTGGCCAGACTGGGTCGGTATGGGCACCTACGCATCGGCTCCAGCAGACCAGGCTCTGCTAATTCCATGGTTTTGCGTCCCTTCTACAGAAAGACTGGGAAGGCCTCGGGGCAGCCTCTTCCCCGACAGGCCGCCTGTCCCCACTGTCTTGAGAAGAACCGCCAAGGTGTTGGTGAATCTGTTCTCCGCAGGGCCCAGGCCTCCTCCGCCACTCTTAGCTGCAGCGGGAGAATGTGCCAGGACCCATCTCGTGAGTGCTGGGGAGTGAGTGAGCCATTGCTCTGCCACTCTGGTAGCCGGGATACCTGTGTGGTATAGATCATGGCCAGGCAAGGGGCCAGCGCAGACCTCAGGCCAGAGCCAGCCTTCGTAAACATCCTTATGGAAAAATTACCAAGAACAGAAGAAGGAACACCCAGGAACACACCACCAGACTTCACCCGTGCTAACATTTGACCACGCTCCCTTTAGGTGTCTGAAATCCTTTTTAAAACACGAAGAACTGTGTGCCTCAGTGTGAGAGGCGATGTGGGTTGGTCATGAAGAGCAGTGGGTTCGAGTTCTGGCTCTGTAACTTACCAACTGTGTGGCCTTGGACAGGGCCCTTGACCTCTCTGGGCATTGGTTTTCTCATCTGTTAAATGGGAGTGATCAATGAGGCCATTGGAAGAGTGCCTGGCGTGTAGTATGTGCTCAAAAAACAGGAGCTATTACAGGCCCAGTGAGCTCCTGACACCATGGCCTCACGTGAGCCTCAGAACCTTTTCCTCTGCTCAGGGAACATTCTCCTGAAGGCGACTGTGTGCAGGTTCCACAGAGAAGACAGATCAGCATCTGGCATGTTCTTAAACTTTCTATAAATGGTCTCTTGTGACACTTTTCTTTCTTTCTTTTTTTTTTTTTGAGACGGAGTCTTGCTCTATTGCCCAGGCTGGAGCACAGTGGCACACTCTCAGCTCACTGCAACCTCCGCCTCCTGGGTTCAAGCAATTCTCCTGCCTCAGCCTCCCAAGTAGCTGGGATTAGAGGCACCCGCCATCACGCCCAGCTGATTATGTTATTTGTTTTTTGTTTTAGTAGAGACCGGGTTTCACCATGTTGGCCAGGCTTGTTTCAAACTCCTGACCTCAAGTGATCTGCCTGCCTCGGCCTCCCAAAGTGCTAGGATTACAGGCATGAGCCACTGCACCAGCCTCTTGCCACACTTTTTCTTTCTTTCTTTCTTTCTTTCTTTCTTTCTTTCTTTCTTTCTTTCTTTCTTTCTTTCTTTCTTCCTTTCTTTCTTCCATTCTTTCTTTCTTTCTTTTTCTTTCTTTCTTTCTTTCTGCCTCCCTTTCTCTCTCTCTCTTTCTTTTCTTTCTTTCTTTCTTTTTTCCTTCCTTCTTTCTTTCTTTCTCTCTCTTTCTTTCTTTTTTCCTTCCTTCCTTCTTTCTTTCTTTCTTTCTTTCTTTCTTTCTTTCTTTCTTTCTTTCTTCTTTCTTTCTTCTTTCTTTCCTTTTTTTTTTTCAGCAGGATCTTTCTCTGTCACCCAGGCTGGAGTACAGTGGTGCAATCACAGCTCACTACAGGCTCAAGCAATCCTGCCTCAGCCTCCCAAGTAGCTGGGACTACAGGCATGCACTTCCATGCCCGGCTAATTTTTTATTTTTTTGTAGAGATGGGTCTTATTGTGTTGTTCAGGCTGCTCTCAAACTCCTGGGCTCAAGCAATTCTCCCCCCTCGGCCTCCCAAAGTGCTGACATTACATGCATGCACCACCACGCCTGGCCTCTTGCTGCACTTTTCTTTTTGTAACTTCCTTCTTTCCCCTCCATCTGGTGTTGGAGATTCGTCTACACTAAAGGGCAATTCACTCCATTTAACTGCTGTCTAGAACTCCACTCTCTAAGCAGTGCCACCGTCTGTAGATCTTGCAAGTCACCAAAAAGCAGCTCAGACTGTCCCTGAAGTCCTGCCTGCTTGACAATCTGCTGGTCTGTCTTCAAAACATCTATTTTAAAATTAAAACTTGGAAAAGGAAAAAAACAGAAGACAGAAATGGGCATTTATTAAAGACCCACAACCGTGCTAGGAGCTTTGCCTGTGCCACGTCATGCGGGCCTCATGTCAGCACCAAGTCCCAGTGGGACCCCGTGGACCAGGAGGTCACCTTTCCCCAGATGCTGCCCCACCCCCACCCATGTGCCAACAGAACTCCACCCCCAGGTCTCTCCAGGTATTTCTGAGTCTCCAGGGGTCATACACGGACTCAGCGGCAAGTATTCCGAAGCCTCCATGACATCCCTTCCCACTCACACCCACCACCTGGGCCAGTCATTCCCCACCACATGCAGATGAAGAAGCTGAAGCACAGAGAGGTGACAACAGCTAGTCATAATCAGGTCACAGAGTGGAGGGGTCCGGATTTGAACCCAGTGCCCCGTGGCTCCAGAGGCAGAGACTCTTCCTGAAGCCACAAGTGGAGTTGGTGGCAGTGGAAGGCTAGAACCCAGGGCTCCTGACTCCCAGGGCAGTGCTCTGGCCGAGACCCTCTGAGACCGATGCACAGTAGGACTCCTGCTCCACGTTTCAGCCTTATTGAAGGCACGAGATAACTTTGCATGGAAACGCATTTATATATGTGTGATTAATTTGAAAGAGAAGTACCAAGCCATAGCCCAGCAATCCCCTGCCTCCAGAGGCTGGTGATGCTGATCAACCCTAGCAGGTAGCTCTCTCTGTCTCCCCATGTCCCTCCTGAGCTGCAGGGCCTGGACTGCCTTGTGTCTGTGGGCCTGCGTGCAGCCTCTTGCAAGTAGGAAATGAATGAATGAATGAATGAATGAGATGGGCTCACCACTGCAGGGAAGATTGGGGAGGGTGAAAGGGGAGCCTGACTCTTGCTAACCACAGAACTAATGATGCCTTCAGAGGAGGAGACCCCAGAGTCTAACCCCTGACGGCCCAAGCAGGGAAACTGAGGCCCAGGGAGGAAAAGGCCCAGCCCCACTTTCCTGTGGATGCTCTGAGGGTCACTTTCCTTTCCTGGAAGTTTTTCCCTGCCACCCCCACCCCGCATCTGATTCCCCGGCTTCTCAGTCCAAAGCCACTAGATTCTTCACAGCAGGGGCAGGGACAGGGCACTCCCTACACTGTGAGATTATTTCCCAGGAAGCACCCCACCTGTCCAAACTCTTCAACTGCTTTGCCCCTAAGTCCCACTCAGGACGGCAGGCGGAGGGCCCTGGCTCTCCATGTTCCCTGGACGCCCCAACTGTCCGGCAGCCAGTATTTCCCTGGGGCTGTCCTATCGGGGCCTCAGGGATACTTCCTCCCTGGGACCTCCACCCCTGCAGACCCCAACTCTACCTCCAGCTCGTTGAGTGTCCCTCCCCTGCCCCCACCCCAAACCCACTAGATCCTTTCTGGGTCACCACTGAAGACCGCCAATGGGGATTTGCTTCAAACTTGCCCCTCGGAGGGGAGGTAGTGACTGGGGGTAGGGACACAAGACCAACCTCACGTTGCTGACAGGCGGCGTGGGTGAAGGAGATGGGGGGCTCATTACACTGCCCTCCAGTCTGTGTGTGTTTGAAGTTTCCTGTCAGAGGAAGTTTGAAAATCAATTCATCAACAAAAAGAAACCAATGAAAAACAACAGCACTCCCGCTGCGGACTGCCAGCCTGGCTCTCGGCCTGCCTTCCTCCCCTGACTTGCCATCGCTGCCTGACCACGTTCCCCCAGCTAGATGGTCCTGGGGCCAAATCCACCATCTTTCTAACTTACTGCGTGACCCTAGAGAAGGCCCTGGCTGAGCCCGTTTCCTTATCTGCACCACAACCGTGTGGCCCAGCTGTTCTGGGAGATGCCGATTTCAAACATTCTAACACTTCCCATGCTCTGTCCTGTAAAATATGGTTTCTCAGTGCTCTTCCCAGGAGCTGGGGCTGCTTAGGGTGCTGTAGTTAGAGAAGTATGGGAAATGCCACATTCTAAGTCCCTCTCAGAGATTCAAGAAACAACTCTGCATGCTCTGAGAAGTCCCGCAGCCAAAGCCCGGTTCATTTATTTGCTCGAGTAAGACTTATTTTCCCCAGCACACCTGTGAACACTTCTAGCTCTACAACTAAATGAGAGCCGTCACGGGGGACTTCCTCATCTGGGTGGAGAAGAGTTAAATGGAAAATATAATGGAAAGGACCCCCCAGTGTGGGGGCTGACAGATGCCACCCCAGGCCCCAGGCATCTCCAGCCCCAGCCTCAATAGAAGTGCACACACTTGCACAGACACATACGTGCCCTCTCTCGCTGCTCAGAAGCCCTGAGGGAGACATGTCTACACACTCTGAGCTCAGGTCTCCAGGGGGACCTCGGCTGGGAGATTTTCCAGTGCCAACTGTGAGTGCTCGCGCCTCTGCAGAAACGCTCTGCAGCCTCCCTTTCCTCACCACCGAGTCTGGTGAGGACTGAACGGCAGCTTTGCTCCTGCCCCGCCAGGCTTCCACGTGTCCCTGGGCTACAGCCCTGCATGGAGACAGGCCCTGACTTCACACTCAGTGCTTTTCTCACACACCAGGGGCCTTCTGATCCTGTCCCGGACACGGGGGAGAGAGGGCAATGCCAACTGAAAGCTATCAGAATGCCTGTTTTAAACCCCAAATTCCAGGCGACAATCCTAGCACCTGGACATCAGAGCTGGAAAACAGGCTGCCATGTTACAGATGGGGAAGGCGGAGGCTGCCTGCTCTCCTGCTCCAGCCCCAGCAAGGACAGTGGCCCCTGTAAGGGAGGGCGGGGTCCTGAGTCCCTCCTCCTGATAGCCCCAGATTTAGTAAGCGGGATAGTTAAACCCAATTTCGAACATTTCCCAGTCTCATCTAAGCCTGTGGCTCCCCTGCCCAGGACCCCTCCGCAGTGCAAATCCAATTGTGATTTGCACCCTCATCCCAGCTTCACGGCCCCTAGCTGGGCCCAGACCTGGCTCATCCCTCCCAACTCTGCAGGTCTCAAGCCACAGGGGCCCACACTCCATGGGCTGTGACATGGCTCTGGGGTCCCCAGGGAGGCATGTGTCACAAACAGCTCTGCTCAGTTCCTCTGTGGGGGTCTGCCAGGCATCACAGACTCTCTCCTGGGTGTCCCCACAGTGCCTGTCAACCTGGCTTCCCCGAGGCTGCAGCTGAAACCACAAGGCAGAAAGGCAAAGGTGTGCAGGGGTTGGCGCACCCTCCCCTGGGGGTGACCTTCTGGGCTGCAGGGTCTTGCAGGGGTTCCCTGGGGTGGCTCTGTCAGGATCCACCTTTCCCCCAGCCTAGCTTCAGCCATGTCTCAGTTGGGGCTGATTGAGGAGTAGTTTGAATGGCAGCTGCCTTCCCCAGTATGCTGGGCTTCTCGCCTTCCTGTGTGTCTCTCCTGTCCCTGGGAGGCGCCTCTGTCTCTCACATGAATCCACCCACCCAGCCCACCCACTCACCACTTGGCCAGACTCGCCCAGATGGGTCTGAGTCTCAGCTCCATGAGGCCTCAGATAGGACCCTCCCTCTATCCCCTCCTCACTCCCCCATCCATACATGCAAATAGTCTATCTCTCTGTTTCTCTCTCTCTCTCTCTCACACACACACCAATTTATCCATAATGTGGGTTTGAAATAGCCTGAGGCTGGCAAGAGAAGAAATCGCATGACTGACTTAGGCCTCCAAAGGACGTGATAGGCTGAGGTGATGGCCAGTGCACCACGATGCAGACACAAAGGGAGAGACTTCAGTCTTAACGCTTGCCTGTACAGCACAGCGCAGGAGGCAGGTCTTGGAGCAACACCTGTGAGCAAGTCCGAGAAGAGTTGGGGGTGATGCAGTCACCCAAACGCCACTGTGGTCCTGGCTGCATTAATAGAGATCTAACACTCAGAAAAAGGGAAGTGATAGCCTGCTCAGAGCTTGGCTACTCAGAACCACTTGGTGATAAGGTCAAATGGGAGCCTATTTAGAGGTAGGAGGAGATGTGGGATGGGATGGGATGAGGACTGGATGTTCTCAGCGGAGAGGAGGAAGCAGCCCTGCCCTGTGAAGCCCAGAGAATGGAACTGGGGCCCACAGAAACAGGGTTTCAGTTCAGTCTAATGAACAGGGATTGGGTTTCCCCCAGAGGGAGTGAGCTCCCTGTCCTCAGAGGTAAGTCAGTAGAGGCTGCAAAGATACCTCTGAGAGTGCAGGTAAGAAGATTCCTGCTAGGGCCTGGATAATGTTTAAGATCTACCCCAATGCAAGAGTTCGGGATTCTCAAACACACAGGCACCTGCACCTGTGTGCAAAGCTACTCCTGTTCTTTCTGCCTGCCTCTACCTGGGGTCAGCAGTTGCAGACGGATGACAGAGACTCTAGTGCAAGACCTAAAACATAGGTCAGGCTGTGCCTGGTAGATGGGCCAGATGCTAGTGGTGTTGCTGGTCTCACCCCCACTGGCCCTGCCCCATGTCCACTCCCAGCCTCGCTCCCAGGCTCTGTCCCAGGCCCCCATCCCAAGGGAATCCTCCTGGGCTGGCCTTCTGCTTAGAGCCCCACCCCTCATCCCAGGATGTCTGGGGCATGGGCTTAGAGCCAAAGGAGGGGCTCCAGGGCACTTTGGCCAGTAGGACAGTCAAGGCCCACGGCAGGAGCGATCTCTCTGGACCATAGGGAAGGCAGAGTTGAGGGCGGGATAGGGCAGAGTTGAAGGCTGGGCATGGTGGCGCACACATGTAATCCCAGCTACTCAGGAGGCTGAGGCAGGAGAATTGCTTGAACCAGGAAGCAAAGGTTGCAGTGACCAGAGATTGCACCACTGCACTCTAGCCTAGGTGATAGAGCGAGACTCCATCTCAAGAGCCAGAAGTCACAGAGGGTCCCTATAAATTCTGAGCAGAAAGGACCCTCAGATCATGCCTAGTCCAACCCCACGTGTGTGTACCCAGTGTCCACACAAGGAAATGAGGCCCAGAAAGCAAAAGTGACTCCCATGTCTGAGTGGTGTTGGGGCCAGGACTGTAGGGGATCAGTTACGGGCTGAACTGTGTCTCCCCCAAGTTCATATGTGGAAGCCCTAACTCCAGTACCCCAGAAGGTGACCGTATTTGAAAATGGAACCAGGCCGGGCGCGGTGGCTCACGCCTGTAATCCCAGCACTTTGGGAGGCTGAGGTGGGCAGATTACCTGAGGTCAGGAGTTCAAGACCAGCCTGGCAAAAATACAAAACTTAGCCGGGTATGGTGGCACATGCCTGTAATCCAGCTACTCTGGGGGCTGAGGTAGGAGAATTCCTTGAATCCAGGAGGCAGAGGTTGACTGCACTCCAGCCTGGGTGACACAGCAAGACTCTGTCAAAAAAAAAAAGAAAGAAAGAAAGAGAGAGAAAGAAAGAAAGAAAGAAAGAAAGAAAGAAAGAAAGAAAGAAAGAAAGAAAGAAAGAAAATGGAGCCACTGCAGATGGAATTAGTGAAGCTGAGGTCATTAGAGTGCATCCTTATCCAGTAGGATTTGGGGTCTTATCAGAAGGGGACATTTGGACAGAGGACATGCGTGCAGGGAGAAGGCCACATGCAGGGGAAAGCGGAGATCCAGTGATGCTTCCACAAGCCCAGGAACACCAGGATTGCCAGCAGCCCCCATAGGCCAGGAGAGAGACAGGGGACAGAATATCGACTTTGTAGCCTCAGAAGGAAGGCTGCTGCAGACACCTCGATCTCGGACTTCCAACCTCCAGAATGGCAAGGGAATCAAAGTCTGCAGGCGTAGCAGCCCTAGCAAACTAACAGAGTCTGTGTGACCGGGAGGCCGCATGTCCTGTTCCTGAGACCCACATGCTATGTGCTGGCAGCGGCCTTCGGCGGTGGACCCTTCCCCTCCGTCACCTCTTGGGCTCCCTCCACACCCCACAATGCCTATCACCATCGTCCCACTTGCTCCTCCTAGCCGCTTCCTGGGTGAGTACTGTTATTAACCCCCATCTTATAGATGAGAAAACTGAGGCTCAGGGATGCTGAGCTGGAATCTAGGCTGGCTGAGGCCCAGTCAGATGCAGCCAATGAGAGCACCCAGTGTAAGGGTGTGAGTACCACACCTTGGAGGCCAAGGCCTTTCTGTAAAGGCTGACAGAGGAGGCGGAGTCAGATGATGAAACGCGATGGAATGACAGGGACTGCAGATGGACCAGGGGCTTCCTCTCCCTTGTTATTAACCACCGCCTGCCCGGTGTGCGATGGGGCAGGTCCTGCATTGGCTGCAGCTTCTACCAAATGGCCTCAGTGCCCTGCCCAATGCTGAGATCCCAGAAATTGGATTCTGAGCTCCTCCGGGGCTGAATCCATAGCCACTGACTGGCACACAGTGGAGGCTCAGCCAATACTAGCTTTCCTACAGACTCCCACATGGTTATCTGAGGAAGTGGGTAGAAACCAGGGCAATGCATCTCCACTCATAGAGAGAGAGTTTTTCTACACTGGGAATTGGCCACTTAAGGGATGAGCACCCCATCACTGGAGGCAGGCAAGTAAATAGTTGTCAAGCGGCCTCCTGTCAGTTCTGCTGTAACTGAAGGGAAAATGAGAACACTTTCAGGCTGCTTTCTGTCCCTGAGCCTATGAGTCTATGACTTCTTAAATCTTTAGTGTATTTTTAAGTATAGACAATACTTCTATATAGTTCAAAAATCAGAAAGGGCTGGGCGCGGTGGCTTACGCCTGTAATCCCAGCACTTCGGGAGGCTGAGGCGGGCAGATCACCTGAGGTCAAGAGTTCGAGACCAGCCTGGCCAACATGGTGAAACCTTGTCTGTACTAAAATACAAAAAAAAAAATTAGCCGGGCGTGGTGGCACGCACCTGTAATCCCAGCTACTTGGGAGGCTGAGGCAGGAGAATCACTTGAACCCAGGAGGTGGAGGTTGCAGTGAGCCAAGATTGTGCCACTGCACTCCAGCCTGGGCGACAGAGACTCCATTAAAAAAAAAAATCAGGAAGTCTAAAACGAAATTCAGTGAACACGGGTCCCTCCTACCCTGTGCCTACGCCCCTGCCCCCGCCTCCCAGGTAGCCTTCCAGAAAACCCTGCGTGATGCCAGTCTCTTATGTAATCTTCCAGAGAGAGCCCATGCCTGTGCCAGCAGACTCAGTCTTTATTTTTAAGATAAATACATATTCATGTTTTTTTTATGTATGTTCTGCCTCTTGTTTATTTCACTGATTTTCAGCGGCATAGTCCAGCCTGTGGCTGTCCAGCAGCCTGATGATATGAAACAGTCCCCTGGAGGTGTGCACAGGTATAAGGTGGGGAAAGGCCCACCTCACAGGGCTGCCAGGAGATGGTGTTTCCCTGGCCTGGCACCCAGCGCAGTGCCTGGCACGTGATCTGGGTCCCCAAGAAAGGTCCTACATCCGCGGGTGTCTGGGAAGGACATGCTGGGCCCAGGTGGCTGCAGCAACTCCTCGGGCCGCTAGGGGGCCCCTTGGTGCCGCCGGTCTTGCTGGTGGCCACAGCACAGCGCCGCGGTGACCAGGACATCAGGGGAGGCTCCTCGGAGGCAGGGAGGCACCTAGGCTTGGACTTGGCATCTCGAATTTCCAGAAGCACTACCTCGTCTTCCATCCTCCTGCCACCCTTCACAGTGGGCAGAGCAGGTATGGCTAGCTCTATGAAGCCACAGGGAAACTGAGGCCCGAGAGGGGAAGAGAGCTGAGGCCACACAGGAAGCTAGAAGGGACCCACTGGACTGTGCAACCTCCAGCATTCAGGAGGGGAGGGGTCCAGGGGTTTGGGAACAAGAAGCTGGGGTCACCTGTGACCCCCACTTACCTCCCCAGAAAAGGAAAGAAAATACATGCTTACCAAACTTTGTTGGTGTTGTTTTCTTTTTTTTTCTTTTTTTCTTTTTTTTTTTTTTTGAGTTGGAGTTTCACTCTTGTTGCCCAGGCTCGGGTGCAATGACATGATCTCAACTCACTGCAACCTCTGCCTCTTGGGTTCAAGTGATGCTCCTGCCTCAGCCTCCCAAGTAGCTGGGATTACAGATGCCCGCCACCAGGCCTGGCTAATTTTTTGTATTTTTAGTAGAGACGGGGTTTCATCCTGTTGGCCAGGCTGGTCTCGAACTCCTGACCTCAGGTGATTCACCCGTCTCGGCTTCACAAAGAGCTGGGATGACAGGCGTGAGCCACCGCCCCCGGCTGTTGGTGTTGTTTTCATTTAGAGAGGACAGAAAGGAAGAGACTGCCCCCACACAAAGCCACAGCACACCTGCCCCATCCAGTCCCATGGCCTCAGCATCTGGGCCCTTTGCCATGCTACCTGGGGACCTGGGCTCCTGCCTGCCTGGGGAGCACTCACTTTAGGACCTTGGCAGGTCTCACCTCTCTCTGGGCCTCGGTCCTCCCACCAGCACTGGTCGTCTAGCCCATCACAGCAGTCCCTCATGGCCTGCCCCCTCCAATCCATCCCCCTCTAGGACTGCCAAACTGATCATGCATCTTCCCTGCCTAACAGCCGCCCCTCCCACTGCCTAAAGAATCAGGTGCAGATTGTTGGCCATGCATTCCAGCCCTTCCTCCTCGGGGGCCTTTCCTGCCTTCTTCTCCTCCCAGCCCATCCTGACCTCACTGACTCTGCTCTGTCCACTTGTCATCTCCAAATGTTCCTTTCTCATCCTGCATTTGTGTGTCCTGCTGCCTCTGTCTGGGCTGCCTTGGACAGTCCCCCTTTTTGCCTGGTGACTTCCTTTCCAGCTCTTAAGGCCTGTTCCAGTGCTCCCCGCAACTCAGTGTGTTCTCCGGCCAAGCCCAGCTTACCTGGACTTCAGCAACACTTTCCTGCCTCTTGCAGTTGCCCCAGCTTCCTGGGCTGACCTTCCAGAGCACTTGTTACCCCATCCTCCACTGAAACAATGCCCAGACTTGTCTCTCCGGCCTGAATGAGTATCATGACCTCTCCTCATTCATCCCTGGCACCCTGGCACCTGGCACAGAATGTGGCACCACTAGGGGCTTAGGAGATGGGAACTGAATGAAGAAATGTAGACAAGGATGGATGGATAGATGGACAGATGGATGGGCAGGTAGATGGGCAGATGAATGGACAGATGGATGGATGGTTGGATGGACGGATGGATGGATGGATGGATGGATGGATGGATGGGCAGATGGATGGATAGATGGATGGGAAGATGGAAGAGTAGATGGATGAATAGATGAACAGATAGGTGGATAGATGAATGGGTAGGTAGGTGGGTGAGTGGATGGATGGATGGATGGATGGATGGATGGATGGATGGATGGGAAGATAGAAGAGTAGATGAATGGATACAGGGACAGATAGGTGGATGGATGGATGGGTAGGTGGGTGGATGGATGGATGGACGGATGGATAGCTGGATAGATGGATGGGTGAAAGGGGTGGTGTGGCATTATGAGTGAGAGCTCTGGCTCTGGGCTCTGACAGACTCAGGCTCAAGTGTCTTGGTGAGCACTAACTCCATGTCACACACAGTCCCTGGTGCTCCCCCTGTCCTGAGCCATTCAGTGACATATTACTCTCTCCCTCACTGCCCCAATATTCCCCAAGGGATAAGCCCTGCATCAGGCTCTGCAGGGTGGCTGGGATGCTTCGAGGGGGGAGGAACAGATTCGGGGAGCCAGGAGAGGGGAGCGCAGAGGAGCCTGCAGGCCCAGCTTTCAGAAGACCTGAGCTGGGCACTGCTAGACCCTGAGCCCTGTGTTGTGTCACCTAGGCATAGAGTATGCAGGGCACACATCAGGGAGAGAGGAATCCTGGCCATGCCCAGATCCCCAGGACCTAGAATACTGCCTCAGAGAGCAGAAAGAAATTACCCCAGCCCTTCTCAGGCCTGTGTCTACAGAGCCATCCCTTTCAGGCAAACTGCAGTCTGGGCACCCATCCTGTTGGGAGCTCACAGGGCCAGCTTGGGGCTGACAGAGGCACTGGACTCCCTGACCTCCAGGCTTTGGCGTTGACCTCCAAGCCCAGAGTGGAGGTAGCTGGATGGGCCGTGTCCTGCAGGCCAGGAATGGGTCCGGAGCAGTTTCCACATCTTTCCCACAGTCCGGGCTGGCAGGACAGAGCAGAACAAGATCCAGCTGGAATCCTGATGGGAGCAGGGAAGCTGGGAACATGTTTTGCAGGCTCCCTGCAGTCTCAGAGCCCCGAGGATCACACATGCATACACACACACACACACACACACACCCCGCTACACCCACACACACCTGTATCCCCATGGCCAGCAAGCATTCTGGTTTCACCAGCCCAGAGCAGATGCCTGCTGGGGTCACAGGAATGTCACAGCCACAGCAGCCACACGTTGACTACATCATGAGAGGCCACCCATTCTCATAGCGTCAAAGTCAGTCTACAGTCATCTCTCGGTGACTCCTCCAGCATCAGGCCGCCCGATCCTCTGGCTGCACCCACCTGACGGGGTAGCAATGCAGGCATTCATCTAGTGTGGATGTGGGCCAGACACAGGGCTAGCTCACTTCATCCTCACAACGACTTTGAATTTTGCACTGTTATGCAGATGGGGAAACAGAACAACTTGTGGGGAGTCTTGCCAAAGGTCACACGAGGAGTGGGCACAAGCACCAGGCTTTGGGCTCTGGCAGCCTAGGCCCAGGGTCCATGCAGGAGACTTTAACCAGCAAGAGCAGGAACCTTTGAAACTCAGGGTTCTTGGCTGGCATGGGGGGCTGTGTTTTATTAAAGCAGTGAGTGCCTCTGGTTGAATGTTTAATGTTCATATCAACGAATCTCCACTGTATCCATCACCAGAGCCCTCCAGGGCAGATGGGCATTGGAGAGGCTGCCCGCCACCCAGCATTGGATGGAGGGTGGGGGTGAGGCCCCAGGCTGCTGACCCAGGCTGCAGGATGGGCTCAGCCTCCCATCTCCAGCATTCTCCTAGTGCTGTTTGGGACAGGACCCTGCCTCATTGTGGGCACTAGCCAGCCTCCTGGCCCCAGTGACGCAGCAACCCAGACCTGCCTGCCTGGAGAACAGCCCTCCACAATAATAATAATTACGACAACTATTATTAGTATTCTATTGTGGTGACAATAATAACCAGTTTGGCATCGTGGTCAGGAGACCAGACTCTGTGCCAGGCAGACCTGATTGCACCTCCCAGCCACCCCTTGGCTGTGGGACCTTAGGCCAGTGCCTTGACCCCCCTACACCTTAGCTTCCTCCTCTGCAGATGGGAGGAGGTTGCTCAGGTGCATTGTTTCCTGCTTGCCTGGGGGCGGGGCTGCACAGGCAGAGTTCTGGCCAACCCGGCTTGGGATGGCGCCCAAGCCGAAGCCACAGGAAGGCAGGCCCCGCAGCACCGGGTGCTTTCAGAGCTGACCTACCTGGCCTCCCAAGGGAACCCATGATGAAAGGTTCCTGCGGCTGCACCCCTTGCCAGTCATCAGCCCACGCGCTGCTTCACCTCCTGTAATGACAGCGTTGGGCCAGTGGCTTACCCACCTCGCTCGGCAGGCACCGTGCAATTTTCATTAGGTCACATAGTCATTATTTCTCCAGATGACTCTCAGCCAGGGAGATGTGAATTTGATGGGCTGCCCACTTTACAGACGGGGCGACTGAGGCGTGCATCAGGCAAGGGCTTGCTTCCGGCCTTGGAGAGGGCAAAAGGTCAGCGGTTCAAGTAGGGATTCTGAATTTGGCCTCTGTATGGTTCCCTGAAGTAGGTTCCTGGGGAAAAGAGAGTAGAGAATCACAGTTGCTGGGAGTGGTGCGGGGAGGAGGCAGAAGGCGTTGGTGGCCTGCAGAGGCTGCCCGGCCCCAAGAACAAACTCACACTCACTGGCAGGCCAACTGCTTGGGCTGCTGCCTGCTCTGCCTCAGATCCTCAGATCCCAGGATGGAGATGTGGGGCACAGGGAGCTGGATCCCACTCCTGCTGCTGTCAAGGTCGGAGAAGAGGTGGGGTGTGCCTAGGTTGGGAGCTGGGGCTGTAAATGCCCGACCATATGGGAGTTGGTAAGAAGACAACACAGTCTTGCCCCTTCCTGAGCCCTGGCCCAGGTCCTGTGTCGTGGACTTCACAGCTCCTTCTGTCCCCACCATAACCCTGTGGGGTCAGTGCTGCTGCTGACCCATCCACAGATGAAGACACACCCGAGATGAGACTGCTCAGGCCACAGAGCTGATTGGCAGCAGGTCTGCTCCTGAACCCAGGCCCGAGTGCCCCCAAACTCTGCTTTATCTCATCCCATGCTCCAGGGAGCCACAGCCAGGGAAGAGGAGAAGTGGCTGAGTGCTGTGGCCGAAGCGAGGGTGGAGAGTCAGCTCTGGTTCCCATCCTGGTCTGCCAAGCTCTTGGCAAGCCTCGGGCCCTTCTGAGTTTCCATTCTCTCACCTGAAGGGATGAGTAGCTCCCCTGTCTGGCCTGGCTGCCTTGTGGGCTCAAAGGCAATGTGAGAGGTGCCCATTTCATGCTTGGCACATAGTAGGTACTCAAGTAAAGTAAGTTTCCATCTTCCTTTTCCTTCAATAACAAAGCAGAGTGTTCCCTCTCCTAGACAAAATATTTACGTTTTAATAGAGTCCCTTGTCTCTAGAAGGGGGATGAGTGATGATGGAATTCTCGGCAGCTTGTTGGGCCGGCACTGGCGGGGCTGCTAGGAAGAGCTCTCTGAGCTCCTCAAATCACAGGTACAGCAGGCTCGGGAGGGGAGTCTGGCACTGCCTGCTGCAGGCAGGAGCCTCTGCCTCTTCTTCCTTCAAGAGTGTCTATCAGGACCAGGTGTGGTGGTTCACACCTGTAATCCCAGCACTTTGGGAGGCCGAGGCTGGAGGGTTGCTTGAGACCAGGATTTAGAGACCAGCCTGGGCAACATAGCAAGATCCTGTCTCTTTAAGAAACAAAAAAATCAGCCAGGCGTGGTGGTGCACTCTTGCAGTCCCAACTACTTGGGAGGCTGAGGTGGGAGGACCACAGCCCAGGAAGTTGAGGCTACTACAGTGAGCTGTGATCATACCACTGCACTCCAGCCTGGGGGACAGAGCAAGACTCTGCCTTAAAAAAAAGAAAAAGTGTCTATTGTCATCTCAACTGCACCACTTCCCAAAACTCACCAGAATTCTCCTGGGCTGAGTTCATTTCATAATCTCATGCTAATGGAGAGTGATTTCCGTGGACTCATACCTTAAGGAATTGTGGTTTTCTCAGAGCCAGCCTTAAAGGGTAATAGGCATTCAAAACTGCTAAGGCAGCTCCCAGGCACCGTTACACCCCTATTAAATCACACACACCATTAAAAGGATAAAAGCCCGAGCTGGCAGGGCTGTGGGGAACTTAGCACGTGTGAGCATGGCTTTCCTCCTAGGGTGCTCTTCCCCAGCTCTGCTGCCTGCAGGAATGGGAGCCTCCTTTCAGGCTCAGCACACGCGTCTCTGCAGTGACACCTTCCCAGCTCCCCAGTCAGAATTGCTGCCCTTCCTGGCAGTTCCATAGCACATGGGTCTTGTTCATGGCACTTTGCACTGTCTCTGTCTTAACTCCCAGGTAGGCTCTGAAATTGATGACAGGGATGGAAGCTCATTCGTTCAGTCCACAGCATGCTGAGTGCTTTATGCTCTTGGCCTGTGATCCTCACTAGCACCCTTTAATGTGGTGACCATCCCATTTTACAGACGAGGAAAGTGAGGCTCAGAGAAGTTTAACCATTTGCCCAAGCCTGGCCAATCCCAGGCCTGGGCTCTTTCAACAGCACAGTGCTGCCTCTGCAGGGGCTCCACCCTGGGCTGGGTTTTTGGGAACTCAGGACCCCCCTGGTGGAAAGGTGGCCAAGCAGGTAGGCAGACACGGCCAGCACAGTATGTTGCTACCATAGCTGGGGACCCTGGGGTTTGGTGGGAGCCAGACAGGTTGGGGGGAGCATGGGAAAAAATTTCATAAAGCTATGTCCTGGCATAAGTCACTCAGGTGAGGAAGAAGGACAGGGCGTCGGTGCCAGAGAGAGCACCGTGTCACACAGCCATGTGACAGATGACAGTTGTCGGGGAGCAAGCTCTTCATGCTGTCATTTGGGCAGGATGGAAATTGTGGGCTGGAGAGCAGGGCAATGAGGGGAGGCCACGACTCTCTGGACAGAGCACCCCAGGGGTGACACTCTGTAAATCAGTGCAATCTAGAGTTAGAGGGTCTCTAAGGATGGGCCACAGATCTCTGCCTTCATCCCTACCTGTTTCAATCGAGTCTGGATGGAGCCATTAGAGCTTATCAGATGTGCCAAAGGCAATGTCCCATGAGAACATCACATTTCCAGAAACCTCAGAAGGTGGAACCAGAGACTGAAACCAACAGAAGGGAATTGAACAGGGAGAACAAGAATAGCCTGCTTTCAGGAGCAAAAGGTCAATTGCACAAACTGACAAGTTGATGGCAAGGTCCTTTTTCCCCCGCCTCCTGAATTGTGTTTAAAAAGTGAATCTTTGGCCAGGCGCGGTGGCTTATGCCTGTAATCCCAGCACTTTGGGAGGCCAAGGTGGGCGGATCACGAGGTCAGGAGATCGAGACTATCCTGGCCAACACGGTGAAACCCAGTCTCTGCTAAAAATACAAAAAATTAGCCGGGCATGGTGGCACGTACCTGTGGTCCCAGCTACTTGGGAGGCTGAGGCAGGAGAATCGCTTGAACCTGGGAGGTAGAGGTTGCAGTGAGCCAAGATCGCATCACTGCACTCCAGCCTGGGCAACAGAGCAAGACTGTGTCTCAAAAAAAAAAAAAAAAAAAAAAAAGAAAAGAAAAGAAAAAAAGGGAATCCTCTGAGGTTGAGATGGAGAGATCTGTTTGCTGGGCCTGCCCACAGGAAGTTCTCTAAAAACATCTGTGATCAGTGGGTCCTGGATGGGTGTCCTGACCTGGGAGAATCCTTGGGAGGAGTCAGCCAGTGCCCCTGCACCAGGATGGGGCTAACCCACCAGTGCCTGTGAGGCTCCTGTGCCCACTCACAATAGCTGGGGTTGGTGTAACCCACATAAAATCCCCCAGTCCCACCCAGGAACAGGCATCCCAGCTGCCTCAAGATCAGAGAGGGCCTTCGCCAGCTGAATAGCAGCGGTGGGGTGGTAAGGACAGAGGGCGGCCTTCTGTGCCTGCGATGAACTATCGCTTGAGCCCAGGAGTTTGAGACTAGCCTGGGCAACATGGTGAGACCCCATCTCTACAAAAAAATACAAAAATTAGCCAGGCATGGTGGTACCTGCCTGTAGCCCCAGCTACTTGAGAGGCTGAGGTGGGAGGTTGGTTTGAGCCAGGGAGGTTGAGATTACAGTGAGCTGAGATTGCACCACTGCACTCCAGTCTGGGTGACAGAAAAAGACCCTGTTTCAAAAAAAAAGTGGGCATAACATAAAGAGCAGGGCAAGTCGTGGTCAGGTGGTGACCTAGGGTGGGTGCTCACAGCAAGCACTTCCTCTATACCTCTGTGAGATGGCCATGCTCTCTTAGCTTGTTCACCTCTAGGGACAGGGAACTCACTACCTTGAGCCTGGGACAGGGCAGACCCGAGTGTTGCCTTCAGAGAATCCGCACTCTCATGGGGAAGTGAGCTGGTGGCAGTGGCGGGGCCGGCCTCCAGGTCTGACTCCTGCTGCTCCTTCAGAGGGTGTCCCCAGAGGGAAATGGGCTAGAGTGCTCCAGAGATGGGCCCTGCCCAGAGGCCTGGCCCCCCTACGTTCTGCAGGCAGAGGGAGAGTGGCCCTTAGGCTCAGGCAGCCAGCCAGAGCCCTGGGAAGCCAAGACCCCTCCTTCCTGTGGAAAGCTGGTAGGCCACTGCCCACAAGTGACTTTCCCACAGTGGCCCCTGTCCCCCTTTCCCTCACTGCTCCTGACCCGCCCCCCACCTGAGTGGTGACAGCTGGGAGGGGCTGATGTCTGCCCTTAGCCCCCCTGCGGGGAGGAAGGGGCTTCCTTAAGGAGGAGCCTGGACACCCCTCTTCTCGTGCCCCTCAGAGGCTGGATCCAGCCAGGGACCCTGACCTGGATGTAGGGATGCTGGGATGGGGAGCGAGAAAAAGGGGGAGGGCACTCCCTGCAAGAAGCCCAGGTCAGGGCAGGGGCTCCTGGACCCTCAGCCAGCCATTCCTGTCCAGCAGGTTGGAGAGGCCAGGGGCCAGAAGCCCTTCGTTGTCTGGAAGGGCAGAGGGATTATCTGCCCAGTGGATTTCAAGGCCTCCTTTCTGCCCTCTCCCAAAGCTGCTGACAGACCTGACTCCCTGGGGAGCTGAGGGACTCTTTTCTTGTTTCCTGTGACCTCCACAGAGAAAAATCCATCACCGGCTGGCTGAGCAATCCAGGAGGGTCCAAGAAAGATGGCATTGAGTCACCTGGGCCCTCATTGCCCTGACAGCCGTGAACGCATCATCCAGCTGGTAATTAGCTCTTACAGGAAAGGAAAAGGTCTGTCATTTTCCTCCGGAAGTGCCAGGCGGGGATTGCTGGCTGCCCCTCCTTGAAGCCGGAGAAAGGCCGGATCCTCATCCTGGGGCCAGCCTCTGCTAAGGATGTGGATTGGGGGTGGGAAAATATCCCTCCTTCCACTCAGGAATCCCACTTCTGGGAACTTACCCCAAGGAAACAATCCAACAGGAAAGCAAAGCTGTGCACAAACACGTCCCCATAGGAGTTCTGTATAACAGAACTGGCGCTCAGCAGCGGGAACAGCCACGCACCACGGCTGGGCTAAATATCACCTGGCTGTGACATAGGGCAAATGGGGAGGATGGGGGGCGGGGGGGCTTGGAGGTCCTGGCTTAGCACTCTAGGCTTCCTGAACTTTGACATCCCAGCCTGATCCCTACTCTGACACTGGCAAACAGACATGTTCCAGAACTCAGAGGTGGTGACTTCCATCTCTAGGTAGGGGACCCTGGGCAAGCAAGTATCCCACTGAGTCTTATCATCACGCAGGTGTGAGAACCCCTGCTTACATTGCAGCTTCAAGGATGCATTTATTGAAACTCTAAGTCTTTTTTTTTTTTTTTTGAGATGGAGTCTTGCACTGTCACCCCGGCTAGAGTGCAACAGTGCGATCTCGGCCCACTGCAACCTCTGCCTCCCGGGTTCAAGCAATTCTCCTGCCTCAGCCTCCCAAGTAGCTGGGATTACAGGTGCCCGCCACCACACCTGGCTAATTTTTTGTATTTTTAGTAGAGACGAGGTTTCACTATGTTGGCCAGGCTGGTTTCGAACTCCTGACCTCGTGATCTGCCTGCCTCAGCCTCCCAAGCTGAGGATCCCAAGCTGGGATTACAGGTGTGAGCCACCGTGCCCGGCCAACTCTAAGTCTTAGTTGCGGCATCTGTAAAATGGACCCAGCACCAGGGCCAGTACACGGGGTGTCGGGAGGGATAGTGAGATCATGGTGAGGCTCGGTGAGGCACTGCCACCAATTACAAATTACACAGCTCCTGTCTCCCTCTCACCCTCCCCAGTCCCCAGGCTACACAGGCTGCTTTGAGTACATCCCAGTGCCCAGAGCTGTGCCCAGGCCTGGCACGATGTTTCTGCAGGGCTTCTCCATGCTCCTCCTGCCCGGCCAGGCCCTGCTCTGGGCTCTGTAGAGAGGAGTTAGCTCCAAGGTGCACATGGCCAACCCCATACACCAGATGTGCACCCCTCGCATTCCTTTCCTACCTGGGTCCCTGAAAGCCAGCAGTGTTCCTGGGGTGTCTGAGCCCCTGCTCTGTGCCCACACCGGCCTAGGCATTGGGAGGGGCCCCATGGAGAGGAGGCACCTGAAGGAAGCAGCTGAGCTGAGTTCCAGAGAATCTTTGAGAGAGAAGGAAAAGCCAGGCAGAGGCCCTGCCAATGCCGCTAGGTTTTCAGCTGGGTGGGTGAGCCCAGAGCGGACCTCAGGCAGTGGCTGTACGCACAGTTCAGGGCTGGAGAGGTAGACTTTAGGGACATCAGGCTACAAGCGGGACTTGGAAGCTGAAGCTCATGTCCCTGCCAGGCCTGGCAACCATGAGGCGAAGAGAAGCCCTCAGTGTGGAGCCCAGTGGGGAGCTGGACATTTCACTCCTTGGGCGAGTCCCTCCTAATGGGGCTCAGTATCTCCAAGTGTTCTCTAGGATCGGACCAGTCCAGTGTTCCTCAGGCCTGGGTGGACCTTCCATGGGTCCGCCAGGCAGCCTGGCCACTTCCCAGACCAGCTCTCCCATAGGCTTCCAGGACAAAGCTCTGGGATTCCCAGGATGCCAAGTCTTGTGCAGCCCCAGTTGGTGCCAGCCCTTCCTCTTTGGTAGCTAGCGGTGTCCCCTCTCTAGGGCAACCCCCACCTGCTTGGTGAAGGACTCCCTCTGACAGACACTGAGGGCAAGATGTGTGACTAAGAACAGATGGTACAGTCAAGGGAAGGGTTTGTAGCCACCCTGCTGGGAGCCCCTGGACCAGGCAAGGTGCCTCCCTGCTCTGAAATTCCAGCTGGGACTGCCTGTCCCTTGCTCTTGGTCACGTCCTCTGCCTGCCTTCACTGGCACATCTGCCATGGGAGAAATCTGCTACAGACCCCCAAACATATACCCGAGCCCCAGCTTCTGCAAGTAAAATGGGCACAGTCATCCCTGCCCACCTTGCAGGCTTGTTGGGAGGATGGGAGGAGGAAACAGCCCAGAGAGTGCTTTGCAAACTGGAAATGAATGGGGAAACTGAGGGCCTGACCAGGCTTCCTTCTCCAGCAGGCAGGCCCGGGCTTGGCGTGTTGCTGGTGATGGTCTGGTCTGGGGGCTTCCATCAGGGAATATTTCTCGCCCTCCTTACTTGTTTCATGCACCACAGCCCAGAGCTAGGTTTTATCACTATTTAAATAAATTATGTTGATATTTAAATAAAACAATGCATGCTCTTAGGGTAAAAGCAATCATGTAACACTAAAATGCTTGCAAGGAAATGAGATGGTTCCCCGATTCCCCTCCCTTTCCCCACTCCCCAGAGCAACCAGTTTCCACATTTAGTTGTTCTTTCTGGCTTTGCAGTCTCCACATTTCTCATAAGATGTTTACGTTGCTATTTCTTGATTTTTCAATTCTAGACATTTCTGTTGCTTTCTCATGGTGACAGATGAGGCTTCAGCTCTCTGAAACCCTCCCACTCCCGCCTCCCCTCCCTCAGCCTCTTTAGAGGGATTTATGCGTTTCTTAGTTAACAGCTGGTCAAGGGTTTTATGACGATGATCGCGTAAATGTTATTCCGTGAAAGTCAGGAAATGGTCAATGACGGTTTCTTGTACAGTTTTGTTTGTGTGTGCCATGGAGTGAATGCATTTATTTGTAACTTGCAAGGTATTATGTGTCTCTTCTTAATTTTTCATCTGATCTACTCTAAACCTAGTGCTAGTGTTGTCAAATGCTCTGACAGTCTGTAATCTACTCCGTTGTGCCCTAAGCTCCCCAGCTTCTGCTCTGGGGCCACTTCTCGGCCCCCCAGGAAGGATCCTCCTTCCTGGGTGATCGCACACTCCCTGGTTGTTCTCAGCTCCTATGAGAGCATGTGCAACCAAAGCTTCCTAGAAGGTGCACAGTCGTTATATTCTATTTAAACTTAAATTTTATTTTGAGGCCTTGCATTTTTGCAAGGTTTACAAGGCTGATCCTTCCTGTGGGCATAAAATCCAGGCAGGAAATCCTTTTCCCCCAGATTTTAAAGGCAATTGATCATTCTGTGGTCCTCTAGCTTCCATTGTCGCAAGGAGAGGTCCAATAATAGGCTTATTTTATTATTTTAATTTAAAAACACATGCACAGAGTTTCAAACATAAAACTATAAGGCTTATTTTTTAAAAAAACCAAAAAAGTCCCTGCCTTATCTCTCTCCACCCAATTCCTACTTCCCAGAGGCAACTTTTCTCTATATTTGATTCTGCAACTTTTCTCTATATTTGGAAACAACACACTTGTACTGTTCTTTATTGACTCTCCAGCTTGAGACACTCTCGCTTGCCTTTCTCTTACGGATGAGGAGGCTTCGGGCCACTTACGTCCCTACCCTTCCCCACACAGGCCAATCCCCTCCCCTATCCTCCCAATAATGCTACACCATAATTTTTGATTAAATTAGTATTGTTTACATATTATGCTACAGTCACGTGTCACTTAATGACGAGGATATGATCTGGGAAATGTGTCATTAGTTGCTGTCATCATTGTCATGGAGCATACAATGCTAGATGGGATAGCCCACTGCACACCCAGGCCAGATGGTCTAGCCTATTGCTGCTAGGCTCACAAATCTGTACAGCATGTACCTGTACTGAATATCGTAGGAACTGTAACACAATGGCAAGAATTTGTGTGTCTAAACATAGAAAAGGTACAGTAAGAACACAATATTATCTGACAGGCCCACCGTGGTGTATGTGACCCCGACTAAAATGTGATGGAGCAGCACGTGACTCTATATAAACATTATGGCCAGCTGAGCCATGGTATGGCCTGATTGGATTTCCTTCCTTGTACAACTTCTGGGTTTCCCTGGGGATTAATAATTGCCTCCTTGTTTTGACTTGCTTGGTTTTTTCTGGGCTTTTCACCAAACTCCGACAGAGCTCTAATATTCCTCTCCAAACAGCCAAGCACTCCTACCAAGGGAATCCGTGAGCTTGGGCAGTTCCTCCGGGAGCCTCCTTTTCAAATCTGCGCTGATTGCTTCTGTCTGCAAAGCCCTCACCCTGGACCTTCCTTTCTCTGTTGTCTGAATCTCATGTCTTTTTTTCTTTCTTTCTTTCTCTTTCTTTCCTTCTTTCTTTCTTTCTCTTTCTTTCTTTCCTTCCTTCTTTCTTTTTCTTTCTTTCTCTCTCTCTCTTCCTTTCTTTCTCTTTCTTCCTTTCTTTCTTCCTTCCTTTCCTCTCTCTCTCTTTCTTTCTTCTTTTCTTTTAACTGCCTTCCTTTCTTTTCTTTTCTTTCTGACACAGAGTCTCACTCTGCCACCCAAGCTGGAGTGCAGTGGCACAATCACAGCTCATTGCAGTTTCAACCTCCCGGGCTCTAGTAACCCTCTCACCTCAGCCTCCTGAGTAGCTGGGAGCACAGGCATGCACCACCAAGCCCATATTTTTGAATTTTTTGTAGAGATAGGGTTTCCTCATGTTGCCCAGGCTGGTCTTGAACTCCTGGGCTCAAGCAATCTGGGAGGCTGGGCTCCTAAAGTGCTGGGATTACAGGCGTGAGCCACTGTGCCTGGGCTTCATGTCTTATTTCTTGGTTTAATTCCTAATTTTAGAGAAAGGATGTCTGGGAAATAATTTTTCTATTTTTTTTTAATTGGAAAATGTCTCACTCTGCCCTCCCCCTGGACTGCATTGGTACTAAAATAGTTTTCCTTCAGGATGCTGAGACATCGCTTCATGACCTTCTAGTTTTTGGACTTGCTGTTGAGAATGTCAACATCATTCTGATTCCTTTTCTCCGCACTCTACGCACCATGGTTTGAGGATTTTCTCAACCCTGGTGTTGTGAAGTTTTACAATAATGTGCCCAGTATGGTCTATTTTCCACTTCTCTTCTGGCCCTTTTTATGGAGAGACTTGTGTCCATGAGTCCCAGATAATTTTTTGATTTTATATCTTTATTACTTTCTTTCCTTTCATTTTATCCCATTAGATACGGGACAAAAAAATCAGGGCATTAAGTGAACGCTATCCTGGCCTCCGGAAACCCTCGTCCCCTCCAGCGTCACTAGGTGTATGCATTCGAAGTAGCACATTTGAGGATTATTTGGGGAATCTGGATAACGTTAGAGAAAGATCTCTAAGGTCAGATGCTTGGGGAGGGGTGTACCCCACAGCAATGGGAGTGTCTCCTAGCTCAGCCTGATGCCAACAAACAAGTGCCTCATGTAGCTCAGAGCAGATCTGGCTGCTAAATCACTGTCTCCCAAGATTCTGATGGACTTGGTCTGGGGTGGGACCTGAGCATCTGCATTTCACATGCTTTCCGGTGATTCTAAGGGTGGCTGGGGCTGAGAGCCCAAGGGCTGACCTGCTGCCCTTGCTCCGAGAGCCTGACCAGCTAGCTGCCTCTTGGGCTCTGATTTGCTCACAGGGGCTCTGTGAGTTCAGGGTGCTGAGATGGAGCTTCCTCATTGCAGAGTTCTGTGGCCTGGTGTTGGGGCTGAGCTGGGCGAGCTACTCTTGAGAGAAGGCTTGGCTCTTCAGTTCAGTTTTCAGACGCTCAGGAAGACTCTGGGCTCCGGGGCACCCACAGGACTCAGCCCTTTCTCGAGGAGAGCATCCCCTCCCGCCTCACCGTGTGGCCTGGGGTTCACGCCTCCTTTTCTTGTCACTTGACTATCTCCTCATCCTACAAGGAGGATGAAATGGTCCTATTTTCCGGTCCTGATCCAGAGGCTCAGAGAGGGAGTGCAGCTTTGCCTAAGGCCACCTTGCTGGTAAGGGTCAGGCCAGAGACACAGATTTTACATCCAGGGTTTTTCAACTTAACTCAGCTTCCTTCTTTATCATTCATTCATTCAACAAACATTTACTGAGTTCCCAGGCTCTATGCTAGGAATTTTATTTTTATTTTATTTATTTATTTTTGAGATGGAATCTCACTCTGTCGCCCAGGCTGTAGTGCAACGGCATGATCTCGGCTCACTGCAACCTCCCACTCCTGGGTTCAAGTGATTCTCCTGCCTCAGCATCCTGAGTAGCTGGGATTACAGGTGTGCACCACTGCGCCCGGCTAATTTTTTTGTATTTTTAGTAGAGATGGGATTTTACCATGTTGGCCAGGCTGGTCTCGAACTCCTCACCTCAAGTGATCTGCCCACCTCGGCCTCCCAAAGTGCTGGGATTACAGGCATGAGCCACTGTGCCCGGCCTGGAACTTTAAATTTAAAAACACATTCAGGCCTGGCAACGTGGCTCACACCTATAATTCCAGCACTTGGGTAGGCTGAGGTGGCAGATCACTTGAGCCCAGGAGTTCCAGACCAGCCTCTACAAACAGTATAAAAACTAGCGGGATGTGGGTATGCACCTGTAGTCTCAGATATTCAGGAGGTCGAGGTGTGAGAATTGCTTGAGCCCAGGAGGTCGAGGCTGTGGTGAGCCGAGATGGCACCACTGCACTCCAGCCTGGGTGACAGAGTGAGACTCTGTCTAAAAAAAAATTAATTAAAAAAAACCACATGTATGGAGTTTCAAAAATAAAATTATAAGGCTTATTAAAAAAAAAAACTAAAAAACAAAAAGAAGTTTGTCACTGGGGAACAGTGGGCCTCCTGGTCTCGTTGTTATAGTTACTTGAGTCACCACTTCTCTCTGGCCAGCTGGGGCTCCTCAGACAACTTCATTTCAGGCCAGCCTCGCCCAGGGCAGGTCACGACAAGGCCTGGGGTGCAGGAGGAATTACTGTTACTGCTGTTGTTGTATCAAACAGGAGGGGGCTGGGAGGGCTGGGCCTGCAGCCAGCAGAAGCCACATTAACAATTAAGGTCTTTGCGACTTTCATTCCACCCTCACTGCATGAAATATTCAGGCACTGGAGGAGATTGGTCTCAGATCTCTGCAGTGGTCAGGGCAGGGTAGGGCCAGGTGGGGCGGCTTTGTGAGGTTGTAGACCTCAGGCCTAGGGCAGCACCCAAGGCCTGGGACGTGAGCCGTCCAGAGGCTGTGGGGGCTGGAGGTACCTGACCCAGAGGGTGCAGCTGCAGACTCCCCCAGGGCAACCCGGGGGCCAGGCACTGAGAGTCCCAGAGAAAAATGAAGCTTAATCCTCCAGGAGGGCACCACTGGGGAGGAGACAGAAACACCCCCATATCACGGGTGGGCCTGGGCCTCACCACTCCCAGCACAGTGGTGCAACAGTTACAGAAGTGCACAGCTGGGCTCAAAGAAAGACCATGTGTCTGGGGCCTGGAATCTGTCACTTGATGTAAACCCCGTAATTATAAGTAGCATAAATCATGTTACATTGTATTTGTGTACCTGTGAAAGCATCAATTTGATTAATACAAACACTTCAATTAAATCCCAAGTGAGTAAACCTGCTCTGCTGTTTCCTCTTCTTCTTCTGGGTTTTATTCCCAATACATGGGGCACCTCCAGTATGAAATTTGGCCTGGGCTTCTCTTGTGCTCTGAGAGCCCGATAAGCCTTGGCTCTGTGTCCCCACCCACATCTCACCTTGAATTGTAATAATCCCCACGTGTCAAGGGCGGGACCAGGTGGAGATAGTTGAATCATAAGGGCAGTTTCTCTCATCGTCAGTGAGTTCTCACAAGACCTGATGGTTTTCTAAGGGGCTCTCCCCATCGCTCGGCTCTCATTCTCTCTCCTGCCACCGTGATTGGTAAGTTTCCTGAGGCTTCCCTGGCCACGCGGAACTGTGAGTCAATCAAGCCTCTTTCCTTTGTAAATTACCCAGTGTTGGGTATTTCTTCATAGCAGGTGAGAATAAATTAATACAGAGCCTCAAGAAAGACAAAGCAGGTTAAAGAAAGTACAAGCATCTTTGCCCACCAGAGTGACAACCCTAGACATCACCGAGGATGGGCAAGGCACATCCCATATCCTTCTGGCAGGAGTAAGAATTAGCCCCAGCTCTTTGGAAAGCACTTTGGCACTGTCTAGCCAACCTGTGTGTACTGTGTGACCCTGACATTCTCTGTCTTGGTATAGATGTGAGCAAAGTTCATACTCATGTGCGTTGGGACACGCGTATAAGAAGGTCCACAGGGCATTGCTTATAGGAAAAAAAAAAAACAACCCAAAAACTAGGCTGGGCATGGTG